>NC_000008.11:139641234-139943312 GCF_000001405.40 Homo sapiens
TCATTCATACCTTGCAGCTGCACCCAGCACCCACTCTCAGGGTGCCCTCACCGCATGGGGCTGCTGTCTGTGGGGCTCCCATCCTGCCCTCCTAAAAGTCATCCCAGCGCTCTCCCGCCTGCAGCCAAGAGCCCACCCTGGCAGGACATAGGGCTCAGCCCAGACAATCAAGCCAGCACAGATGACTAGAGGGACCTGGGGCCCTGGGTCCTGGCACTCCTTAGCAGTCCTGAGCCCCCTGAAATGGGCATCATGACCATTGCTGTTTTGGAGGTGGAACAGGGTGGACAGCGTCGATGACCGGAGCCTGCTGTCACATGCCCAGCAAAGGTGTGGCACACGGTGGGCCTCTCCAGAAGCTGGTGGCCTCCCGCTCTGCCCCAGCGCTCTGGCCTGCCCCCCCCCCGCACTTTCTGCTACACACCCAATTTCCAGGATACCTCGCTGCCACCTCTTCACTGACTGCGCTGAGCCTCCTCTCCCTAGGAGCCCTTGTCCCTGCCGTGCCCGCTACATGGCTGCCCTCCTGGGGGAGGACCAGCTGACTTTCCCTGGTGAGTCCAATGCAACTGCCCTGACACTGCAGCAGTGTGGCTGAGGACTGGGCCACACTGGTGTCCAGCAGAAGACAGAGTGAGCACTCAGGGAGTAGTCACTGGAAGGGCTGCCTGGCTGGCAGAGCTCAGCTTCTGTGATGCACAGGCCTCCTCTCAGGCTCTGCCATACAGATGTCCACCTCAGCTCAGGAAGAGGAGCCAGCCAGCCATAGCCCGGTGAGGTAGGGAGCTCCCCATGACTGGGAGTATGCAAGCTAGGGACAGATGCATACTCATCCAAGATAGTCTAGAACAGATTTCTGCATCAGAGAAGGGACTTTGAAGTGTCCTCCTGTTAGCCACTTCAGCCACTCCTATAATCCCAAGTTACATGTGTGACACAGGGGCAGCGCTTCCCCCACCTAAAATTATAAAGCAACTAAATTTCATTCCCCACCAAGAGCAGCCTGTGCGAATGTAGTGGCTCCTTCGAAGACAACTGCTGAGACTTGGGAGAGGTGAAGAACATGGCTGGGACCAGAGGTCGTTGCACGAAGACGATTCTACCCCTACAGAAAAACTTGGAAATGGCACCAAAGCAATAAAATTAAAAACTTAAATTCACTCGTTTGTTCAAACAAAAACAATCCACAATTTTAATGAGCTCAAAAGCAATAAATGCATGCTTTACAAAAAATGTCAAGCCTTCCCACACATCCTGCTTCTGCCTGGCAAGGGGACAGTCCCTGGAGGCTGCCCGCAGGAAGTCATCCTGAAACCCCCGAGTCAAAATAGGACGCACTGCCCTGGAAGGCTCCTCCTCCCACACCTGGCCGGGCACACCCAGGCAAAGAGCACAGATGCAGGGATTCAGTGGGGAGCAGCCACTTCCACTGCAGCTTCTCCTGAGACCTGCACCCAGTCCTGGGGAAGGAGCCGTGGATGGGCCCTCCAGCCCCCACAGGGCCTGCTCAGGTCAGGGCAGGAGGGGACAGTACTGTTTGTGTGGCTTCATCTAAAGCAAATTCTGGAAGAGGGGATGCCAGGGAGAGTGGCGGCCCCCATGGGGAACCTGAGCAGCAGGGGGTGTTTTTGTTGCATCTGCTCAGGAAACCCCAGGAAGCATAGCTGTTGGCAGAACAAGATTGGGGTAGGTGGCCAAGGAAAAGAACTCGTGTCCTATGGTCAGATAGCTCCTGTCCCCTGCCACGCTCAGGACCCCTCCCTCCACCGAGGCCCAGCCTCTGCATCTGATAAGGCAGTGCCCCAAGACCCATGAGCCCCTGTGGTCCCCCTGCCTGACCCCCTTGGCCAGGCAAGGAATAAACCAGCCTGCAAAGGACGTGGGCTTCCTCATGGGCCAAGTGGGATTCTCACTCCCCTGTTCCATTCCCATCACTGCCCCACAAAGCAGGGGCTGCACACCAGCACCAGGCTCAGTCACAGCCTAAAACCCAAAAGGCCAGTGAGCCAGGTCCCCTCTGAACAGCCCCCACCATTGGTCTCCACCCTCTGCTGGCCGCGACCCCCGCCTGTCTGGATCTCCAAGCCATTTCTATTCCCCAACGTCCTTCACCCGGACTGGGGGGTTCCAGGTGGCTCCCCGGAGGAAATGACATCAAACCTCCCTCTCCCTTCAGGACTCAGCTGCAGCAAGACCAACCCCAGGGGTCCCAGGACTCACTGGGGAAGGGGCTGCAGGGACTGAGGGACACAGGAGCGTTCCGGATCCTGAAGATTTCCCTCCTGGGCCAAGGTCACCGTGCACAGGCCAAGGGGCGGGCCTAGGGCTTGGCACTGGGTCAACAGCTACAGCCATGATGCCGGCCCTCAGCAGGGCACAGGTGTCCCCTGGCGGCTGTCACCTGGACAAGCCCATGGCTTCCCATCCTATGGCTCAAGTCTAACCACGCTGCTGGCAGCCCCCACCCCACCCCTGAGATGCATGGGGGTCTCAGGGGCCTCTGCTTACTCCAGTCTGTGCCTGAAATTCCTCCCCAGGACCCCTGGCCAAAGCCTCTTCCCTCATCTACAAGCCCTGGTTCAACCGCCGCCACCTTCAGGTAGGCCCGCAGGTTCAGCTGAGCCACAGCCCCCAGCCCCCTTCCTCTGCACCATGGAAGGGAGTCGAGGGGGCTCTTCCCACACCTGCCCTGGAATCCAGCTCTCTGGTCCCGGGGTGGTGTCTGCCTAGATCCGGGCCCCATGAAGGCGGTGATTGTGGTCCCCACCTCTGCCACGATACCCACAGTCAGGAACTGGTAGCTGTTGCTGAAATAACTATAACTCTGGTTTGATTACTGTGCTAGGAAGGGCCAGACTCAAGCCCATTGCAGGAAGGGCTTTCCAGGCACTGTGGGATGTAGGTGCCATTATTGTCCCCATCATCCCTGTCCAACTGATGTGGAAAGAACCAGTGTCCGCAGCTTGTAGGAGGCAGTGTGGACATCCAAACACAGACAGGCTGAACCTGACCCAGAGCAAGAAATGTCCTTAGCATCCTGTCTCGGCAGCCATGGATATTCAACCAACGTCCTCAGAACATTTCTCCTTCCAGCGGGCTCCCATTTTTCCTCTTCTATTATCTGATTCCATTCTGTTCTGTTTCATTTTTTAATATTCTAGCTGTGACCCACTAACTTGATTTCATGACCCATTAATGGATCACAGCCCACGGCTGAAACCATATTCCAGGGTAGGGTTTTTCAGCCAGAGGTGGTTCAGGGTGGGCTCCCGCTGCATAGGCTGGGAACACTGAGTGGGTTCTGAGGCTCAGATTCACACCCTAAGGTGGGTGTCACTTCTTCCAATTCAGAGATGAGGAAAGTGAGGTTCTAGGAGCCCACGCGGTGGACCTGGGTAGCACAGGTGGTTTTGCAACCAGGGCCACTCAGGAGCATGGGACCAGACCAGACAGCCTGCTCCCTGGGGTGCTCCTGCCCTGTCCCCCCCCCCCAGAGCCTCCCACTGCCCTCTGGCTGCTACAATCCCAGCATGCCTTGCAGCAGTGCCCACTCAGGCACTGACCGGGCTTCAGGGCCACCTCCGCTGGGCCCCGGCACTGCCAGCGCACCTCTGCCAAGAGCCCTGCCTCCCCCGCGGAGCTGTCCACCCCCTGTTCCAGAGGCTGCTGCCATCTCTGATCTATTTGTGCCTCCCCCCACATCCCCGCCCACAGTGCAGACAGACATGGGCTAGCCAACCAAGCCCCCAGGAGGTTAGCACCAGGTGCGAGGCGGCTGCAGAAGCCCTAGGCTGGTGTCAGACCCACGCACGGGGTGGCTTCCCTCCCGCACCGTGTAGGCTTTTGTTGTCCCAGAATTAACAAAGAGAGTGCAAGCCATAGACCACAGCCCCTTGTGGCAGGGGCACCCACCAAGTGCTCCAGAGTCCAGAGTGGAGCACTGGGAGGCATTCTCCAGGTGCTGTGGGCCCGAGGAAGACCCAGGGCACCTCATCATCTCGGGGCCCCAGCAGCCCCACCTGCAAGAAGGGGTCAGGATCCCTTCACCTTCTAAAGGCTCAGACCGGCCCAGGGAGCCCAAGGCCCACTAGACTCAAGGATTCAGTTCTAGACGGCAGAGGCTGCCCACCCATGCCTGCCCATGCCCACCTGCCCTCAGCATGGCCCAGGGAGGGGCCTTCAGGGTCCAGGTAGGGAGGAGAGGAAGTTGGCATAGTCAGGCAGTGGAAGAACTGGGACCTTCTCCAGCCCACGGCTTCCCTGTCTGTACATTGAGGCCGGTACCACCTCCCCACAGGGCTGCAGAAAGGTCTACAAGACAAGGTGCTCTTGAAAACCCTGAGCCTGACACAGGGCCCAGAGCAGGTGCTAGGTGACAGTCCCCTCCCTCCTGCCCATGCCCCACACTCTAGAGCCCTGCACCTGCCCCAGCAGCCTGGCATGGGCTTGTTTTGCAGAGAGCTTCAGCCAGAAGGCTCTCAAGGCACCTGGAGCCAATTAGCCATCCATCCTGAGCACCTGCCCCGTGCAAGGCCCCAAGCGGTGCACAGGAGGAATCCACCATCGCCTGGCCCCTCCTCCTGCCTGCTCTCTGGCCTCCACCCAGAGGGCAGCAAGAGGGAGCTTCCCAAGCCTCAGACCAGACACTGCCCTGCCTGTGCCAGAAGCCCAAACCCGAAGACTCTCCAACACTATTGAGACGGCACCCCACCTCCTTAGCCCAGTGCCCCACACCCATCCTGTTCTTACCCATTCCCAGCAAGCTCAGACACTCCCTGGGGATGATGGCAGCTTCCCCAGGGTCCGTGCTCTCTGGCTCCCTCACCCCATGACCAGTGGCTTGCTTTCCCAGAAGGCTCCTTGCCCCTCTACTTGTCAAGTTGGAACTGGATCCAGTGTTCAGAGACTGAACTAGATGTCACCTCCCCAGGAAGCCCTGCCTGTGAGCAGGAGCCACAAGGTCACACCCCTCAGGAAACACTGTGGGCATCACCCTTCTTTGGAGCTCATGGAACCACCTTCCTCTCCAACCAGCTGTGCGCTGGTTCCATTTTGCAAAGCCCAACACCAACAACGGACACATTGCCAAATTCCTTCATTTCTGAGTCTCTTCCAGTATCCCGTAGAGAAGACATGTGATCACGGGCAGATGACAGTCAGCTCCGTGGCTTCTGAACATTGATAAATAAGCAGAACAGAGATTCTAGCGGCCAGGTCAGCATGGAAGGAGGCCTCCAGGGGCAAGCCCCAGGGCTCTATCTTGGACTTGACCCGAGCAATACTTTTCATCAATGACTTGGAATAATGACCCAGAAGCAGTCTCTTACACAGTGCAGTGAGGTACAACCCGCCAGTAAATGGACAGTGCCCTAAAGGACTGTACCATGTTTTTATTGCTGGGAAAAACAGGGATGCCAGGGACTATTTGCTGACTGACTGAATGAATGAATGAATGCATCCTATCTTAGATGAAAGTTCTGGCCATCTTTCCAGGCTTTTGAAATCTTTTAAAATCCTGAATCTAGCAAGATGAAATAAGTCATAACAAACATGAATTCCTACAAATGGATTCAAAATACCCATAGCAGAAACATAGAGAGCACCAACCAGTACCTCTCAGTTTAACACAATAAGCAGCCAGCTGTGGCTCCCCAAAAGGAATGACTGTGTGAAGCTCTATCATCTCTAATGGGGCCCCCTGGCTCCCTGTCCTAACACTGGCCGCCAGCCCAAACTCGTGCACAAGGCGGGGTGTGCAGTGCACACAAAGGTGGGCTGGGTCCATCTGGGCACTGGGCTCCCAGACCCTACACAAGGGACCTCTCCCGCCCTCTGTTGGCGGCAGGGGGCTCTGCAGGTCTGAGGCTGGAAGGCAGGAGCAGAGAGGCTCAGGCTGGGCTCCGTGAGCATGGGCTTTTAGGGGAGCACTCCACAGGGTGGAACAGGCCCAGGATGGCAACTGGGAAGAAGGCATGGAGGAGCCAGGGTAGAGAAGCTCTGAAGGTCCCAGGCTCCCCATTGCCAGGAGCCTGGGGGTGGTTGGTTGGAGGTCTATGGCAGAAGCTACTCCATCCATATCTTCATTCAGCCATTCAACAAACAGCCCATGAGGACCTGCTGTTTGCCAGGCACAGCTGTAGACATGTGGGATTCTTAGTGAACAAAACTAGGTCTTTGCCTTTGTGCAGCTCAGATTCTCATGTGGGAGGGGGCAGGGCGGGAGACAGTGCATGCCCAGCATGATGAACAACAAATGATATGGAAGGACAGATGGCTAGACGTGCACGCGGCATGTTCCCCTGCAGCGACCCCTGTGGTTAAGGGACAGCTATGCAAAGGCCCTGAGACACCTACCTGCATGCTGGCCAGATGGAGGAGGGCATAGAGGCCAGGATGGCCAGGTGCAGCTGGAAAGGAGGTGGCGGTGATGGCAGGGAGGTCACAGGGACCCAGCCACAGGGTCTCAGGGCCATCGTAAGGGCTTTGGCTTTCACTCAGAAAGACAAGGAGCTTCCAGAGTTCTGAGCCCTAAGGGACTTCACTTCCACCTTAAAAGGTCTCAGGTCTCCCGTTCCGCCCTTACCCCCTCTCAGGTGGCTACCCCAGGACTGAAAATGGCGCAGCTGCTGTGGAAGGTCATGTGGTGGTTTCCCAAAAGGTCAAACCTAGAATTGCCACATGACCCAGCAATCCCATTCCTAGGAATATGCCCAAAGAAATGGAAAACAGGAGCCAAACACACACTTGTCCACCAATGTGCATAGCAGCACGCTAGCTGAAAGGTGGAAAAAACCCATCTCCTTCAAATAAGACCTGGAATTTTATCCCTACAATGCAATATCATGTGATCATAAAAAGGAAAGAGGTACGGACACATTGCAACACGGAAGAGCCTCGAAAACCTAATGCTCAGTGAAGAAAGCCACACATGAAAGGTTGCCTAGCACAGGATTCCATTGATAGGAAATGTCCACCCTAGGCAAATCCACAGAGACAGAAAGTGGATCACTGGCCGCTAGGGGATGGGGAGGAGAGAATGGGAGTGAGTGCTACTGGGGACGGGGTATTACTTTGGAGCCGAAAATAAGATGTTGTTTTGGAACTACACAGAGGTGATGGTTGCAAGACACTGAATGTCCTAAATGCCACCAAATTGTACACTTTAAAATAGTTAATTTTGTAAAGCGTATTCTACCTCAATTAAAATGAGGGGAGACTATTGCAACAACCCATGCAAGATGGTGATGGCTGCCGCGTCACCCTGACGTG
This sequence comes from Homo sapiens, assembly GCF_000001405.40. Classification (NCBI taxonomy): domain Eukaryota; kingdom Metazoa; phylum Chordata; class Mammalia; order Primates; family Hominidae; genus Homo; species Homo sapiens. The sequence continues at coordinate 139,648,504 of NC_000008.11, forward strand.
GCCCTCCAGCCTGCCTCCTGTCCCTCTGGACTGAGAATGGGCCACTAGCCCAGCATACAAATTCAGGAACTCGCCGGTCCCTGACTATTGATCATAAAACCCAACAGTGCCAGCCCCGTCACTGAGCAGCTGTGTCTCGGCCTAGAGCCTGGTGCAAGTGGGATTAACCAGTAGCAAATTCTTCCCCAGCTGACAGATGGGTAAGGACGCGGCCCCTGCCCTCAAAGAGCCCACCACCAGGCCTCTGGACTCTTATGGGCAGAGTCAGCTGGCACTGGGTAGCACCGGACGCCAATGACACGTGCCGTGGGCAGATGAGGGCTGGAGTGAAGCCTCTGGGCTGGATGGGGTGTCATTCCCATCCCCCCACTGCCTTTCCTGGATTTTAACCTGCAGCTTACATTTTCCCTGTGACAGGTAATCATCTTAGCATACAAAGGGGAAGAAAGCCACTGGACGCCTAAGAAATTACTTCTGTTGATTTTCATAATTCATTTCTATGAACACTCTTTCAAAACCAAACTAAACCCAACCCAAGGATGCAGAGCTAATATTTATCCTCCGAGGAGCTTTCTCCCCATCCCCGACGCCGTGGCCTCCCCTCCCACACCTTTTATTCCATATCTCAGGAACTTCAACTACAGACGGGCCAGAATTGCTCACTTTCACTGAAGATGGATGGACTCCGGTTAAATTATCCTTTTTCACTGTAACTCAGCTGGTGGAAAATGACAGGATTTTCAAGTAGATGAGATCTGGAAAATTGGCCTGAGTGGCGCGTCAGAAGCGTGTATTTAATTATGTAAGCCCTGAAGCCTGGGGCACCGGTTGGCTCCAGAGATGAGCTTGGACCCGTTGATTTGGGGGCTGGCTGCAAGTGGACACTGAGGGTGTAGAATGAGGAAGGACTTAGCAAAATCAGAATCATCGGGTTGGGTTAAAGTCACTCCAAGATGTGCCTTGCACACATGCTGCCCCTCACTGGGTCCCTGCCTCTGCCTTGCCTACTGTGGACCTTACCACCCACCCCTGAGATAGCCACATGCCTGGATGCGGTCTTTCCATGCCCGGTCTACTCCCACTCCTGGGCCCTTCCTCCTGCACTGTGCGACAGATACACTCCCCTGCTCAAAAGCCTTCAATGGCTCCCCAGTACCTGCAAGACAACAGGGTCTGGCTCCAGGGCAGCACTGCCTGGCTTCCCATCCCAGCCCTATCAATTCTCAGCTGTGTAACCCTGGGGGGAAAAAAATTGCTTAACCTCTCTGCCTCAATCATTCATTTGAGGAATATTTACTGAGCACCTAACATGTTCTTGGGTCTGGGGATGCGGCAAAGAACAAAGTGGTACTGTCCGAAAGGCAATTAATGCTGGAGCAGAGGCTCCTTGGACAAGGAGGAGCAGGAATTCTGCACTCCCCAAGGAAAGAGGTGGGTGTGGGAGGGACACCAAGGGAAGACGCTTCTGTGTCATCTCCCTGAAGGCAGTGGGGGAGCAAGCCAGGCAGCTACCTGGGGAAAGAGAAGTGGCAGGTGCAAAGGCCCTGTGGCAAGAGAGCCTCCCAGGAATGCCAGCCAAGTTAAGATCATGTGGAGCCTGTGGCTGTGGGAAGAACTTGGCTCAAAACTCTCCTGGGGCTTCTCATCTCCCCCAAGTAAGATCCAAAGAAGAGCATCTGGAGTGGATTTTCAAGGGATCATGCTGGCTGCTGTTTGAAGAACAGACTGTAGGGGTGAGGTGGGAGCACCTTCTGCTAACCAGGCAGAGCCTTAGCTCACTCACGTTACTTCACAGCTCGGAGTTACTGGCAACATTCCCATCCCTGTGAGCCTCCATCACATCTCACCCTGAACATGCATCGACCTGGCACACACAGTGCTTTAGTAAGCACCTACTATGATTATGAACAGAGCACCAAAGAACCCGAGGGTGGGCGCCCACTCAGGATGGGGGCAGGAGCTGAGCAGAACTGGGTCCCCTGTGTGCACCTGGGTGTCTGGCTGCTGCTCCTCTCCCCTCTCCCTCATCCCCCTGTCCCTCCCTTACCTGAGGAAGTAGACCCCAAGGATGGGGAAGGAAGGTGCACACAGGGACCATATCCCCTCTCCACTCCAGGGTCCCTGAGCATCTGACTCATGTGCAGGCAGTGGCTGGTACTGAATCGGATAGAGATGGAAAGTTTACAACTGCACCAGAGTAAACTTCGACAACCACACACCCCTGAGAAATGAGAAATCTTCCCAAGATGTGGCTGCAGGTGCTCTGCCCAGTGGGGAAGGCAGCATGTGGGAGGGAAGCAGCAGCCCCATGGCCTTCAGGGAGCTGAGCCTGGCCATCGTCATTCGGGGATTCTGGAGCAGAGGCCACCAGCCCCTTGACACCCCCGGAAGTGATGTTGCCATGGTTCAGAATGTGCCCGGGTGGCCTTCAGAGCCCCTTCCAACTCTGAGAATATTTGCTCCTATAAATGCTGAAAGCCCCAGAATATCGAGGTGGATGCAGAAGAGTACTGGGCTGCAGGTCAGGGAGCCCACCCCCTTCTGCTTCTTCCCAGCTGCAAGGCTATCAGGGTGGATGTGGAAGAGTACTGGGCTGCAGGTCAGGGTGCATTTTCCATCCCCTTCTGCTTCTTCCCAGCTGCAAGCCTAAGGCCTAGGAAATTCCCTCTAGCAGTTCCCCAAAATATGCCAGGTGGGGCTGGAGTGAAGGCACCTTGAAGATCCATTCAACCTGCACAGTCAGAAACACGAGCATGTGTCCCATGCAGCACTGCTCCTCCACCTGTGGGGGTCCCCCTGCCCCCACATATCCTCCTGTTCTTGGTACCGGTGGAGGCTGCTGACCACAATCCCACCTCCTGACCACGGATGGGCACGGCAACCACACCTGGCCACCTGTGGCTCCCCACCCAATAGCCACAGGAGGGGACAAAATCATCATTCACACCCAGGGTGCAGATTGCTGTGAATAGAGTGGTGATAGCTCCTAGACATACTGTGAGGGTTTGGAGCATTGTTTTCTATTAAAGGGTGGAATTGGATAAGTAGGAACCCCCTGCAACAACTATTGTGCTAGAATGGGGTGGGGTGAGACTGGTGTTGGACCTTCTGTAGCGGATGGATGGGAGTCAAGGATGGAGGCCAAATTGGGCTGACTTCCCAGCTGCTGCCAGAAGAAGACTAATTAGTGGAAGAGTACTGGGGTTGGGGTTTAAAATAAATATTTGTTGAAATTCTCATGTGTTGGAGAATAGGAGGAATCATGCTATTGCTAAAATAAAGCCAATATCGCCGACACAATTACACAGGATTGCTGTATTGCCCCTTGGCCCAAGTCCTTACCTGCTATTGCTCTAAGGGACTCTTTGATCTGGAGTCAGTATCTCCAGATCTGGAGTGGGTACCAAATGCTGTGGTCCAAGTCCTAGGGAGACTCACCCATCACCATTTTTGAGACCAGCATCATCCCTGCTGCAATGAGAAGCACCTGACCTCCCACCCTTGGCTGTCTGACATTCTTTGTGTGCCTGGAGCCATAAGGACCTGAAATCTGATCTCCTCCTGAACTTCCCCATCTTGTGAATGCCTTGTGTTACTAGCCTAAGTCTCAAATGTCCTCCTTTCAATGCTCCCAAGAGCTGGGGCACATGATCCCCAGCTTGCAGAGATTATAGAGATAGTACAGCAGAGACAGTAAAAAACACCCACCCCCAATGCTTCCACAAGACACTGAGTTCCCCTCCCAGCAGACAGGTGGCCCCAACCACCCTGAATCCCACACAAGGGCCGACTAGGAACTAGTTTTCCCAAGATCTTGTTCCAAGCAGATTCTCTTCCAGGTCTGCTGACTCCAAGCTCAGTGCTCACTCCTGAGCCCATCATGGCTCTGGGATTCTGTGTCCTTGTTCTCTGCTAAGGTGTCTAAGGAGCAACACCTGGTCACCCTGAGGCACATATAGGGGGCTGTGGACATGCATGTGGGGTCCTTCCCTCTCTGCCTTGCACCTGCATCCCCTCCCTGTAAGCAGAGGGGCCTTCCACCCATGCTCTGGGGGCGGGGGCCGCCAGCCTGCCCTGGCGCTCCTCTAAGGGCCGGATTCTCCTGCCGGGAGCTGAAGGCTGATTCAATGGTTATTTGTTCTGCCTTCCGAATGGGGGAAATACGGACCTTAAAGGCCTTTCAGGAGAAAAAGTGCTGCATGATGATTATTTAATATTTTATGGGTCCATAAATACACAGAGCACTGTGCAGCCAAACGCTGTCAGCTACTGGCTGCGGGAGCACCCCTTGGCATGTGGCACACTCTGGGTGCTCCTAGGGCCTAGATTCTGGGGTCCCCTCAGCCCCTGAACCTGCAGGGGCCAGACAGGGACAGGACCATGGTCTCAGCTTCCTACAAGAGCTCTGTCCTCTCCTGTCCTGAAGTCAGAATTCACCATCTTCGGGGCAGGGGCTGATGCACGTACAAGCATCGTGTGCAGTGCTGACAATTTGCTGCTGTCCCCAATGATGCACCTTGTAGGGGCCCCCCTTCTGCCCCATGCCAGCGCCCCAGCACTCCTCAAATGCTGCCAGGCTGTGGATTTGACAGGGTGCAGCACCAAGCCCAGTCCAGCTGCTCAGGGGCTTTACTGTGAGGCTGAAGAAGCATCACGGATGCCACCAGCCCTGTCAGCCTCTGGTTCCAGACTGAAATTCCAAATGGCCGAGAGCCCTCTTTTTAAATGAATTTTATCATAAGATGCCACAGATATATGGCCAGGAATAGAAAATGTTATGAATATATTTACACACACTTGGCTTTATCATAACATAATCAAAACAGTACCTAAAATTTCTTTGTGACATATTTGCTTAAGCCTAAGCAAAATTGAGGTCCCCTACCTGGAGTGCCTGCCTGATCTAGTCCCTCCCCAGCCCCCTGCAAGTGAGCCTCTGCCCAATTTCTGGGTCCATCATTCCAGTGGTCTGCACTCAGGACTCCCCCAACAGAGACCTCCCCCACCACCCCCGCCGCCTTTCCTCTTGTTCTCTCCAACAGCTCTGGAGTGTGGCTGAGATGCTTCATGGGAATGTGAGCCCTGTAGGGGAGCAGGTCCAGCCCCACCCCTTCCCTCACCCCAAGGGCCTGGAGCTGGTTCCCACTGCCTGCTATATGCAAACACTTGTTTAATAGATACTCAAACGCAAATCAGACAACACAAGGGAAAGTGCTTTCAAAACCCATAAATCGCTCTACAAACACGAGGCGGCATTATCAGCTCAAGAAAAAATCCATCTTCCACACTGTCCAGAGGCCCACGCGGAGCTCACTCCTCCCACCAGCCAGCTCAGCTCTCGGGCAACACCCTCCCAGGAATTTTGCTTGGGGTAGCCAGGGACCTCACCAATTCCAAGTCCCTAAACCCCAGAGCCTCAGAGCAGAAGGGGCCGGAGCTAAGGCCCGTGTTCATTTCTTCCACCCAGGGGAAGTAGAGGCCCAGGATGGGCAAGTCCGTGGCTCATGGGCCACACAAGTGGGTGTTCGGCCTGGACTCTGACCCCATCCCCTGCCTAGGGCCTTGTCAAGTCAATTGCCCCAGGAACAGAGCTTTCCAGTTAGGAAAAGGACGATGCTGTTATTTAAGGAAAAAGAAAACTGTAAATAAGACTAAGAATCACTGAGGAATAGCTGAAGTTTGTCTGAATTTTCTGCCTGTATATCCAGCGAAGGCTCTGGGGAGCATTTTTAATACTTACATGGAAAACACAAGCTGCCAGATCGCTGGGTGCCCTGGTGACCTGCAGCGTTCAGCCCCCTTCATCTGGGGATGGCTCTGCCTGGTCAGAGAGCAGAGCTGCTGAACAGGACGCTGGCCTCGGAGCGCGGCCAGACCCTGCCAGGCCTCCCAAGGACCACAGCCAATGAGCAGATGCCCTGCCCGCTCAGGCCCTGGTGTTGTCTGACCCATCCCCACCCCCTTCCTGAGCTCCAGACCCTCTGGCTTCCTGGATGATCCCCACAACCAGACAACAGACTTCTCCCCACCTCAAAGCCCCCTGCCAGGCTCTTCCCTCAGGTAGGCGACAGGCAGATTCTGCGGTAGCCCTCAGGCCACAGCTGAACTGTCACCTTCTCCAGGAGCCTTTCACGTGGGTCCCTATGCAGTTCCCTGTGCTAATCCTTCCAGGCACCTGAGGATACTGTAAGATCCACGAAGACACGCATTACATGCCACACTGGTTGCTTACTCATAGCCTCTGGGTGGGGGAAGGCAGATCAGCGGCTTGTTCACCATGCTACCCCGGGGCCTAGCTCAAGATGCACAGAGCCCCTGTGGCATCAGCTGCAGTGGGCCGCTGGGGCCAGAGGATGGCTGGGTGGGTGCAGAGGCAGGCGGCTAGAGAGAGTGGGCGGATAAATGGGCGAGAGGATGGCTGCAGAGGGGGCAGTGAATGGAAAGATGGGTGACGGACGGACAAATGCACCATGGATAGATGGTCAGCTAAAGAGACAGTTCCAGTGGACAGAGATGGATGGCGGGGGGCGGGCGCTGGGGCAGGTGGCAGAGCTAGAGATAAAAGTCTGGTGTCGAGATCCAAATGGCCTGGTTTCTCCAGGCTCCTCGCCCCCACTCCCCTCCCTCAGATACTGCTTGGGACCAAGCTGACAGTGACGAGGGAATGGGGTCAGGCTGCAGACCCCTGTGGCCTCGGGTTGTCAAGAAGCCTGACAGTCCATCTCAGAGAAGTGCATCCCTCCTTCCCTCCCCAGCCCTCACCCAGACCTCACTCGGTGCCCAAGAGCAGGAGCAGGACTCTGCCACCTCTTGTAATCACGAGGAGCAAACAAAACAAAACACTCCTTCCCCGGCTTGTTCCCAAAATAGCCTTTCTCGCCACCCAGACATGCTGGCTGGCTGGCTCTCTCCCATTCAAACCTGACTAGGCAGATTTTCTGGAGCGCTGAGGTGGGGCTGGGGGAGGAAGGGGCATGGGAGGCTGTGACCCCCATCAGGTCCAGGTGAAAGAACACCAAGGGCAGCAGCACCATCCCAGGAGGGAGGCAGGAAGCTGAGCGATACCCAGCTCTGAATGGGGGACAAGTCCCACAGCCACCCTGTGAGAAATCCCTATTTCTCAGCTGAGTAAACTGAGGTTCAGAGAAGGGCAGTAACCCCTTAAGGTCGCACATGTCTGACTCTAAGCAGATGTGGCCAACTCCAAACTGGGCTCCTCCCACACCCCTGGGCTCTCCCCACTCAGGGGCTCTGCCAATCAGAGCCGGAGGAAGAAAGTGGACATGGTGGACACCCCTAGATCATCAGGGAAGGTTTCCTGGGGGAGAAGACAGGATTCAAGAGAGAACTTCTGCCTACAGCGAGGGGGAGACAGAGCGATGCTGTGGAGCCTTGGGAATGTCCCTGGAGGCCCCCAAGCCTCAGCTTCCTCCTCTGCATAATGGGAAGAAGAGCTCTGCCCCTGCAGGGATCAGGTAAAGTTTAAATCAGACAGAGGCTAGAGGCAAGCAGGGCGGCCCTCTAATCTACACTCAGCCATGAAGCTCCGGGACATTCAAACAATTCAGTACTCCCTCTGTGTCACCCCTCCTCATGGGCACAGCAAAGGAGGTATGTATGAGCCAGGTTGGGGTACAGGCTGATGCCCCCAGGTGCAGGTAAATATACCCCACCTAGTGCCCAGATCCAAGTGGCAGCTGTCAGGCCCTCCCTGCAAGCAGCTTGGTCTTCAGGAGTACTAGGAAGAAAAAAATATAAAAAGCCAGGAGCAGCCCGAGCAGAGAGCCCATCCAGCTGGGGCTCAGCCTGGGCCACTAACTCTTTGGCCCCTCCAGCCCACATGCACCTGAGGTCCTGTGCTCTCGGACGCCCCTGCTGTCCAGATGCAGCAAGCTCTTACCACCTCTGGGTCTTCCCCACGCCGCTCCCTCGGCCTGGAGTGCCCTTCCCCACTGTCCTGGGCGCGCTTGCCTCTCCCTCACAATCTGCAGACAGGACCCGCCAGGTGCAGACAGATGAGTGAGCAGCTGGGAATGCTGAAGCTTGTCAGATGACACCTGCCCCGGGAAGCCATCCATTCACCCCAACCTTCCCTAACTGCTTCCCTGGAAATGACTGATGATTTTCTTCTTTATGCCAAATTTTGGAGGAGCTCAACCCCACACAGTGCCCTATCTATACCACAAATGCTTCTTCAATGACCATGGTTGTCTCCTAGACCTGCAGTTTCTCCTAGTTTCCATGCAGAAGCCTAGCCCAGGCCACCGTGATCTCTCACCCGGACAGAGGCCACAGCCTCTCAGGGCCTCCCTGGAGCCACTCTTGGCCCCATAGGCCACACCATCCACAACCAGAACCATCTTCTCCAACACAAATCAGATCCTGCCCAGGCCCTGCTCACCCTCCCAAGATGGGGCTCTCCCTTGCAGGCTCAGCCCTCCCCAGTGCAGCCTCACCCCCCTGCAGCCCCTTGGCCTCAGTACCCATTCCAAACCCACCATTTGCCCCCTCCACACCTTTGCAGGTGCTATGTCCTCCAACAGGAACCACCCTGTCTCCTGCCTGGTCCACCTGGCTGAATCCAACTCTTCTTTTGAGGCTCAGCTCCAAGCTTGCTGCCCTCAGGAAGCCTCCACTTGTCTCTCTTGGGGAAGTGAGAATGGTGGGAAGGCAGGTGCTAGCTTGAGCCAGGATTGCACTCAAGCATTCTGGTGCCCCTAACTAGCTGTGTGCCCTTGGGTGGGTTGCTGAACCTCTCTGAGCTTAACTTCTCATGGGTCTGGCTAGAAAACCACCACCACTTGAGAGAATTTAGAACAGAGGGAATTCAATCCAGAACATTAGTCACAGAGGTGATGAGGAGAGCACAGGAAGCTGCTTCCACCCTTAGGCAGTGGGAGAAGGCAGGTCAGGATCAGGTCTCCCGGCCAGAGCAGGAGCCGGGGAGGACCTGTGGCAGCTGCCAGGGACACCACAGTGAACCCTCTCTGCCTGTGGAGCTTCTCATCATCCTGCCCTGTGAGCTTCCGGCACTGGCTCCCTGAACTAAAACCCCCCAGAGCCAAAACCCCCCAGAGCCAGAGAGCAATAGCGCCTGGGAAACTGAGCTTCCCACCATACACTGCAGAAGTGGGGGATGGATGGATCTGAGCATAGGGCGTTGACTGGGACACTCCCTTTCCCCATATGCAGAATGGAGATCATTGCTAAGCTGCACCGCATGGTCACTACTAACAAGGCCCCATTTTATTCATAAAAGCTTTGCATGAATTAACTTCCTGTCTCCTCACAGAGGAGGGACGTTATCACCCTGGCGGGTGGGGAGGCCTCTCCAGGACTCGCCTCTATCCCAGCGGTCCCCACCCACATCACCCCCATCCAGGCAGAGAACATGGCTGGCCCCTGCTCCCAGGATTCTCCCTGTCCAACAGCAGGTCTCCCCCACAGGACAGGCAGAGGAGATGACATGGTAGGGTGGGCAGATATATGGACAATGGGCTATGGTTTCCTGTTGGGTTTAGAATAAAATCTCAAGTCCTTGGTTGTATCAGGTCAGGGTCATGGCATGAAACAGGTCATGGCATCCACTCAGATGGATCAAATCAGGGCAAAGACCCTTGTCTTCAATGAAGAGAGAGTTTGCAGAGGCAAGGAGAGGTTGAGGGCACCAAGTAGGGCAGTAAGACACAAGGGGCTAGCAGGGGGCAGCTATTACCACCCACAGGCCTGAAGGGCTGAGAGGAGCCCAGTGAGCACTGCAGCCAGGGGCAGGGACCACCTAGTGGATGCTGTAAGTCATGGGGGGACAACCACTGCTGGAAAAGCTGAGCAGGGAAGGCACACCCATCCCAAAGCCCCATGGCTGGACCCACCTGGAGGCCAGCCCCCAGCTCTTTCCTCCAGAACACCCCACAATGTTGCTGAACACAAGGAAACCAGATGCGGGCCTCAGGCTACACGGGTCACGCCTGACTTCCCTGCTGCCCAGCAAGCCCCTAGCCACTGGTACCCTTTTCCTTTTCCGCAGCTCCCCCTCAATCCAAGCCTCACTACCTCCACTGTACAAAAGATACCACGGAGGGGAGAGCACAACCCCTGCCTTCTGGAATTCAGCCACACCCACCAAGAAACAAGAACTGGGTCCTGGATGCTATTCTCACAAACCAGATGTGTCCTCAGGGACTAGCTCTGTGAAACTGGCAGACTCCAGAGCCCCAGCTTTGCAGCTGAGAGGCCTGGACTTCCCCACGGTCACACTGCCTCCAAGTGCAGGGCCAGTGTCCAGGAAGCGAGGTGGCTCTCCTTCTGGGCTGTTCCCTGCCCATGTCCTGAGTCTGCCACTGCCCTTGGACCTGGCCTCTACTCCAGAGTCCACCTGCCTCAGGCACTGTCCGAGGTGCTGACCACTGCTGTGGATGAGGGTACACGGGAAGGACTAAGGTTTGCTGAGGCAGTTGTGGAAGGGGCAGCCCAGGAAAGCTCCCAGAAGGTCTGTGATTAGAGGTGAGTGTGAAGCAAAAATTCAAGTTTTGGGGGAAGACAAGTTAGCCAGAAAGGCATTCTAGGAGGAAGAAACAGCATGTATCAAGCCGCTGAGTCTTCGGGGCTTTGTGAGAGTCAAATGAATTCATAGGCAAGAAACCGCTCTGGGACCTAAACACCTGCGTGGATACGACCCTGACTCTTGGCCGCTGTCAGGGACTTGCTAAAGGTCCCTCACTTGCTAGGGGTGGCTCCAGGCTGGAGTCCTGACCCCCTGAGACCTGACCCAAGGCTTTCCCTATGCACTACAAGAGCTGCCTTCAAATATTTGAAACAAAGCTCATGCCTAGGACTGAGGGTTCAGGCTGAGTTTCCCCTCTTGTCTTTGTCCTTTGCCTCAGACACATTGATTAAAAATAGAGAATACTCCTCTCCCCCTATCCTCCAGCAGCAGGTGTTAGACCCCTGGCCTCTCTCTGGCTTGGACCCTACCCCTGTATTGGTGTGGAAAGATCTCGAGGATTTTATTTTTGTTGTTGTTGTTGAGACGGAGTCTCGCTCTGTCACCCAGGCTGGAGTGCAATGGCACAATCTCGGCTCACTGCAAGCTCCACCCCCCAGGTTCACGCCGTTCTCTTGCCTCAGCCACCCGAGTAGCTGGGACTACAGGAGCCCACCACCATGCCCAGCTAATTTTTTTTTTTTTTTTTTTGGTATTTTTAGTAGAGATGGGGTTTCACCATGTTAACCAGGATGGTCTCGATCTGACTTCATGATCCGCCTGCCTTGGCCTCCCAAAGTGCTGGGAATACGGGCGTGAGCCACTGCACCCGGCCTATTCTTACGAGATAAAGCAAGAGACAGAACAATGATCAAGTATACTGCCTTTTGTGCAAGAAAGGGGAGATAAGATAATATATATTTGTGTGTATACCAGAAACAATATATTGATTTTTAAAACAATCCCCTATTTGTGATAACAGGAAAAAGTGGGAGGGATGGAGATGGGATGGAAAGAACAGAGTGGGGTGGGAGTCTTAAGGAGCACCTTCATATTCTGTCTTCACAGAAGAACGATGTAGATGTGTTGCCTATTCAGTAAAATTGCTGGTCAGAACTATTGTATTTGTTTGCTTATTTTTCTGTGACCTCGGGCACATTTCAGAAGGTACACGTTGAGCCTCAACCTCTCTGGAATATTATTATATTAAATGGTAGAGCCCCTAAAAAGCACTTAGAGCACCCCTTCACAGGTAGCAAAAGCCTGTATAACAGCCCGCGATGAAGACTGGCGACAGGCCCCTGGCTCCTCCATACGATGCATTAAAAATAGGATAGGCCCAGTGTGGTGGCTCACGCCTGTAGTCCCAGCACTTTGGGAGGCTGAGGCGGGCAGATCACCTGAGGTTGGGAGTTTGAGACCAGCCTGACCAATGTCGTGAAACCCGTCTCTGCTAAAAAAAAATATATATATATATATATATATTAGCCGGGCAGTGGTGGTGCACGCCTATAATCCCAGCTACTCAAGAGGCTGAGGCAGGAGAATCACTTGAATCCAGGAGGCAGAGGTTGCAGTGAGCCAAGATTGCACCACTGCAATCCAGCCTGGGCGACAGAGGGACACCCTGTCTTTAAAAAAATAAAAATAAAAAAAATAAATCTGGATAAAACTGACATAGATGTGTTTTTCATTGAGTCAATAAGCATTTATTGATTAACAATAATGCATACTGGCTGTCATTAAAGGACTTAGCCCAGGAGACAGCCCCTCCTGGACAGGTTGTTTTGAGAAGATATGTCTTGCAACCATTCCCATTTTCCAGATGGGAAAATTAAAGCTCAGAGAGGTCACATCACCTGCCTAAGGAGGCCTAAGAGCTAGCTGGTAGAGGACCCAGTTGCTTCCACTTTGAAAGCCCTTATTTCCCCTGTCCTCTGGCCATGGGAGCATCCTCAACCCCCAGCTTGTGACAGGCACCAGCACCTCTGTACATCTTTGACAGAAAAGCAGTGAAAATGCCCAACTCAAAATAACTTTCCTGAGGCCCCCTTGAGAAAGTGACAAAGCCAGGCCTCAAACCCAGCGGGGCTGGACATCAGGGCATCAGCTCTCCAGCCACTCCCAGGCCAAAGTCACTGCAGTGGGGTCCGATCACGCAGACAAGGTAGAGAGCTTCTACCCCATGCTGACCCAGTCTTAGACATACTGAAGACGCTGAGTTGGGCCATGTGCCTCTTGCTGTGTGACACACCATATGCCCCACATCCCAGTCTCCACCCACACAGAGCTTACATCCCAGTGTGGGGATCCCCCCACCCCAACTCAGCGCTTTGGGACATTTCCATTTTCCAGGTGATCAGGGCAGGGGCTGCAGGCTCAGACCCCCAGCACCTTCAGGTAGCCGATGCTGGCCATGTCTCAGGGCTCTTCCCATCCCAGCTGTATAGAAATGGCCAAAAGTACACAAGGTAGGGTCGTGGGTGTCCCCTGCCAGGCTTGCCCTCGTCACAGCCCTGGGAAGCAAGCAGAGCCCACAGGAAGGGTATGCCCTCCCCTCTGGGGCCTCAGCTTCCCAGTGATAAGAATCACCTGGGGCGAGGTATCCTGAGCGCCCCATCATCCAGCCCCCAGCACCAGCCCAGGCTGACGGCCCAGCTCCAGGGAACTTTGAGTTTCAAAGGAGGTCCCAGGAGAGGCCAACAGGGACTGGTGTCTACAATTCCAGGGCAAAGGCCTGGCTTTGGAGCCTGACACACAGGAAGTGCAGGCTGTGTCACTTTGGGACCAAGCTCCCAGACCTCTGAGGACGTCCATTTCTGGGCTGCAAAGGGGACCATTTGACCCACCTGGGTGGGATGTGGTGAGGCCTAGCCCCAGGAGGTGAATAGAGGCTCACTCCCCTTTCTCTGTGAGGGCCAGCCTCCTGTTCCTGTGGGGAGGGACTGCTGGCTGCTGGTCCACAGTCCACAGTGGATCCTCAAGTGGTGGCTTGGGGACCAAGGTGTGTCGAGAGGGGCTCAGGTCAGGATGGTGCTGGTGGGACAGAGGCAGACTCAAGGCCAGGCTGACCTTCACTGAACTTCCCCAGCGCCTGCCTAGCCTGACTGTGGTCAGGGGCCCACCTCTCCCCCACCACTTGGGGAGGATCCTGTAGCCGCCCCATTCCCTGTGGGCCTCTGGGCCTCCCCATCCTCCTGAGGCCCCACATCCCACTCTACTGCAGGCAGAGATGGCAGGAGCAGGCTATGGGGTGAGCTGGGAGGCTGGGGTCCTTCCTGCCCAGGGCTCTGCAAGTGAAGCCACAGCAGGGACTCAGATGGGCCAAAGGCCTGGCTTGCTAGGGGCTGGGTGTGGCCAGGATGGGGGACGAGGGGACACGCAGGTGGCCAGGGCAGTGTGAGGCGAAGGGGGACTGGGTGAGTTCTTTATGCTGAGCTGTACATGGCATCGACCCTGCTCTCTAGTGGCAGCTGTATTCATAAGACAGGGACATGCAAAAAAGGAGGCTCAAGTTCTGTGCCACCACCAGCCGCTGGCCTGACCCCATGCACCAGGTCCTACCAGGTCCAGGCTTGGCCCCTTCTGCTGGCCTGGACTGGACAGGCCTAGGCTGCCAGGTTAAGGCCTCAGTCAGCCATACCCCACCCCCTGCTCTTCCAGCTGCTCCTGGCCTTGAGGGAGGGTCTAGCCAGGGTGGGCAGCCACAGCCATTTTCAACCCAACTCCATATTTCATGAGCACCCACCCTGAACAGACACTGTGCCAGCCCAGAGGATTTAGCAGAGAATCAAGGAGACACAGTCTGGCCCTCCTAGTGAGGTGCGGGGGACAGGGGAGGGGGGTCAGGGAAAGGGGAGAAGGGAGGAAGGGGAGGGGTGGGGGAAGGGGGGGGGGCTGGAGGACAGATCTCAGGCTAGGAGCTTCCTGACGCTGCAGAGGGTAGATGCGCCTTAGTGTGCAGGGGCTTAGTAAAAGGGAGCACCCCTGCCTTCACCCCCAGCTCTTCACACCAGGGCAGCACCCCTCCAGCCCCACAAAGTGCCCCAGTGCTGTTCTAAGCCCCTCAGAGTCCATGGCATCTCCCAGACACAACACACTCCCTGGGAGGAAAGGAGGGACTGTGCAGGTCTGAAGAGGAAGAGACCCACCCAGAGCCTCTGCTGAAATGGGCTGAAGCTTCCTCATGCACACATGTGCACACGCCCCACATACACATGCACACACACGTGCACACACACAGGGTCCCAGTGAATCCTCCCAGGCCACCCAGCATCAAAGCCTGGGAGCATCCAGGTCTGAAGACAAAAGGAAGACAGGTCAGCGCGAGGCCAACACAGCAAACGTGTTCCTCCCATCCGCTCTTGGGGGACTACAGGTGGTCACATGCTCTCGGCGCCCCCATCAACACAGAGCACCTCCTCTGGGCCCCATCTAGACCCTCACACACCACCACCTTAGCCTCAATCCCTGGCGCGAAAGACAGTGAGGCGAGAGTGACACTTGGTGATGACAGCATTGCTTCCCACCTGCTCGTTCACCCTGAGGACACACCTGTGCAGGAGTCCAGCTACTCTGAAGCCACTCTGCAGAGAGACCACAGAGACAGAGGGAAACCCAGGCATTCACGTTTTCCCCCCAGGAACAGACGCGCGTGCGCACGTGTGTGTGTGTGTGTGTGTGTGTGTGTGTGTGTTAGAGAGAGAGATAGAGAGAGAGAAGGTGCTTTTGTGCCAATTCCAGCCTTAACTCAGTGTCGCTGCAACCGCCTGAGAGACCTCGAGGAAGCACTGCCTGCCTGAGCCCAGCCAGTCCCCAGAAATGAGAGAGACAACATTAGCAAACGATTGCTGTCGCTTTGCACCACTGAGATGGAGATGTTTGTTATGTAGCCACGGATAAGTGGAACAAGCTCTTATACAGGAAGCGTGAAGTCAGTCAAGGAAACGAGAAGAAATTGCGAAATAACACATCGGGGCCTGACACTCTGTGCCAAGTCCCTGAATGCTCTGGAGAACGCTGCGAGGGCTTGCGGCTATCCTACAGAGGAGGAAACGGGAGCAGGGACCGATCAAGCCGCCTGCCCAAGGCCATACACTAAGATTTGAACCCAGCCACAGCTAAGATTTGAACCCAGACAGGACAGACTGACCGGGAGGGGCAGAACCAGGGCTGTGATGTCTGACATTATGTGACCTTGGTCAAGTCTGTCCTCTTTCAGGTCCTTCGTCTCCTCACCTGCAAGATGGGTATGTTGTGTTCAAAGACTTCTCTGCAGTCCTTTCCCTCCCCTGAATCTCCTTGAGAGCAAACCCTGCTGGTTCCACTCTTCAGCATGAATCCTGCTGGTCCAGGGAGCTGCTCTGTCTCCCGCCCTAGCCCACCCAGCCTTCCCAGCCAGGCAAAGCCCTCCAGAGCCCGCCTCCCCTCCCCTACACAGCCTCTAGGCCTTAACATATCACTGCAAGCTGGCTGCATTTCAAGCTATGTCCAGCTTCCCTTATTAGCTAAATATGCTCCCCCAAACTCAAGCCCCCCAACAAACCTAGTTTCACCGAATTGAGAATCCAGAAGACGCTTAGCCACCAGGAGCTGGCAGCCAGAAACTGCCGTCACCTTTGTCAGGTGCCAACCACAGACAGGGCACAGACCCCGCCCTCCACTCTACAGTCATATCCTGACCACCAGCAAGTCCAGCCTGGTCAGGCTGGGAGCCGTAAGGCGTGTGACCACATCCCAGCCTGGTGTCATGGCCCTCCAGGGTCTTGCCCAGTTCTCCTTGGCCAGAGTCCTCAGTCACTGGAACTTCTGGTTCCCAAGAGCCAGCTCCTCCAGCCATTGCAGAGGCTCCCTCTGGCTTCATTCCTGGAGCACGGGCTGGGTGGGGCCACCGTGTGGCTTTTGCAGAAGGGAGGGAAAGATAACCCTCCCCCAGCAATAAAAAAAAAAATCAAACCTGAGGGATCTGGGGGGGATGTCTCCTTCCTACAACAAGCACAGCAGGCCCCAGCACCAGTATAATTCTACACAAGGTAACCAGGCCCAGGCGGCCACACAGCCATTGCTACTGCACGTTTTAGTTTTCTGAGGCTGCCGTCACAAATTGCCATGAACTCGGTGGCTTAAAACAACACATTTTCTCTTGCAGTTCAAGAGGTTAGAAGTTGCAATGGGCCTCATGAAGCTAAAAATCAAGGGGTCGCAGGGCTGCCTACCTTCTGAGGGCCATCCGGGAGAGGTCACTCCCTGCTTTTTCCAGGTTTTAGATGCTTCTGCACTGCATGGCTCATAGATGGCCCCTTCCCCTGTCTTCAAAGCAGGGCTGTAGTCCTCACATCACACCCCTCCGACCTCTGCTTCAATCATCAGAACTCTCCTGACTCTACCCTCCTGCCTCCCTCTTATAAAGACGCTGATATCACATTGGGCCCACCTGGATTGATCCAGGAACCTCGCCCTTTCTTAAGCTCAGGTGATCAGCAATCTGAACTCCATCTGCAACCTTAATTCCCCCTTGCTATGGAAGGTAACATCCACAGATTTGCAGACATCTTTGTGGGGCTGAAGGAGAAGACACTATTCTGCCAACTGTTAGGTGCCTACCTTGCCCTGGCTCTGTGCCCACCTGCCGGAAGAGCTTCACAGGTGTTCTGTGGACCTTAGCTCCTTCACCACCCACCCTGCTCCTGACAGCTAACTCTGTAAAATGAGGTGGCCGTGCACAAAGGGCTGCCATCAGATCACCCCACAGCCTGCTGTCCAGACCAGCCCTTCTCAAACTTGAATGTGTACACAGTGCCCTGGGGTCTTGTCAGAATGCAACTTCCAACACGGTAGGTCTGGCAGGGCTGAGCCTCCACCATCCACCCCGCTGCCAGGTGAAGCTGGCACTGCTGGCCCACAAATGGCGTCAGTGTGGCCGAGCCTGAGAAGCTCAGCCCTAGAACCACCTCAAGAGGGTTAAATGCATCAACACCCGCCACACAGCACAACTCTGTCACACAGCACCTGGGAAGTAGTGAGTGCTCCTAAAGCAAGCCAAGCACCCCGGGAGCTGTGTCTTGTAAGGGAAGAACTTGGGTCCCATCTGGGATTTGATCCCAGCTACCTGGTCACCAGCCATGGGCCCTGTGGCAATTAGGTCCCTGTTCTAAGCAGGAGAGAACTGAGAGGGGAGTCACAGTAAATACCTGCTAGGGAGACAGCTGCAAAGCCTGGCTTTCCAGTGCACTGGCCAGGTGACAAGAGGCAAGTTCCTAACACTCCTGAGCCTTGCTTTCCCCATCTGTAGAATGGAAGTCATCCTATTGTGTAGGGTGGGTAAGACAATATGCAATCCCATTACCATGTACTAAGCACGGCGCTATGTCAGTGCTGTGTGAGGTGCTTTCTGTCTATTAAGTGCTAATATAAATACCTAGCAGGAGCCTCTCGGGTTTAAATGAGTCGGCCGTCCGGTGGCACTCTCTAAAGTGCTCAGAACACTGTGGTCATCCCCATTTTTATGGAGGAGGAAACTGAGGCAAAGAGGATCCATCAGTCACCAAAAGCTCACAGGCCACTGAGCAGCATGGTCAGGACTTGAACCTAGGCTCAGCTCTGCACTTGCAGCCGCCACAACATTGCTGAGGCCAGGCTTCTGAGCCCAGGCTGCGGAGCCCAGCACTGTGCATACAGCAGGTGCTCAAATCCCTGCCGGCTGAACGGAGAAGGTGCTTGGCTGCATGGAAAGCTCTAGATCCATGTCTAGCTGTATCCGCTAGTTGGCACATCACCAGCTCTTTACCAACATCTGGCTTGATTTTTGTCATTTCTTTCTGCTTAACATTTTCCTCATCCATTTTTTCAGCCTTAAGGCACCTGCCCCCTTCAAGGTAAGACCCAAGCTGGGCACTGAGGCCCTTGGCTTTGCCCTGGCCCAGAGGGCTGAGTTTCACCCTTCAGCAATGGTGCCATTCCTCCTGCAATGCCTGTCCCCTATGGCAGCATTGCCACGGCTGCCTCTGTAGCCATGCCCAGGTGAGGCCTGCCCGTCCACCCTGTCCAGCTCTCACAGGGCTCCCACAGGGCTTGGTGCAGACCAGACAGCCCAAGGGGAACATTGCTATGATGCAGATCTGCATGCCCAGGACACAAAGTGGCCCAAGGCACACACCATCTCAGAAGCGCCCGAGTGGGCTGGGATTCTGGCCCTGATTCCCCCACCTATCAGACCAGTCCCCACAGGGGATGCACTCCAGGTCGCCTGCTGGCCTTAGCTCCATCCTTGCCGCCCAGGCAGTTCAGTCCCTAAAGGCCTCTTCCATCAAGATGGAACTGAATGGGCTTGTAGCAGGTGTTTGTGACCCTGCCATTGCACTTCTAGGGATTTATCCTAAGGAGAAAATTGGACAAGTGTGCAAATGAATGTGCATAAAAACGGTCCCCACAGCCGGGCGCAGTGGCTCATGCTTGCAATCCTAGCACTTTGGGAGGCCGAGGTGGGCAGATCACGAGGTCAGAAGTTCAAGACCAGCCTGGCCAACACGGTGAAACCCCACCTCTACTAAAAACACAAAAATTAGCCGGGCATGGTGGTGCATGCCTGTAATCCCAGCTACTCGGGAGACTGAGGCAGGAGAATCACCTGATCCTGGGAGGCGGAGGCTGCAGTGAGCCAAGATCGTGCCACCGCACTCCAACCTGGGCAACAGGGTGATACTCCATCTCAGAAAAAAAAATGGTCCTCACAACATTCCTTATAACGGCAAAAAATGAAATAACCTACACCTCCAACATAGGAGAACAATTCCTAATGGCTGATTAAGATTCCATTGCACGGGAGGCAGAGCTTGCAGTGAGCTGAGATCGTGCCACTGCACTCCAGCCTGGGCGACAGAGCAAGACTCCGTCTTAATAAAAAAAAAAAAAAAGATTCCATTGCATAGTTGGGCCATGCACAGTGCTGCACATCCGCATCACTCCAAAGCCACACCTCCTTTTACCATTCCTTGCTTTACTACACTTTGCAGATACTGTGTTTCTTACCAATTGAGTTTGTGGCAACCCTGCAGCAAGCAAGTCTATTGGCACCATTTTTCCAACATCATGTGCTCACTTCATGTCTGTGTGTCAGCATTTTTTAGCAATAAAGTATTTTTCAATTAAGGTATGTGGTTATGAGTTCAGTTCTTTTGCATTTGCTGAGGAATGTTTTGGAGGGTGGAGGGTGAGAGAGGAGGGAGAGGAGCAAAAAAATTAACTCATGGCTTAATACTTGGATGATGAAGTGATCTGTACAACAAACCCCCATGACATGGGTTTACCTATATAACAAATCTGGACATGTACCCTTGAACTTAAAATAAAAATTAAAAAAAATTAAGGTATGTACACTGTATTTTTAGACACAATGGTACTGCACACTTAACAGACTGTAGTATAGTGTAAACAATACTTTTTTTTTTTTTTTTGAGATGGAGTTTCGCTCTTGTTGCCCAGGTTAGAGTGCAATGGCACGATCTTGGCTCACTGCAACCTCTGCCTCCCAGGTTCAAGCGATTATCCTGCCTCAGCCTCCCAAGTAGCTGGGATTACAGGTGTGCGCCACCACGTCCAGCTAATTTTTGTATTTTTAATAAAGACAGGGTTTCACCATGTTGGCCAGGCTGGTGTCGAACTCCCGACCTCAGGTGATCTGCCCATCTTGGCCTCCCAAAGTGCTGGGATTACAGGCGTGAGCCACCGCGCCCGTCGTGTAAATGGAACTCTTACATGCACTGGGAAACAAACACATTTGTGTGACTCCCTTTATTGCAATCTTCACTTTCTCGTGGTGATCTTGAACTGAGCCTGAGTATCTCTGAGGAAGGGCTGCACATGTCATTTCTCTTTAATCTGAGGCTCAACCTTGTCACGTTCAGCTGCTTTCTTTTCCAGCTCACATCTATTCTCCATACCTCGGAGACAATGCAGTTTCGGTCTAAGACACCACAACAAAGCAATAGCAATAAAGCAAGCCACACACATTTTTTGATTTCTCAGTGCATCCAAAAGTTCTATTTACACTATACTGTTGTCTATTAAGTATGCAATCGTATTGTGTCTAAAATGAAACAATATACATACCTCAATTAAAAGTACTCTACTGCTAAAAAAAAAAATGCTAATGATCATCTGAGCCTTGAGCAAGTTATAATTCTTTTGCTGGTGAAAAGTCTTGTCTTCATGTGAATGGCTGCTGATTGATTAGGGTGGTGGTTGCTAAAGGCTGGGGTGGCTGTTGCAGTTTCTTAAAATGAGACAACAATGAAGTTTGCTGCACAGATTGACTCTTCCTTTCACCAAAGATTTCTCTGGAGTATGCGATGCTGTTTGATAGCAATTTCCACGGACTAGGACTGCAGAAACTGGAGTCAGTCCTCTCAAACCCTGCTGCTACTTCATCAATTAAGTGTATGGAATATTCTAAATCCCTTGTTGTCATTTAAACAATGTGCATAGCATCTTCACCAGGAGAAGATTCCATCTCAAGAAACCACTGTCTTCACTCATCCATAAGAAGGAACTCCTCATCCATTAGTTTGATCATGAGATTGCAGCAATTCAGTCACATCTTCAGGCTCCACTTCTAATTCTAGTTCTCTTGCTATTTCCACCACATCTGTGGTTACTTCCTCAACTGAAGTCTTGAACCCCTCAAAGGGTTGGAATCAACTTCTTTCAAACTCCTGTTCATGTTGATATTTTGACCTCCTTCTACGAATCACAAATGTTTTTACTGTCATATGGAATGGTATATTCCTTCTAAAAGGTTTTCTATTTACTTTGCCGAGATCCATCACAGAAATCTGTCTATGTCAACTATGGCATTACAAAATGTGTTTCTTAAATAATAATACTTGAAAGTCTAAATGACTCCTTAATCCATGGGCTGCAGAAAGGATGTTGTGTTAGCAGGCATGAAAACCTCATTAATCTCTTTGTACATCTCCATCAGTGCTCTTGGGTGACAGGTGCATTGTCAATGAGCAGTCATATTTTGAAAGGAATCTCTTTTTCTGAGCAGTAGGTCTCAATATTGGGCTTAAAATATTCAGTAAGCCATGATGTAAACAGGCTGCCATCCAGGCTTTGTTGTACCACTTGTAGAGCACAGGCAGAGTAGAATTAGGGGGAATGGCTGGTGGGTGGAGCAGTCAGAACACACAACATTTATCAATTAAGTGTGCCCTCTTGTACAGATGTGGTTCCTGGTGCCCCCAGACAATTACAATAGTAACGCCAAAGATCATTGATCACCATAACGGATTTAATAAATAATGAAAAAGTTTGAAATAGTGTGAGCATTACCAAAATGAGACGCAGAGACCCAAAGTGAGCACATGCTCTTGGAAACAAATGACACCAGTGGGCTTGATGACACGGGGTGCCACAAACCCTCAATTTGTTAAAAAAATAAAAATAAAAAAAGCAGTATCTATAAAGTACAATAAAGTGAAAAGCAATAAAACAAGCCCTGCCTGTGCATTGTGTTAGGTATTGGAAGTAATCTGGAGATGATTTAAAGTATACAGAAGGATGTACCTGGGTTATGTGCAAATACCGCACCATTTTATATCAGGGACTTGAACATCCATCAATTTGGGTTTCGGAGAGGATCCATTCTCCCCCAGGTACCAAAAGACAAATATATTTGAAAAGGAAGAATATGGACCAACAACATCCTGAGTCTCAGAGCCATTGATTTTGGAGGGCAGGAGATCAGATCTTTTTTAACTCATCTGTATTTTCTTATATTTCTTACAATAATTATGTATTATTGATGTGATTAAAATGATTTTGTTTTTTAACGTTAAAAACAATGTGGTAGGTCAAACGTGGGTGGCCCGCCTCCCCAGCAGCATCTTCTGCAGCTCTAGGATTTGATGACCACCCCGGAGACATTCTCATCACAGGGCAGGGACAGGGCCCCAAGCTGGCCTGTGACGCGCACCTGCAGTGGCATCCCCTCCACTATTGCCACCCCCAAGCCATGCGGAGAACCTCGCTCTGTTCTACATCCTACTCCTCCTATGGGCTTCCTTCCCTCGCTCCTTCCTGGGACCACCTCTATTCTGATAGCAATTATCAGTAACCAGAAGGAAGCGTAACCACAATAGCAACCACAGGTCTGTCAAGTGTCACTGGCCCTTCTGCTCCTAGAAGCTCATGTGCAGAGGAGGCCTGGGCTTCTGGCTGCCCAGCCTGAAGGGCAGAGGGCTTCTGTGGCAGCGGGCACATCCCCCTTTCTTTCCTGGCTCAGCCCCCATCACTCACTGATGCACCCTCCTAGGGGACACCCTTCTGGAACTCTTGGGCCAATATCCTCACTTCTTTGTACTGTGTTCGCAGTGGAAGGAACCAAAAGCCAGCCCAGAGGAGGTGAGAGACGCCTAAGCCATGAACTCCCACCAGCAAGAGGCGGGAGGATGAGTCCCTGCGTGGCCAGCATTGAGCCCGTGCCCAAGGCCACTTGCTGGCGTTCATTCTTCTTTTTTTAGTTTCTTTTTTTTTTTTTTTTTTAGATGGAGTCTTGCTCCGTTGCCCAGGCTAGAGTGCAGTAGCACAATCTCAGCTCACTGCAACCTCTGCCTTCAGGGTTCAAGCGATAAGCGATTATCCTGCCTCAGCCTCCCAAGTAGCTGGGGTTATAGGCACGTGTTCACCACAGCTGGCTAATTTTTTTGTATTTTCAGTAGAATGTAATTGTTTTTTGTATTTTCAACAGAATTTTTTTGTATTTTCAGTTTCACCATGTTGGCCGAGCTGGTCTTGAACTCCTGACCTCAAGTGATCCACCTGCCTCAGCCTCCCAAAGTGCTGGGATTACAGGTGTGAGCCACCGCACCCGGCCAATTCTTCTATTCATAAGTATTTATTCAAGGCTCCCCTGAGCGTGGCAGGAGCACCACCGGCCCCCACCTGTCCTCATGGGGTCTGCAGTGCAGTGGGAGAGGCAGATGTGAAAATGTTAACACACTCGCAGTTCCCGCCCTGATGAACATGATGCAGCATCGGCTTGAGGCTAGGAGAACAAGGGCGGGGGTGAGATCCTTCCTCAGGCCGGGCAGGTGGGACTGACCCCAGCAGCCACTCACGGCAGGGGCTCACCAAGGCTCGAGACCAGGTTCCTCACTCCAATCCCTCGCTTAACTCCCT
Source organism: Homo sapiens (assembly GCF_000001405.40). Classification (NCBI taxonomy): domain Eukaryota; kingdom Metazoa; phylum Chordata; class Mammalia; order Primates; family Hominidae; genus Homo; species Homo sapiens. Next base: position 139,672,166 of record NC_000008.11, read on the forward strand.
GCAGCTTGGAGGTGGCTTTCTGGGTTCCTCCTCTCTAGGACAGGACACACACCACCCACCTGACTTCATCCAGCTGCCCAGAGGCAGGAGCAGGACCAGGGGAGGGCCTCGGGGCTGGCACAACGATTCCTTCCTTGGACTGTGTCTAGTTGCCTCCCATCCACACTTCGTGGTGGCAGGCTAAGCCCAGTCTTTAAGAGGGTGCTCTGGGGCCCCTGTAACCTGTAATTAACTGCTCAGACAATGTTCTGGGTAACACCACATCTGAAGACAAAATCAGCTCAACCCTTCTGGTCAGTCAAAATCCATTCACTTGGGCAAATGTAGAAAAACCAACAGCCAACACCAGGCCATATTAAAAATCACACTACAAGATGGTCTCAAAATAGACTCCAATACACAATTCCCATGGCAACGGCCCCTCGCCTGAGGCTGCCCCCAGGGGAGCCTGTAGCAGAGGGACATGGTTGTGGGACAGGGTCGGCCCACCCTGTCCAGACACAGCCCCCGTGGGGGAGCCTCTCTGTCTACAGCAGGCTTGGGGCCAAGAACTGGGTCTCCAGTCCTGTTTCCTCTCCAGAGACAGGAGCCGCATGGGAAGGAGCTTGAGGAGTGGAGTGTTTGGGGGTCACTTACATCCTAGGGTGTGCGGGCGGGGAAGGGCCACAGGCAGAAGGGGTCCCAAGCCCCGGGGCACCTGCGTGGGTTCCACCCTGCCCGGATCTTCCCTGGCATCACAGTGCAGAAGGCACTGCGCCAGGCGGGAGAGGGCAGGCTCATGTTGGGGAGCAGCCAGTGGTGGGGAAGGACAAGAAGGCGAGAGGAACAAATAAATGAATAACCAGAGGCTCAACCCACCTACCACGTGCAGAACGGGATTCGGGCAAGGAGAACGAGAGGCAAGAAGGTCCTCAATCCTTGGATCTGGGGAGCTAATTGCCCCCTTAGTTGACAAATGAGTGCCCAGCGGAACTGGGCTCAAAACCTTGTGTGATAGAGACAGAAAGTAGGTTAGTGGTGGCATAGGCCTGGGGGGAATGGAGGGCCGGGGGTGATGGCTACAGGGCACAGGTTTTCTTTTTCAGGTGAATAAAAGGTTCTAAAATCGACTGTGGAGATGGCTGCGCATATCTGTGAAAATGCTCAATACCATTGAGTTGCAGAGTTTAAATTAGGGGATTGTATGCTATGTGAACGAAATCTCAATAAAGCCGCTACAAAAATGAAAAAGTCAAAAGCCTTGCCAGGCCTATGCCAGGAATTGTGAGGGGCAGCTTAGCGGCACTGGCTGGGAGCTGGTGAGCAGTGGGGATGCGTGCAGCCCACCCGTCCCCTTGACAGGTGTCACCTCACTTAGCATCCCTGACAGTGTGGCTGGTAAAACACCACTGGCCCATTTTACAGATAGGGACAGCAGGGTTAGGAGAGCTTCAAGGGCTTTCCAGGGCTGCACAGCCGGCAAACAGACTGCAAAGAGAAAGAAAATGTGAGCAAAATGTCAGCTCTACACATTTGGGATAGTGGGTTAAGCCCCTTTGCAGTTTGTAAAAATGCCACCAAAGAGATGATGGGCCCTCTTCTGCTGCAGTCAGGAGTGGGGTGGGGCCCCTCAGGGTGCTCTTGGATACCAGCCCCTCCCCACCCCTGCAGAGAGGAAAGTTTTCATCCCAGGATCATGCTGAGCCAGCATCCCACCTGCTCCCTGGCTCCCCCAAGGCCAGATTCGGGGACCTCTCCTCCTCCTGGAACCAGAGCTGACGGCTCCAGCCACGGCAGCCCCGCCCCTGCCCCACCGCCCTGGCCTTGTGCTATTCCCCTCTGCCTGAGCCCTTCCCTTCCTCCTGGCTCTAACCCCCTGCAGTGTGCCAGGGCGACAGGAACCCCAGGCTTGTTTCCAACAGCCAACCCACGTGGGGTGTATTGTGGAATGAAGGTTTGCATCCCCCCAGAGTTCTTATGTTGAAGCCCTAACCCCTAACAGGATGGTACTTGGAGGTGGGGCCTTTGGGGGTGATCAGGCTTAGATGAGGTCATGAAGGTGGGGCCCTGTGATGGGCTGAGGGCCCTCATAGAAGAGGAAGGCGATGACCTCTCCTCTTTCCGCTGTCTGCCATGCGAGGATACAGCAGGAGGGCTGCATGTACAGCCGGAAGCTGGCTCCCCAGAACCGGGCCCTGCCAGCACTCTGCTCTCAGGCTTCCAGCCTCTACTCTGTGAGAAGTCAACATCTGTTGTCTGAGCCGCTCCGAGGGCAGCCTGAGCTGATGAGTATAGGGGGCCAGGGCCAGGTGGGAGGGCCCCAGTGTCTCCTACAGCCTGTGTCTCCTGCAACCTCTGTGAGGGGCAGGGACCCGGTTCTCCAATTTCACAGCTCAGGAGCCTGGGGCTCCCTCATGCCTAGGCCACACAGCAAAAGGGAGGAGCCGGGACTCCAACCCAAGACCTCAGGACCCCAGCCCCCAGTTCTGCCCTCATGCCTCTGCAGTGCCTCACGGGGCCAGACGGTCTCTCCCCTCTTCCGTGCTGCCTACACGTTTGTGAGAGCCACTGGTGCTGTGACAGGGCCCAGGCTGTCAGTCACTAAAGCCAAGCACCCCAGTGACCCTGGGGCCTAGCAGCAAGACAGGGACTCAGCCCGGGGTGGGGCCTGCGAGGCCCACACCCAGCAAGCACTTCCCTGAAAGCCACACCTAGAGGCCAAGTTCCCCTGGCCTGGCACCCCAGGGACATGGCTCTTCCTCCCCCCGAAGCCTTCCCCACTCTGGATCCCCTCTCCCTACCCCTCTTAGCCTCACTGACAAGAGACACAGTTCCGAGTGTCTGCTGTCACCCCCAGAAATAGCACTGGCCTTAGAGTCAGCCACAATGGATTCAATCCTGGCTCTCTACTTTTTGGCTGAGTGAGCTACAGGAAAATTACTTTCTCTTCCCAAGCCTCGGTTATCCACCAACCCCAAAAGGAGCAGCGGTGGAGGAGCAAATGACGTAATAAGGTCCACAGCAGGCCCTACTCCAGGCAGTGCCTGACCTGGCAACATTCGGGACATGGGGCCGCATGAAAAGGGTGGGAGGGGAGGAGGGGAGACATCCCAGCACCTCTTTGCTCACCCTTCCACCTGCCCCACTGCCTGGGCATCTTGTCCTTCCCAAAACGTATTCCACGCTCTGCAGTGGACTCAGTGTGTCCCCTAAAATCCATATGTTAAAATTTTAATCCCAATGTGACAGCATTAGGTGGGGCTGGTAGGAGGCAATTAGGTCCTGGGGGTAGAGCCCTCAAGAAAGGGATTAGTGCCCTTATAAGGACAGACCCCAGAAAGCCAGCTCACTCTTTCTCCACCACATGAGGACACAGGAGAAGTCAGCCATCTGTAACCGAAAGAGGGCCCCCACCAGAACCCAGCCAAGCTGCCACCCTGATCTCAGCTTTCCAGCCTCCAGAACCATGAGAAATCAAATGCTGTTGTTTCTGAGCTCCCCAGCCTGTGACATCTTGTTATAGCAGCCCGAAATAAGACACTCTCAGTCCTTGCTTTGCCCAAGCTGACCCCCCGCCTAGAGAGCTTAGAGAGCTTATGTGTCCCCCACCCTCACTTCCCATTCATTTTTCACAACCCAAGTCAACCTTAAGGTCTCCTAGAAGCCTCCTGTGACAGAACCTGTTGGTGTTCACCAAACCTCATAAACCTGGTGCAATTTCCTCTTGGGCACACAGATAAACTACATTTCCCAGACTCCTTTGCACTTAGGTAGGATCATGTGACCAAGTGCTGGCCAATGGAATGTGGGCAGAAATAATACACTGCTTTTACAGGCCTGAGGCATGAGAAATGTCCCATAGCTGCCCATGGGCTCTCCTTTTCTATTGGCTAGTTGAATGAAAGAATGCCAAAGCCCTAGAGAAGGGCAGGGCCACAAGATGGAAGGAGCCTGGGGCCCTGAATGACCAAGTGGAGCAGAGCCTCAACTCTGACCTGCATTAATGTGAAAGCCAAATAAATTTGTATTGTGTTAAGCCACTGAGAAGTGAGGGCAGTTTGTTACAGCAGTTAGCCTGTGCTGACTACTGCTACATATCTATACATCCTTCCCTCTTCTCCCAACAATGAAGTGTCCAGTGGTGGATTCCCCCAACCCACTTCTAGCCCTTGGTCTTCTGGGCCATCATTAGCTGGCTACTTGTTGTCTCCTGCTCTGGTCTGTGGGCTCTTTGAGGACAGAACTACAACTTGTGAGTTACTTATTTCTGTTTCCCAGCTGGGGCTGGTACAGTGCAGGCACTCATAAATGTTGCCTGATGAACACACCAGGATGTCTCAGAATAGGGCTACCTGGAAAATGAGAAGTTTGTCCTCAAAGGGCCTTCTAGACCCAGCCTGCCCCTGATTCTGAGAGGAGGCACTCCCTATGTGTAAGTCACATGCCAGGCACCATTCTAAGCTCTTCTCAAATATTTGCTCACTTTGACCTTCACGACACGGAGGCACAAAATACGTGAATCATGGCCGAGCACGGTGGCTCACACCTGTAATCCCAGCACTTTGGAAGGTCAAGGCAGGTGGATCACATGAGGCCAGGAGCTCAAGACCAGCCTGGCCAACATAGTGAAACCCGTCTCTATTAAAAATACAAAAAAATTAGCTGAGTGTGGTGGTGCATGCCTGTAATCCCAGCTATTTGGGAGGCTGAGGCACGAGAATCATTTGAACCCAGGAGGTGGAGGTTGCAGTGGGCTAAGATTGTGCCACTACACTCCAGCCTGGGTGACAGAGTGAGACTGTCTCAAAAAACAAACAAACAAACAAACAGACAGACAAAACAAAACAAAAAGGTGGTGAATCACTTGTCCACAGTCTCACAGCTGGTAGGTTGCAAAGACAGGATGAAAACCCGGGCTGGCCAGTAGGCTGCAGAATGCATGCACCTCCCCCAAAGGCAGCCCCACATCATGTTTCTGGACCTGCCTTTAGTTGGTGGCCGCAGGGGACCCTACCCCCTGTGGCCACCAATTAAAGGTTGATGCTGGGCACAGCAGGTGGTGTAGCGGCTGCACCTGTGCCTGTGCTGGGTGTTAGATGCTTCTCCTATCACCTGTGGGGGTGTGCACCCCTGGGTCACAGATGAGGAAACTGAGGCAGAGGCACTGAGTCACGCCAGGAGAACTGGACAATGCTGGACTTCTGTTTGGGCTCATCCAACCCCAGGGCCTGGGGCTCTTTCCAAAACACTTGTCCCAGGGGCTAGTCTGACCCCAAATGCCAAAAAGTATTCATCACCCAGCTCGCCTGGGCTGCTGGTTTGTTTAAACCCCAAGCAGCAGCTCAGGGCCAAGGGAGAACACAATTCCTCTAAATGCCAAGCATTTGACTGAGGGTGAGAAAGTGGATTGGACACTCTTACAAGGAGGAAAAAAAATAAAGGAGGTGTTCCCTGACTCCCCACAGCTGCAGAGTAATACCATGCATCCCAGCCCAACAAGACCCCAGGGCTGCAGAGTAATACCTCGAGTCCCAGCCCAGTGGGTTCCCACAGCTGCAGAGTAATACCTCACATCCCAGCCCAACGGGTCCCTACAGCTTCAGAGTAATACCTCACATCTGATCCCAATGTGTCCCCATGGCTGCAGAGTAATACCTCACCTCCCAGCCCAACAGGTCCCCACAGCTGCAGAGTAGTACCTCACATCCCAGCCCAAGGGGTCCCCATGGCTGCAGAGGAATGCCTCACATCTGAGCCCAATGTGTCCCCACAGCTACAGAGTAATACCTCACATCTCAGCCCAATGAGTCCCTACAGCTGCAGAGTAATACCTCACATCCCAGCCCAACAGGTCCCCACGGCTGCAGAGTAATACCTCGCATCCCAGCCCCACAGCCTGACCCAGCCCATCCAGGCCCACTCAACTGCAGCTGGCAGACTTCTGCACCCACTGGTGCCAAAGGCTGCCCCCTGCTTGGCCCTGGAGGTGACTGGACTCGTGTTCCATACAATCCCTCAGGTTTCTCAGGGCCATACGAACTCCTTGGAAGGCACTGGAATCAAGATTCTGCCCAAGGTGCAGGCTGCCTTCTCTCAGAGGTGAAGGGATTCCAGGATGTCGTGGAAGCGTCTTTCCTGACATGTACACCTTGCAGGCAGCTCCCTTCTCCAGTCTGAGACAGGAACCCACCTCCCTTCTGGGTGAGAGCCCTGAGGTCACTGTCCCTCTAGGACCACAGCCCCGTGTCCACCCTAGGCTCTTAGGAAGCCCCACTCCTGCTCAGGGCAAGGTGCATCTGGCTCTTGGTCAGCACCCAGCTCGGCCCGTCTCCACTCATGCTCTGAGCTCCGGGGCCTTCACAGGGCCCTTCTGTTCTTCCAGGATGAGGCTCAGGAAGCCAGATCCTCATGCAGCTGGAATGTTCTCTCAACACCCCCGAGGGCCTCAGGCCCATCCCTGGAGAAAGTCCTGGATGCAGCCTCATAGCGCTGATAGAAACTCCACAGCCAGTTCCAAGGTCCACAGGTACCTTCCTCTTTGGGGGTCAAGGCCTGTGGGCTTGGGTGGGCTGTTCTGGCCCCCAGACCTCACCTGGCCAGGGCTGAAGGCCATCACTGGGCCCCTGATGCCACGTGGGCTCCCATTCTCAGACCAAGGTCCTAGGTCTACAGACAACACAGCAGTAAATGGCCTCTCTCCCCAGGTTTTAAACGGGTAAGAAAAATGCAACCTTCATCCACAGGGCACAGCTAAATCCAGCTTTTACATCTACACAGTGGCAAGACCAGACAGCTGTGCAGAGGCTTGGGCCTGCCCTGGCTGAAAGAACACTGGCTGAAAAGATGCATTTGCGGGTCTCGTTTTGGGGAGTTAGGGTTTGCTTTGTTTTTTTTAACAGCCCACTTCATAGTCGTAAGCATCAGAGGCAGGGTGGGCTGTCCCCTCAGCCCCTTCCCTTCTTCCTCACTAAGAGAACCCCAGTTTTATTTAAAACAACAACGGGCCCAGCTAAAAATACCAGGAGTGGCCACGTGACCCACTTCCAGCCAATGACAGCCTATGGAAGTGATGCCAGGTGGGTTCCCGGAGAGCGCCTGTGTCCCTGACGCACAGGTGCAGGCCCAGCTGGCACCTGCCTCTGCTCTCCCCTCCTCTTGCCGAGAAGGCAGGATGCGGAATGGCAGGTGAAAGGCACTCCCTGAGCACGGGGGTGTGGGAACTGCACAGGCCCAGGTCTGCGATGACTTCCCCCAGGAGCCCTGCCAGCCGGGCCTGCTGACACCCACTTCTTGTTACAAGGGAAACCCAGACTGGTCAGATTTTTCTAACAAGAAGTCAACACAGTCTAGCGATCATTCAGCCCAGGGCCTCTGGGTGTGCACATCCTTGGATAAAGCTGAAGGGAGCTTAGCAGGAATCTGTCGAAGTCACCAAGAGCTTAGCACGTGCCAGCATGTCCTCAACTTGTTTGCTGGATGGATGGGAAGACTGCTCAGAAAGGCTACAGAGCTTGCCCAAGGTTACACAGCCTGTATGAGAGGGTCAGGATTCAAACCCAGGTCTTTTCAAAGAAGCCCAGGTTCTACCTTCACGGAAGGAGAAGCTAGAGAGGGAAACCTGGGGAAACACAGGGGTCCAAGCCAATTCACTCAGCAATAAGCACGTGTTTATGTCACCCGCCCTTCCTGTGATCCAAGGCTGTGGTGTCCCCAACCCCCAACTCCACTCTGTCCTGCAGCCCATGCTTCCCTCAGCCTGGGTGCCTTTCTCATATGCACCTTGTAGTATGTCACAGCTGGGTCGCTCAGGAGGGATGGGGCATCCTGGGTGAGGTGAGTGTACTCTGTGTACCAGGCATGGGCCTTCCTGGGTGCATGGTCTGGGGACCATGGCTCCCACCCCGACCAGGTCTCTTCCCTTGCGCCACCTGCTCCCACCTCATACCTACGGGGACTCAGGAGTGATGCCCAAGGCCAGCAAGGGCCGGCAGCGTCCCTTCCAGCTGGCAGCGCCTCTGCCCAGAGCCAGCCAAGCGCGGGCTTCAGGTTCAGCCTTGGCCAGCAGCAGCAGGCACAGGGACCACAAGTTCCCGTGTCTGGGTCTTCTGGGGGTGGCAGAGGGGGCAGGCGGGGCCCAGCTTCAGGAAGGAAACTTCCCCAGGGCTGTGGAGGCTCACTTTCCACCTCCCCACCCGGATCTGCCCCTTCACCTTCCCCAGGAACCACAGCCATTATCCCGGGCCTACAAGTAGCAGCTTGGGGGCTAACTGGGTCCTACATACCTCCGGAGGGGCTATGATCCTGGACAGCAGGAGGGCCACCTCAGGCACAGTCCTGGGCTGGAGGAGGGACAGGAAGATGGATCCTTACCCATGGAGGAGATCAGAGGAGGAGGCTGACGTGGCCTTCTGTGGCTTCAGCATCTCAGATCTGCCCCTGCCCCATGCAAACCCACCACCCACATGGCCGAGTGAGTGCTCATGGCGTTGGGCACTTCCCCTGCGTGCTCCTAATCCCTGATGCACACTCAGCCCTGTGAGGCTGACACTCTCAGGATCCCCACTTGGCAGGAGAGGAAACGGGGCCCAGAGAAGGTGCTTAGCTTCTCTGGGGCCACCCATTATTAAAGGCCACACTAGGATGGAACCCAGGCGGTCGCATTCTGGAACTGCAGAGCCATGCCCCCTCTCTCTGATCCCAAGGTCTAGGGTGCAAAATCTAAACTCCTCCTCACAATCTCCATGGTCCTGCCCAGCAGCCTGGGGCTCTCTCCAGCCTCACCCCAGCCTCCTATCAGCCCCTCTCCTCCCACAACTTAGAGCTCCAGCTTTGTAACCGTCTCCTCAAGCACACATGTGGCTTTCGTGTCTGCTCTTTTTGCCTTGGAGCCAACAGCCTCTAGCACAGCATCTAGCATGGCACAGAACAGGCAGATGAGAACACTAATCATATCGCCCTCTGTGCATTCATTCTGTGCCATGTGGCCAAGCGCCTTCCACATGTGATCCCATGTAAGCCTCACAAAAATCTCCAGAAGGCAGTCATCATTCCACCCATTTTACATATGGAAACACTAGGCTCCAAGCTATGTCCATTCATGGTCACACAATGAGAAAGAGGCAGGGAGGGAACCATCAGGCTGTGCTCCTCTCCCGAGCACACCGCCCACCGAAGTTCACCAAGTGAAGAAACAGCAGAGTGGCCGTGAAAGACACCGGCAGACGGAGTAACCTGGGTCAAGGTGTGAGACAGGAGGCAGGGACCATGTCAAGGCACCAGCAGCCAGTGCCCAGAGCCCCATGCCCAGAGCTCCAGGGGAAGGAGTGAGAAGCTGGGAGAGCAGGGCGGAGCCCGGTGGGTGAGGTCCACACATCTCCTTACTTTGAACTTGACCCGGCAGACTTCCTGGTGCCCCTGAGTGCTTGGGAGCTGGAACAAGGGTCGCTGGCTTTAGGAGGTCACCCTGTGCTGAGGGGCTGCAGGTGGCACAGCAGCACAGCGGGCAGCAAGCTGGCTGCTCCCTCTGCCATAAGGAACAAGAGTCTCTGAGGCCTCTGGGGCCAGCTCCCTGGGGAGGCTGGCAGTGGCCAATCTCACATCATGGTGTGGGGCTCCAGGCAACCTATAGTGGACACCTGGCCTCAGCACCCTACTTGGAAAGAAGACGTCAGTGCGTGGACACTGCTATTTAACCAACCGGCATCTTATGCGGCCTGGACAGTCACAGCCATGCCTGGAGCTCAGGGAGACACCAGGAAAGATGGCCCAGACCCAGGTGGGGCACAAAGGGTTACCTTCCTGTGGCCCAGCCCATGGAAGCTTCCGGTGGCACCACGGGAACCAGACCAGGCCCTGCAGGTACCCTGGGATTTGGAGGAAGAACGGCAAGTTCAGCAGGCACCTCGGGCTGAGTGGGGAGCACGAGGGGTGCAGGGAGAAGCCCGGCTCCGAAAGAAGCCCTCCGAATGGGACCACCCACCTCTTCTCACAAACACCTGCCATTCAGATTCGTGGGCTGCTGTTTTTCAAGGATTTGCTTTTCTGAAAGACCTAGAGAATATTCTAGAACAGTTAAATATAGCTCTTGTGAAAGCTGTCCCATTTCCATGCCTATGTTCATTCAACAAACATTCTCGGAGGGCCTGCTTAGTGCCAGACACAGGCGGGTGGGGGCCTCAGCCCCTGGGAGATGAAGAAGAGAGTCCCTGCTGAGAGGTGCTGGGGGCAAGGGATAAAGACTGGCTTGGAAAGAGCTGAGCACGACACAGGGTGGCAGGTGCTGAACTGGCGGGAGCCCTGGAACTTCAGGGACACATAGGAGAGACATCTCACCTGCCTGGGAAGGCTGCACAGAGGAGACATCTTCAGTGGCTAGGGATGCCCCACTCTAGCCTGGGACTCAGTCTGCATGGGACAGGGGTGGAAAGAGGGACGGGGTGGAGAGAGGGACAGGGCTGAGGGGTAATCAAGAGCTTAGATTTCAAGGGCCATGGTAAGCAATGTATTGCAGGCTGTGGGCCACAGGGAGCCATGGATGGCTTGTGAGCAGGGCAGTGACTCGATCTCCTGTGGCTAGCTTGATGCACATAAGCACAGGCCCTGGCCATCTCAGAAATGCATGCAGCTTGGAGAAGGCCGAGTAGGTGACGTTGCCGTAGTGCAGTGTTGCATAATGCCTGGTGACCCCCCCACACCCGCCCTTTAAAAACAAATGCTTAGGTCATCCCCAGAGGAAGCCAAAAATTAGAGAGGGCTCCTCTGTGTGCCCAGAATGGATCTAGACTGAGCTGGAAAACAAAACTCAAAGGAAAAAAACCAGAGCATTTCCAATGTCCAGGCCTCCTGGGACTGGGGTGGTAAGGCACTTCAACCAGAGGCAGTAGGGGCCAGGGAAGAGGGCATCTACAATTCCCTTCTAAATTTTAAAAAGCAAGATCCCAGCTTACAGCAAATGTCCACCTGATAGGAAGAAGGAAAAGGGTCACAGCACTGACACCCTGCCTGTACGGGAAGATTCTGGTCCCAGAACGAAAGGCTCAAGGAGATAAGAGCAATGACCCACCAGCTCCAGATTTCTCCCCTGCCAGACGAGGGTGAAGAGCAGGTGCCCTGGAAGCCAGGCAGAGAAGGAAGCAGCCAGAGAGAAGAGCACCCGCCCCACCCCTGCTGGCAGCTTCCTCCTTCTCCCTCCCTCCTCCCCTCTGCTGTTCTCACTCTGAGGTGCTCTCCTGCCAAAAGCATTCCCCATTTCAGCTCCATCTCCTCCTCTTCTGATTCTTTTATAGGGGACTCTTGGGACATCCCCAGATGCCAAATGAAGCAGCTGGTGGCCTCTGCCTTCAGCAGCAGGTCTGAGAGTTTCCATCACCAGCCACTAGACTTCAAAGCCAACCTTGTCCATGGGCTTACTCACGCATGGGGAGACTAAAGCCCAGACGGGGAAGCCAGGTCTGCCCGAGGGGTTGGAGTTGACCACGGGTTACCAGGTCACATCCAGGACACGTGGTAGCTGAACACAGCTGAGGGCTCAGAGGGCTGTCCCTGTCACAGGAGGTATGTGAGCAGAGTGTGAAGGGCCACTGAACAGGCCACCAGAAGGTCCATTACTTTCCAGGAGACCAGACTGGATGTCCCCTAAGTATTAAGGCAGGCATGATATGGGAAATGGAGCCACACCTCCTTCTCCCAGTCATCTGCCAATGATGGGTCTAAGTGTGGCCATGTGGCCCACCCTTGGCCTATGGGGCACAGGTGGAAATTGCTGAGTGGGGCTTCCTGGAAAGTTTGTTAGAAGGACAATCTCAACTGGCATAACCCTTCTGACCTTTGCCCCCTCCTTCTTCCTGCCTGGAACAGAGATGTGATAAACCCAAGTACAAATGCCAATACACTAAGGAAGACAAAGCCAAAAAGTCAAAGAAGCCCAGGTCCCAGGTGGTCCTGGACAGTGTCCCCAGAGACCACACCATCACTCACTGGACATCCCACCCAGACATGCCCTGAGAACTCCATGGCCCTGGTTGTTTCCAAGTCAGCCACATTTCATTGTAGTCCTCTTTGGTGTTCCTCACACTAACACAACATTACTTGGTGAACCCTCAGTGAAGGCATGAGAGTACATTCTTTTGTGCAATTTAGCACCATACATTTCTGATAGCAGTTATAACATTTGACTTATTTTCTTTCTGTCTTTTCTCCTTGGAAGCCACAAGTAAATGTGAACCTGTATCACAGCCAATATGAAGGTCAGTATACACCCATATTTTGTGACTAACTTTATACCTTATTTTTATGTCTTTTGTTATAAGGCATGTCAAAAACTTTCCTAGAAGAAAAAGGGTGAAAATAAGCTAAAAATATGAACATATACATAACAAATGCTAATTTTAAAAAAGCAGGTACAGCAATAAGATCAGGGGAAAAAGAAGGCAAAAGGATCAAACAGAATTTTAAAAAGCTTGTTTTACATAGGCAAGCTTATCTCTGCCAAGAAGAAATAACAACAAACATAAACCTTTATGCATCCAACCACATAGCTTCAAAAAACATAAAACTAAAATTGTCAGAAATACAAGGAGAAACTGACAAGCTACAGTGACCAAGCACTGGTAGAGACACTAAGGGATCTCCCTCAGAAATTAAGTAGACCTGATAATAATTATAGTCAGATTATAAAGCAAGAGACACACATCAAAATGCCTATAGAGTGAGGCAGCTGAAGCAAATGAGTGAGATGACCTGAAATGATGATGCTAAGAACTATGGTGAACTAGACAGAGCACATGATCCATTTAAGGCATAAAAGTTAATAAAATAATGATAATTTAAACACTACATGTGCTAAACCCAACATGTGTGCAAGCTGATTGAGCCAGGAATCACCAGTTTTCAGACTTTGAAAAGGATTTGAGTAACATAACAAATAAGTTTGATTTAATAGGTTTGTGTAGAACTTTATACACAAAAAAAGAAATAAATGTTCTTTTCAAATGTTCATGGAACTCAACAAAAATTAATCATTGCACTACAAAGAAAAAGTCCTGTAAATTTTAAAATACAGAAATTATGCATTATAAGTATGCCTTACAGATAGTGAACACTTGAAACACATTAGCTATTTTATTTTTATTTATTTATTTTTATTTTTTATTATTATACTTTAAGTTCTAGGGTACATGTGCGCAACGTGCAGGTTTGTTACATAGGTATACATGTGCCATGTTGGTTTGCTGCACCCATCAACTCGTCGTTTACATTAGGTATTTCTCCTAACGCTATCTCTCCCACAGCCCCCAATGCCTCAACAGGCCCCAGTGTGTAATGTTCCCTTCCCTGTGTCCATGTGTTCTCATTGTTCAACTCCCACCTATGAGTGAGAACATGCGATGTTTGGTTTTCTGTCCTTGTGATAGTTTGCTGAGAATGATGGTTTCCATCTTCATCCATGTCCCTGCAAAGGACACGAACTCATAGTTTTTTATGGCTGCATAGTATTCCATGGTGTATATGTGCTACATTTTCGTTATTTATTCTATTATTGATGGACATTTGGGTTGGTTCCAAGTCTTTGCTATTGTGAATAGTGCCACAATAAACATACATGTGCATATGTCTTTACAGTAGCATGATTTATAACCCTTTGGGTATATACCCAGTAATGGCATTGCTGGGTCAAATGGTATTTCTAGTTCTAGATCCTTGAGGGATCGCCATACTGTCTTCTACAATGGTTGAACTAATTTACACTCCCACCAACAGTATGAAAGTGTTCCTATTTCTCCACATCCTCTCCAGCATCTGTTGTTTCCTGACTTTTTAATGATCACCATTCTAACTGGTGTGAGATGGTATCTCATCATGGTTTTGATTTGCATTTCTCTGATGACCAGTATTGATGAGAAAACTGGCTAGCCATATGTAGAAAGCTGAAACTGGATCCCTTCCTTACACCTTATACAAAAATTAACTCAAGATGGATTAAAGACTTAAATGTAAGACCTAACACCATAAAAACCCTAGAAGAAAACCTAGGCAATACCATTCAGGACATAGTCATGGGCAAAGATTTCATGACTAAAACACCAAAAGCAATGAAAACAAAAGCCAGAATAGACAAATGGCATCTAACTAAACTAAAGAGCTTCTGCACAGTAAAAGAAACTATCATCAGATCGAACAGGCAACCTACAGAATGGGAGAAAATTTTTGCAATCTATCCATCTGACAAAGGGCTAATATCCAGAATCTACAAAGAACTTAAACAAATTTACAAGAAAAAAACAAACAAACCCATCAAAAAGTGGGCAAAGGATATGAACAGACACTTCTCGAAAGAAGACATTTATGCAGCCAACAGACATATGAAAAAATGCACATTAGCAATTTTAAATGTGCAAAATGCAAGAACTAACTTAATCTTCTCAACAACCTTGAGGTCGATTATTGTTGTTGTTATCATCCTCATTTCATAGATTGCAAAAGCCAAGGCACAGAGAAGCTGAAATGCATGTCCATGTAATTACATTACAATTAGTAAATGACCAAGACAGAATAACACACAAGCAGTCTGGCTCCAAAACTCATTCTCCTACCTAATCATTTTGCTGACAAAAGTGTGTGTATATGCATGTGTGTTTTGTGTATAACTTTAAAACACACGCTTCAAATAACCCTTGGATTAAAGAAAAAAATAAACTCACTTGCAAATTATTTACAAACAAATGATAATGAGACACCTATGGGATGCAGCCAAAGGGGCACACAGAGGAAAACATATAGCCTTTAGTGAATTTATTTGTAAAAAGAGAAAGCCTAGTAACTGTCAGTGCATGAAGGGAGGAAAAAAATAAATAAACCTAAAGAATGCAAAGTAAGTGTTTAATAACAATAAAAGCAAAAAATCAATAAAATTGATAACCTCCTATAAGAACACCAAGAGATGGTTCTTTTAAAAGATTAATAAATGTTGACAACTAATTCCAAATATTTTCAAAGAATGTAAGAGCCAAAGAAAACACATGTGCATGCCAGAGCCTGCAACAGAGCCAAACATTTCATCCTCTTCTATGCAACAACCTGCTGCTAGCTGTCACCTCTTAGACATGGGGCTAAGGGGCTGGACCATGACAGGAGGCTTCTACTTCTATGCTACATTTTGTTTGGTTTTTCTTAAGTTTTCACTATGTAGATTTTCATACATATATATATATGTATACATATATATGTGTATACATATATATGAATATATATGTGTATACATATATATTCATATATGTGTATACATATATATTCATATATATGTATACACATATATATTCATATATTCATATATATGTATACATATATACACATATATACATATATATGTATACACATATATTCATATATATGTATACACATATATTCATATATATGTATACATATATTCATATATATGTATACATATATATTCATATGTATACATATGTATACATATATATTCATATGTATACATATGTATACATATATATTCATATGTATACATATGTATACATATATATTCATATGTATACATATATATATAGACACACATACCAAGGTAGAGAAAAATATAATTAACCCCCAGATATGAATACTCAAGCTTCAGCAATTAACAACTCAAGGCCAATCTTGTTTTATCTAAACCCCCATCCACTTCTCCATGTGATTCAGGTTATTTTAAAGAAAATCCCAGACATTTCATTTACACATGCATCATTACCTCTTAAAGATAAGTGTTCATTTATTATATATAGTCATAATAATAATTTCATTTATACATGCATCATTATCTCTTAAAGATAAGTACTCATTCATTATATATAGTCATAATAATAATCACACCAAATACCTAACATTAATGTGTGTGTGTGTGTTTAAATTACAGAGGTTTTACATGTTACCAGTTTTTAAATCCAATTAAGAAAAAGTTTAAAAGCACAGTAGACTTTGTATAACTCAAAACATGCTAAAGGAGATAGGATCACCCATACCCTACAAATAAGGATGCTGATGATGAGAGCAAAATAATGGTTTACTTGCTGTACCCCAGCTAATAAAAGGTAGATGAGGGGTTGAGCTCAGGTCCCTTCATGACTGTCTTAATCCGTTCTCACACTGCTATAAAGAAATACCCGAGACAGGGTAATTTAAAGAAAACAGGTTAAATTTACTCACAGTTCCCACATGGCTGGAGAGGCCTCAGAAAACTTACAATCGTGGTGGAAAGGGAAGCAGGCAACTTCTTCACAAGGTGGCAGAAAAGAGTGAGTGCAAGAACGAGGAAGTGCCACACTTTAAAACCATCAGCTCTAGAGAGAATTCATTCACTATCACAAGAACAGCATGGGACTGCCCACATGATCCGATCACTTCCCTCCCTTGACACATGGGGATTACAGGTCTCTCCCTCAACACGTGGGGATTACAACTTGAGATGAAATTTGGGTGGGGACACAGAGCCAAACCATATCAATGACCGATCCTGGGTTGGGTCCACTTGACCATGGCAGGCTTCCAGCCTAGCAGATGGTCAGATTTTGATAGGTAACAATAGATTAATTAACATGTTTGGACAACAAAGTCTTCTTGACCATAGTAAGATAAACTCAGATTCATACATTTGATATGGCAGAAAAGCAACATGAGCTGAGTGACTTCTATGTGATGGGCCCAGAACTAGGTGCTTTCATCTCCCTGATCTCGCTTAATCCTCACAGCAGTCCTAGCAGGTTACTGTGGGCTGAATCATGTCCCCTCACCCCAAATTCATATGTTGATATCCTAACCCCCAGGACCTCTGGATGTAACTGTTTTTGGAAAAAAATAAGGTAAAATGAGGCCCCTCGTGTGAGCCCTAATCCAATCTAACTGGTGTCCTTATAAGGAGAGGAGATTAGGACCACAGACATGCACAGAGGGATGGCTGTATGAAGACCCAGGGAGATGATCATCCACAAGCCAAAAAGAAAGGCTTCCGAAGAAATCAACCTGCTGACACCTTGATCTTGGACTTCAGGCATGAAGAACTGTGAGAAAAAAAGTATTTTCTGCTGCTTAAGTCACCCTGTCTTACTCTGTAATGGCAGCCCCAGCAAACTGAAACGAATCCAAAGGTAGACTGTGGACTATCTGTTTTACAGATGAGAAAACAGCAAATCATCTGAGAGCTATGCAATGGGCAGGATTTGAACCCACTTGGAAACCAAAGCTATGCTCTCCACTATACCAGGAAGGAAATCATGGTGAGGAGTAGGTGGCAGGAGGGACTTGGCAAGAGGCATGGTCAGATGGCAGGCTGAGATGCTGTACCATTGCTTTGGGCTCATTGTGGGCAGGATGTATTTCCCACCTTTTGACTTTGGCCTTGGTCACATGACTTGCTTTGGCCAATGGTATGTGGGAGAAGTGACAGCATCATGGCAGTGTCATGGCAAAAGAGTCGTCACTTGCATTTGCTGCTCTCCTGTGCCTTTGCCATCATTTTTTTTTTTTTTTTTGAGACGGAGTCTCACTCTGCTGCCCAAGCTGGAGCGCAGTGGCGTGATCTCGACTCACTGCAAGCTCTGCCTCCCAGGTTCACGCCATTCTCCTGCCTCAGCCTCCCGAATAGCTGGGACTACAGGCGCCCGCCACCATGCCTGGCTAATTTTTTGTATTTTTAATAGAGATGGGGTTTCACCATGTTAGCCAGGATGGTCTCGATCTCCTGACCTCGTGATCTGCCCGTCTCAGCTCCCAAAGTGCTGGGATTACAGGTGTGAGCCACCACGCCCGGCCACCTTTGCCATCATTGAGCGAAAAACATGCAATGACTTGAAGCAGAGCTTCCCCCATCAGCCTGCAGACCAGTAATGGGTAAAAGCTGCCCAGCTGAGCCTCAGACTGTGAACAGTAATAGATGGTGGTTGTTTTCAGCCTCTGTGTTTGTGGATGATTTGTTACATACACATCACTAGCTAACTGATAAAGGTGAAAAGACACTGTATGTAACAACATAGTTAGCACAGACTCTGAAGTCAGACTTCCCGGGCATAACTCCTTTCTGCCACTTATTAGCTACATGACCCTGGGCAAGTTGCTTAGTCTCTCTGATCTTCTAGATCCTCATCTGTAAAACGGGGATACATGAAAATATCTATCTCATAGGATTGTCGAGAGGATGGAATTAATTGAGATAGTGACTGTAAAAAAACAGAATCCCATGGGCATGCCATAAACAATAGCTCTTTGGTTGTGGTAAGAGAATTGAGGTCACACTTATCCTGGGGAGCTCTGGTCAGGAGAACTAAGACAAACCAATGAGGGTCATTTTGGCCTTTTATTTTAAAACTGATGCTATTTCTACCTTTCTCTATGAGTGAGGCAGTTAACTCCCTGTCACTGGAAGGTTCAGTGATGCTGCCATCCTGAGAGGGTGGGACCAGATGCTTCTGAGTTCTCTTGATATTGTCAGGTGATAATCACTGAGGCTAATCCTTCCTGTATCCAAGCTCTTAATTCCAGGCAGAGGGACAGTGTCTGGGACTGCACCCTGGACAGGCTGTGGGTGTAATGGAGACCACATCAAGCTTGAGGAGAGATTTGGGTTCAAGTCCTAAGCTCCACTTCATGACCTTGGGCAAGTCACCAGATCTCTCAGAGCCTCATCAGCATAACCAGGTAACCATTGGCCCTATTTCATAGTCTTGTTAATGGATGAAAGATGGTTGTGGATGGGAACCTGTCTTGTAAACTAGATTGCACCCAGGTCAAGCAATTATCCATAGTGACATCATTCCTGGCACACTGATGAAAAGGCATCTACCTCTGAAATTCTGTCTTCCACCAGCCCAGGGTGGGCTTATGTGGCAAGCATGCTACCACTGCCTGACCCACACCCATGTCAGACATGACTAATCAATCACACACGGCACCCTTCCCCACTGAGACTGCTTCGTGGTACAATGCTCCAGTGACCAGAGCCAGTCGGCTGGGTCAGACTGACAAGGCAAACTGTCCCCATCCCTGGAGCTGAAATGGGTCTACAGGCTCCCTTCCCCTCCCCCTCCTCATTTCATGCGTCCACAAGTGTCCTGCAGATCCCCCTGCACTGGCTGTGTCTGGGGTGAGCAAGGATTTCACCGTGGATACCAGCTTTCCAACTCCACATGAGCTTGTCCCAGCTGCCTTTCCAAGGCCACCTGAAGACCACTAGGAAAACATCCTGAAATAGTAAGAACATCAAAAACTTTTTCAACATTGCCGAGGGCTGCTGAAGTTGCAGTGAAGCCAGAAGACCCACCCCTGCTTGTACAGTTGTTGATGGGAACAACATAGTAACACAACTGAGTGCTGTGCCCCCTGACCTGCTGATCCCACTACAGCCAGCAAACCCTTAAAGGAGGATCTCACAGAATCCACACACACAGAGATGTCCAACAAACCATTATCTATAGTTAGCCTAAAGAAAGAAAAAATACATTAAATCATTATAAATAGAGGCATGGTTCAATAATTAAGTGTCCATTCATTCAGTGGATATATAGCCATTAAAATCATTTCCCTTCAGTCTGTGGAAACTCAAGGTAATGTGTGATGTAAACTTAAAGAGAAAAGGGGCTCTGAAATGCTATGCATATCACCACAGACCCCGTGGGCACCTCCCAATACCTGACTCCACCCACTCCTCACCAGCCACACCCCAGCTTGCTTTGAGAAGCAGCATGCCCCATTTTCCAGGTTCCCTTGCAGCTAGAGTTGGTCATAAGACATAGTCCTGGCTGATGAGATATAAGTAGAAGCTGTTGGGCGGGTCATCCAGGAAGGTTCTTTAGAAAGAAGCAGGCTCAGCTGGCACACGCCTTTGACTTGTGTTCTTCCTCTTCTTCCTGCTGGGAGGGATGCTGGAGAGGATGTTGGAGGTGGAGCAGCCACCATGGAACCATGAGACACCAGCCAGAGGACAAATGCCAAGCTAAGATGACTGAGCAGAAAGCTGGAAAGAACCTGCTCTCTCAAGGCATTGTGGAGCCACCTGTCAGCCCGTCTGCCTGCCCCACGCTTCGCAACCAAGAAAGACAAAACGGCTGTTTGCTCAAGTCCTTGTTACCTGGCTTTTCTGCTAGAGGCTCCTGAACACGATCCCTAAATAATCCACTCTGATGAAATGATAAAGTCAGCAAGCACATTTGGGCAATGACAAGAAGGTGAACATGGAATGCTGAAGCCATTCTTGGATGTGATCATGGGGTCTCAGGAGAGTCGTAGGGAATTTCCTCCCTTTCACGAAACACTCTGCCGTTGCTTGCCAACTTTCCCTTTCCCATAGTATGAGAGCTATTTGGGGATTCAACACACACTGGCTTCCCCCTCACTAGTGTTTGAATACCTATGGCCTGAACATTGTCCCAGACAGACACCAGACCAATTTCCCCAACTGCCAGAGCTCCTCAGCACTTGGGTGCTGT
The DNA here is from genome assembly GCF_000001405.40 of Homo sapiens. Classification (NCBI taxonomy): domain Eukaryota; kingdom Metazoa; phylum Chordata; class Mammalia; order Primates; family Hominidae; genus Homo; species Homo sapiens. The sequence goes on from NC_000008.11 coordinate 139,692,610, forward strand.
CAAAGAAGTTCTCTCTGGGAAACCGCACAGGGAGAGCCTCTCATCATGACCAGACTCACTGGGGAACGTTCTCCCACACCCCGTGGCATCCCTGGGCTGGGCCCTTCCCTGCAGCCCGGATAAGCTCAGCCTAGGTCCACCTGGCATCAGTGGCAATCAGCTCCCCCCCACGTCCAACTGAATGCCCATGCCCTGGCACCCATGAGTGGCCTGGCACTGCCTGTTTCCAGACCACATGGGACCATGCACCCAAGCTGCCCTGACACAAAATGCTGCCTAGAGCTTCTGCTTCAAATGTGGGAACCAAGTGTCCACCCCACAGTTCTCAATACCACCCAGCTCACCCTGCCCACCTGAGCAGCTCACCCTGCTCACCTGAGAGGCTCACCTCAGGCCCACCTGAGAGATTCACCCCAACCTCACCTGAGTTTTCACCCCAGCCCCACCTGACAAGCTCATCCCAGATGTATGCCCACCTTCCACACCTCTGACAAACACCACATGTGCGCTGCGTGCCTGTCAGCTGCAGGTAAAGGCCTCTCACCTTCCTGAGTGGGCTGCACCTCACATGTCTGACAGGGCCAGTGACAGCCAAAGTCCATTTCACAAGTAGGCATCTCTTCCTGCCAGATGCCCTGCAGACTCACAGAGGCCTGGCGCCAGCAGCTGGCCTTGGGGACCAAGATCACACATCTAAGCCTCAGGAGTGAGAAGCTCCCCACTCAGCAGGACAGATCCCTAACCTGTTGTCTTCCATTAAAAGCAACAGCTTGAGTTCAAAAGGCTGCAGCCTGTCCTGCACCTACCCAGTGGTCCCAAGGCACAACCAAGCAGAAAGATGTCACCCCAAACTGCTCAGCTCTCAGCTGCTCCTGCTCTCGGGGAGCCAGGAGTACCAGCCAGTGTCCAGCCAGCCTTCCCTGAGCACCTGCTATGGGCCTGGCCAGGTGCAAGGGAGCCTGAGACCAGCAGCCCCTAGGGAATACTGATGTCTACTCAGAAAACTGAGTAGCACAGTGGGCTGGGGAGCAAAGAAACAAGTCCTTTGCTCAAGAGGATAAAGGACAATTGGGGAAAAGAGGAAGGCAGAGCCGGACTCAGGGCAGAAGGTGTGGGAACAGGGCCTGAGCGGGGCTGGAGGATGAAAAGGGCTGCAAGCTGAGGACCTGGGTCTGATTCTGCAGGGGATGGGGAGCTGCTGGGGTCTGGGGCAGGGCGAAGATGGCAGCCATGGGCTTTTAAAGGTCACTGCAGTGGTGGAGTGGAAGGTGGTGTCCCAGGAAGCCATAGTATCCCAACAGAACTGAGTTGGGGAAATCTTACTCCTTGAATGAGCCAGGGCTTGTATTCCAGTCCATAGCAATCCAACACAGAGACACCTTGAATGCAGCCTGTGGCCCCCAAAGCCCCCGGCTTGACACCATCCCAACCCCCATCCATTGGATGGTAGGAGCTTTTCCATCTCTGAGGAGCATTTCTCAGTCAGGGCGGCCTCAGGTGCCCCCTTGCTAAGATTGGGGCCATGAGATTAGATCAGGGGTTCGGCGGCAGCAGAAAGGGGGTGGTGGGGAAGTGGCAAGGGGAAGCTGAAAGTGAATTTGCCAAGAGTGGACAGAGCACAACCAGACCCAGGTGACTGTCCCCTAATGAGCACGCCCAAATGACCACCATCACAACAAAGCTGCCACTCACCAGCTGCCTCCTGGGTGGAGGAGGCGAGGAAACCTTTCACACACATTTCCTCCCATCCTTACAAGGACACAAATTCTGAGCTCTAAGTCTCCGTTTCATAGATGAGGGAGCCCAGGCTTAAGGGGTGTGCCTGGGATTGGGCCTCTGGGATGGGGCATGAGCCAGACGTGAGCCGCCCTGCAGGGCACTGGCATCCCAGGTCTGCCTGCTTCCCAGCTGTGTGCCTTCATAAGAGAGGCCACGGAGGAGCCCCTGAAATCCTGCCCAGGTGACAGGTGGCATCATGGCCCATTCATTGGATGGCTGGCCATGCGTAGGGTAGGGACCTGCCCCCCACTCTCCAGATGCCTGGCCCAGCATCCCTCTTGTCACACCAACATTCCACCCATCACCTGCCACCCCAAACTTCAGCCCACCCTCCTCTACTCCAGCCCCCTCCCTCCACCCCATTGCCACCTACTGGTTCCTCCCAGGGCTCAAGTTCTGATAAGGATGAGGATGGCTCAGGGCAGGTCCACCCCACTCACCTAGCACCACCTTCGAGCAGCCACTCCCTGGCCAGGCTCTTCCATCACTCAGGGCTGGTTGACCCCAAGACCCCAGGCAAGGGCATGGTTGGGCTGAGGCCAGCAAACTGTGAGCTGGAGGGACTTTCAGGCCCAGTGGCTGACATCTGCCCACAGTGTCCCGACAAGCCAGGCCAACACACTCACAGATGCACCTGAATTTTCTCATCTTCCCTGCCATGAATTTTTCCATCAACCACCCCTTCCTTTCTTGGTCCCTAGCACATAATTCTACTTTGTGCTCAGGTATCAATGCCAGGGTTTGTATTTGGGACCATACCAATGCAAGACAGGGACACTTTTGCTTAGTAGCACAAAATGGAAGTACATGTGCTCAAAACAAGTTAATGCAGGAAGGGGCTACCCAGAAAAGCTAGTGCACCAACTGAGGACATTAACAGAAGTATATTGTGTAGACAAGGGGAGGTGATGGTCAGCTCTCCCTGAATGCTCAGACTGGACTGGGAAAGCACATACAGGCTAAAATTTCTCAGAGGAGAGGAACTGGCTACAAAGGGCATTATTGGGAGAAACTCAGGAGCCCAGGGCTATCCCCAAATCCCTACAGGCTGTTACAGAACAGGAGGGAGGCCAAGCTCCACTCAGCCCTCCCTTTGGAGGATCATAAGCTACACGGTGAGTGCACTGACCTAAAAAGGGAGAGCTTTCTACAGGTGGAGGTCCCCAGGTGGGGATGGGCAGGAAAAGAGACCCTCAAAACAAAAATCCCTTGAGGAAAGGGACCTCAGACTCCAGGCTCCTTCAGGCTGGCCATAGCAGGGTGCTCCACCTGGAGGTGGGAAGGACCCTCCTCCAATTCTCAGGCCCCAGAATTTCTCTGCCCATGGGACTCTCTCAAGAATGCCCACTGCCTTTCCTTTATCAGCCAGCCTACCTGGGCTGGTTGCCTCCTAGTTCCTGGGGCTCTACTGAGAACAAGCATTGCATCTCTTTCTCCATGTTTCCCTCATCCTCTAGGAGGCTGGTGTATACACAGCCCAGAGCTGCTTGCTACAGTCTGAGTCAGAGGGGCCAACCCTCTGGGGCCAGCTCCCTGGGCCACTGTAGCATACTGTCCCCACTCCAGGCTCAACTTCGCATCTGTGAGCTGAAATCCCTCTCATCTTCCAGGTCTAAGCCCCCCACGTTCCAGTTTCTAAATGTACATCTGCTGGGTCCTCCTCAGGTGACTACTATAGAGACAAGCAGCCCCTTGAAGAGAAGCCATCCCAACCCCCATGCACACACCACTCCTCACCAGATCAGAACCCCACAAGAGATAATCTCAACATTCGTCTAAACACATCCACTACCACTTCATTATGTGTTACATAATGAGCTCTTTACCACTGGAGGCATTCAAGAGATGACTAGCTTCGGGGGTTCTGGGGTGCTAGTAATGTTCTGTCTCTTGTTAAGAGTGCTGGTTACATGGACATGATTTCCTTATGAGAATTCACTGAGCAATACATTTGTGAAATGTACACTTTTCTATAAGAACGTTATACTTAAATAAAAATGCTTAAAAATCAGAAGTGATTGGGATTGGCTCACCATTTGCAGGAAGGAGATGGGTCTAGAACATCTTGGAGATCCTTCATGGAGGCCATTGAGGCATTAACACTGAGGCTCTAATGAGGGTACTGTGCCTGCTCACCACCGTGTGCCTCCCACCAGCACAGGGCTCCCACCCAGCACATGGAAAGGCAGAGGCAGAAATCCGTCCAATAAGCAAGTGAGTTGAGGACCCACTGAGTACACAGAGGAGGGAGGGAAGGAGGGAGGGAAGAAGGGAGGGAGTACACAGAAGGATGGATGGGTGGATAAATGGATGGATGGATGGATGGATGAGTGGGTGGGTGAATAGATGAGTGGGTGGATGGATGGATGGATGGATGGATGGATGGATGGATGAGTGGGTAAATGGATATAAATGGGTAAGTGGGTTGGTGGGTGGATGGGTGGATGGATAGATGGATGAGTGGGTGGGTGGGTAGGTAGATGGGTAGGTGGATGGATGGGTGGATGAATAGATGGATGGGTGAGTGGGTGGATGGATAGATGGATGAAGGAGTGGGTGGGTGGATGAATAGATGGATGGATGGGTGGGTGGGTAGGTGGATGAATGGGTGGATGGGTGGACGGATGGATGGTGGATGGGTAGATGGGTGAAGGGATGCATGGTGAATGAATGGATTGATGGACGGGTGGACGGGTGGGTGAACAGATGGATGGTGGATGGTTGGGTAGGTGGATGGATAAATAGTGGATGAATGGTGAATGAATGTATGGGTAGATGGGTGGGTGGACAGATGGATGGTGGATGGGTGGATGAGTGGGTAGATGGGTGTATGGATGGGTGAGTGGGTAGGTGGGTAGATGGGTGAATGGTGGATGGATGGATAGGTAGATGAGTGGTGGATGGGTGGGTGGATGGATAGATGGTGGGTGGATGAATGGTGAATGGGTGAGTGGATGGTTGGATGGATGGATGGATGGATGGATGGATGGATGGATGGATAAGTGGGTGGATGGGAGGATGGATGGGGATAGACAGATGGATGGATGTGTAGATGGGTGGATTGATGGGTGGCAGATGCACGGTGGATAGCTGGGTGGGTGGGTGGATGGATGTGTGAATAAGCAGGTGCATGGAGGACTAAGTGAGTACATTGTGAATGGAGAGATGGAGGTGTGAATAACCGCTGCATGGAGGAAGAGGTGTATACTGGGGCCTGTTTCACCTACTGCTCTGACCTCATTAGACTCCACTGATGAAAGTGACCCAGGAAAGAGTAGGTGAGGGCAATGGGTATCTCCAACTCCTGGGTCTCACCTGATTCCCACCCCTCCTCAGAGCACCATGCTGGGTGTCTCCGCATTCCGAGGTGTCTCTTTGATGTACCCCAGAATCAGAAGAAACCCCACTTCTGCCCCATTTCTTGGCTGTGTCCATGACATCTACAAAGAGGCAGTGCTTCCTAGAGGGCCCAGAGCAGAGCGAGCCCAGGTCCGAGAAGGGTGTGGGGAAGAGGAGCTGCCCACAGGCATCTCCTGGCTCCCCAGCATGGCCAGCTACCCTGCTGGACATTACCAAGGAGGCCCCACTCCTCTGGGCCCACCCCATGGCGCCCTAGTAGGCCCTTCATCTGGGTCTGCTGGGCAGTTCTACTGAAGGGTGGAGCTAAAGGGAGAAGGAAAAACGCGATGGACTACTCCAGGAGCCCAGCCCTGGTCCCAGGGAAAACACCACAGTTGGAGCCTTCAGTAAGGAGATCCCAACTGCATGACAGAGTTCAAGGCCCTCTGCCTTGGTGTGTGTGGCCTTATCTGCGTCAGGTTCCTCATCTGTAAAGTGGGGGAGGTGAGTGCATGCGTGTGGAGGCTCCGTGCTCCTCTGGCACCAGCCTGTGGGGTCTGCTTGGTGCTGTATTCTGCAGCCCTTCCAAGAGGCCCACTCTGGCCCAGGAATTGTGCTGGCCCTGCAGGTGCACGGGAAAACACACACAGGTAGGGCCTGGAGCAGAAAACATAGTATTTATTAAAGAAAAAGGCTGGGACTGAGGCAGGCAGTGAGAGGAAAGGCTGGGAAGACTTCTTGGAGGACAAGCCCCTGTAAGACAGGTTAAAAGAGCCAACCAAGGAACATACCCCCTGCATGTGCTAAGCAGGGTGGCAGGGAAGGGGTTGAAGCAGCCACTGGGCTTAGCTGCCCCTAGACTGCACCCTGGACTGCAACCAACTGTTTGGGTTTCCAGCTCCCTCCTCCTCACTCAAGGCCAGGCCTTATCTTGTCATCTAGACTGTCCCCAGAGCCTCAGAGCCTTGGAGCAGCACAGACCTGGCAGGGCCAGGTGCTCGCCCAGAGTGTGAACCACGTACCAAAAACTGCACCAAGAGTGCCAGGAAAAAAAATGGAAAATGCTGTCTGTTTCACGAAAAGTCTGTTTAAGGTGCCGTTTATGAATGAGAAAAGGAAGCTATCTCAAGGCACTCTGTTTTCCAGCAGGTACAGGCCTGGGAGCAAGGCACCTCCAGGGACCCCAAAGCTGTTTCTCAGAGTGTACCCTGCCCCCAGCCAGTCAGCTCAATCCCCACAGCAACCACTCCTAGCTTCAGCTGGGCCCCGAGGTTCTGGGGAAATACTGCCCCTGATGTACGGCTTCCGCTCCTGCAAACTGTAGCAAGAAAAGGAAAAACCCACCTCTCCTTCCCTACCTAAGCCCGATTTCAAATTGTCCTCTACACTCTGCAGATGAGATCTGATTTCTAAGATCTGATGGTTTCTTCTTTTTTAATGATCCTGAAGGTGATAACAGCTCAGGTCACAGATGTTAGATTGGAGAAAGAAGTGTCATGGAGACTCTAACTCTGTTGGATCGTGGGGAGAGGCTAAAGCGCCTGCTGAAGGAAGGTCACATGTGTGTTCCAGGGGTCCCTTACACACCATTTGGCCCCAAGCAGGCCAAATCCAAATAAAACTCCTCCACCCCTGTCCAGACCCTGGCCCAGCACTCCTGACTTTCACCACTTCCACCAACAGGTGGTGGGGCGGGGGTTGGGGGGAAACTCAGACTGAACCCCTAATCAAAAGGAAACTACAGGGTACCTACGAGGGTCTCCCATGCAAAGGTCTAGCACTTCACAAGTTTAGAACTAAACATAATCTCCGCAGAAATAGCTACAAGTGGCACAGACATCAAAGGAAGCAAATGGGGAGGAATGGAAACAGAGCCTGATAAATGATGTAACTGAATTTGCCCTTTGCGGGGCCCAGCTGGACTCCCGTTCTTCCCTGGTTATGACAATGGTCACTGTGCCCCGGGATCCCCAGAGAGCTGGGGTGAGACTCAGGGTAATATCCCTCCAAAGCCTTTTAGGAAGGCTCGGCCACAGATTCAACGCAAAGTGGTAATTACATACGTTTTAAAAATCCATTTCACAGGGCAAGCTAATAGCTGCATCTGAGAAGAAGCCTTCATTCGTGGCCGCCCAGCACCAGCGGCTCCTGTCCCAGCCTTGGAGATTTGGGCAAAAAGTTAAAGCATGCTCAAGAAATAGCTCAAGGTTAGATTAAAAATCAAAACGCCAATGAAGATTAACCTGACTCATTAATATCACTGCCCAATAGGAGACAAATCCTTGGAGGGCGAGGCTTGGGGCCGGGTTTTGTTCTAGGCCTAGGAGCATCTTAATTTGCATTTATATTAAAAAAAGAAAAAAAAACAAACAGAATTAACTGGAAAGGTGCTTTGTTTCCTGTAAATTTGAACTCTTGTGCTAAACAGCTTCTTAGGGCAGAGAGCGGAGGCTCGATCAGGCTTCGTCCAAGAGCGTGGATTCCGTTCCTACTAAGTGCCGGCCACACTGTGCCTGGCAGCTGCAGCCCGCGGGATCTCAGCTGGACCTTAAAAGTCAGCCTGTCAGGTAGTTATTGTGAGACATCTCTTCTGCAGGTGGGGAAACTGAGGTCAGGAGTTGGGAAATGACCTCTCTCTGGTCTTTACACTATGGCCGAATTCAGATTCCAAGCCAGGTCTGTGGGTTCCAAGTTGAACATCTTTCCACAACAGGACAGCTGTGTTAGTGTTAGAGCTGTCTTTTATTCACATACACATACACACACACACACACACACACACGCGCGCGCGCGCACACACACACACACACACGCGCGCACACACACACACACACACATTTTTTTCCCAACCTTTCTTTCCAGAAAATCAGTGGAAAGCCCAAAGAAGGAAGCGAGGAAAATCAGCGAATTCCTCAGATGGCCTCTGGTCCCTTATTCATACAAGTCCCACAGCCCCTGAGGCGAAGCCGACACCCTCCATTTAGCTACACTTCCCTTGACAGCTTCTCTTTGGAGTTTTAACCGTTACAGGCATACACCCAGAGCTACCAATCAGAATCAACCATGGAAACACACCTCAGTAAGAACTTCATCAGTCTCCACAATGCATTTCTTAAGGAAAACTGGCACATTTCAGAGTTTGCTTTTAACACCAATCCTCTCCTCGATGTTGTCGCTCAACTCTCGGGATCAGCCAAGCATTTTATGTGCCTGTTTTACTACTGGAAGCCAGCATGCTAGCCAAATTCACCTGTCTTCCATCTTCAACCCTAAAGGCATGTTTAAGGGCCTTGGGGCTTTCTCCTTTCCCCAGGGGTGGCCAGTTTCAGAGGCATATTTCTTACTCTCCAGCTCTCCAGCAAACAGGCCCCTGTCTCCCAGAATCACTGCCCTGTGCATCTGCGTGCCACTGCCACAGTTTAAAGCCAGAGAAAATGGCAATGACTGGCCCTCTCAGAAGCTGGAAACACAGTGTGGGAAGGGAAGGAGTCATCTGTGTTTGGGGTGCTGGGCAAAGGGCGTGGGGCAAGCAAGAGCCAAGCTGATTATGTAGATAACAGAAGGACAATTTCCTTCACAAACAGAAAAACCTGCACCAATGAATTAAACATTTAAAACAAGATGACTCTCTAAAAAGTATTTTCAACCAAGAAGGAAAGACAGGCCGTCCTGTGCTGGCGCTTCCTGTTGCATATGGCACTGAGAAATCCTTTTTTTTTCAGTATGCAGAGATTTCCAGACAAAGAAAAATATCAAGAGGGAAATTAGAGGAGGAGGTCCAGAGAAGCGAGACAGGAGGAGCTGGGAAGAAGGGAGGGGGGAAGGAGGAGGTCCCTGCCCAGGGCACAGGGGTGTGAAGCCCTGAGGGGTGCAGGAAACAGACCACCCCCACTAACACACTGGCCTTGGCAAGTCCAAGGAGATGGCCCTAGAGAGGCAGCCTGCCTCACTGGGGCAAGTGAACCACAGAGACACCACCCTGCCTCCTGCCATGCAGGGTATCCACCACGTCCACCCGAATGAAGGTACCTGCCCCAGCTCCCACAGGTCTCCAAGTATAACGTCCGGGAGTCCTCCCAGCCCCCAGCCTTAGAGGGGACACTGCCCTCGGGACCGACCAGAGACCCTGCTCTGTGAATAGCGCCCTTGGCAGTGGGGCTGGCGGGCATCCCTGCAGTTTACCAGCTGGACCCCCTCTCGTGACTGGGGCTCAAGTTCCCTGGTTTCTGGGCAATGTCTAGACTGGCCTTTCCCAGTGTCACAGCCTAGGGAGTGGGCAGGTTCTGCCCTGCCCCCACTCTCCACCTCTACTGAGAGCAATTGAGGGGCTGCCACCCCCAACGCAAGCACCAGAGAGCAAACTCTCTCCTCCCAGGGGCCTGGGAAGTCCAAGCTCCAGAACTGGAACTCAGGGGAAAAAAGGAGCCGGGCGGGGGGAAGAGAGATGAAATCTGAGCTCAGAGAAGCCTGGAGCGGGGCCCAGGGGCTACGGAGGGTCAGTGCCTCTCACGCCCCAGGCGCACTCCCCTGCCACCTGAGTCCCTCTAGGAGCCATGGGTGCCAGGCCAGCCCTCTCCAACTCCCAGAGAGGTAGTAAGTGTAAGGCTCAGAGCCCCGCGCAGCCCAGCCCGCGCCGGGGCGGTGGGTGGGTGGGTGTCTGCTATGGGATTATTCTTAGCGCTCCACTCTCTTCGCAAAAGTGGCGCCTCCGCCCTCCCGGCTCAGGCACACTCGCTCGGGGCTCGCACGCCCGGCCCAGACACCAGCGCGGTGGAGAGCACCGGGTGGGGTCCCCGAAGGGTGAGGCTCGGAGGCGCCGCGGAGGGGGGGCTCCCTAGAGAGGAGGGGGCGCTGCGGGAAGGCCCCCAAGGGAGGCTGCGTTTAACCCTCGACGCCCTGCACCCAGCCCGGCGCGGCGCGCTCAGCCGCCTCCCCGGACTCCTCCCGGGGCGCGGGAGCCCAGCGGCGCGCCCAGCCCTTACCTATGGTGGTGATGACCGTGATCGCAAAGTAGAAGGAGCCGGCGAATTTCCACTGGACGCCGGCGCGGTGCGGTTCCGACTGCAGGATCACCAGCTCCAGCTGCCGGTAGTCCTCGCTGCTGATGTTGTACTTCCCCTTGATCCGGATCTCCTCGGCTTTGAGTTTCTCCTCCTCGCGCATCTCGTGGTCCGACTCGAGGGCGTCGAACACGGCGGCGCCCACCAGCAGGTAGGTGAAGGTGCAGACGATGAGGGACAGAGTCCGCACGTTCTGCCTCTTCATGGCCGCCAGCAAGGAGCCGGCGCGGGGGGCATGTCCCGCAGGCTCACAGCCGCGCGCGTCCCACTGCAGCGCCCGGCGGCCGCCGCCGCCTCCTCCTCCGCCGCCGCCGCCGCCGCCTCCAAGTTGTAAGCGGCGGCGGCAGCAGCAGCAGCAGCAGCGGGGAGGCGGGGGGCGGGGAGGCTGGGGGGGGCCCCCTCCGCTGGGGCCGCCACAGCCACCGCCACCGCGAGGCGGCTGGCGGGGCAGGGGCGGCGCGGGCCCGGGCTCAGCCGAGAAGGCGGACAGGCACAGGAGGCTGCTCGAGCGCCGGGGCCAGGCGTCCGGGAACCCCGACACCCTGCGCCAGACCCGGCCGAAGCAGCCCGCCCCACTGCGCAGGGCCATGCAGGGCGGCCCCGCTGGGTACCGCGCGGGCCTTGCTGCCCTCCGCACCCCGCCCCCCGCTCCCGCGGGAAACGCAGGGACGGGAACCGGAGCCAGAAAGCGGCCGGAGGGCGGCCGCGGGGCCCGGTACCCCTGTGGGTCCAGCTCGCGGGTGGCGGTGCCCAGCAAGGAGCCTGCAGGTCCGCGCGCCCAGCGGAACCTGCTTCCCCTTTTACCCCTCCTCGCCCCCTCTCGGTGGTGGGGAGGAAAAGTTTGCGAAGTGGCGGTGTCTCTGGAGTCCCCTGCAAGCGGGGAGGGGGCCGAGCAGGTGCAGCGGGAGGGGCAGCCCGCTCCCCAAAGGTCCGCGCGCCCAGCGCCCACCCGGGCGCGCGGGTGCGCAGCGGGGTCCCCGCCGGGCGTCGGCCGGTGCGCGAAGTTTGCTCGGCTCAACCCCCAAGGCGCGGGAGCGGGGCGCGGCCCCAGGACGGCAGGGACCGCGATGGAGCGGCTTCGGGGGCGGCCGGGGGACGGCGCGGTGGCGGTCGGCCAGCCCGCTCCTCCGGGGGCGGCGGGCGCGGCGGCGGCGGCGGGAGGGGTCCCGCGGGCCTCGCGGAGCAGCGGGGCGGACGCGGGCGCATGAGCCGCGCGGGGGTCGGGGCCCTCCGGCGTCCGGGCGTCCCGGGAGGCGGCCGCCGCGCTGGTCTGCCCCGGGCGCTACGTGCGTGCGCGCCGTTGGGAGCCCGAATGTGTGTGTGCGCGTGTGTATGTGCGTGTGTGTGTGTGTGTGTGTGTGCGCTTGGCAGCCCCGCTCCGGCGGGAGGGCCTCGGGGAGCGGGGGCCGGGCTACGCCGAGGCCGGGCCTCCCTCCCTCCCTCCCTCCCGCAGCCTCCAGGGCGCGCCACCTCCCGCCTGGTCCCCAGCCAGCTGGCGAGGCTGCTGTGGCAGCTCCCGCTGCAGACCCAGCGCGGCGCAGGGCGCACGCGGAGGGAGCCCGGGAGGGGCGGCCTGAGCCGCCAGGGAGGGGGCGGGGGCGGAGCCGCCGGCGGGTTTTGGCGGGGGATGGGAGGATAAACGCGGCTTCTTGGGTCCTTCTAGCCCCGCTCCCCAAGAGCGCAAGCAGCCCTGGCGGGTGGAGAGTTTGAGGGACTCGGGGTTGGAGGAGGAAAACGGGATTCAGCCAGAGATGGCAGGCTGACAGCTTCAGGCAGATTGGGCAGAGAGTGGGGAGCAGAAGGGGAGGGGGCCATGGGCACACAGGAGAGCGGCAGCAGCGGTTCACGAAGTCTTCCCCACCCCCCACCCCCCACCTAGCCACCCGGCGCGGGAGCGTGTCATTGGCCAGGGACATGGCCTCGTGGAGTGGTGGGGTCCCGAGGGCTGCCTCGGCCCCCTCGCCTCCCAGCGGCACAGCCCGCTTGGGCCAGCACCTGCAGACCCGAGTCGTTTCCCTGGAGAGCGCTAAGGACAGCATGGGCCGCCACTTTTGGAGTCAGGACAGCGGGGAAAGACATCGCAATCCCCCGACCCAGTAACCTCTCTGTTGCTTTACTGAAGGAAAAAAAAAAAATACACACACACACACACACACACACACACACACACACACACACACATATATATATATATATATATATATATAATCACTCTTTGATATATATAATCACTCTTTGGTTCCCCACAGCTGGGCGCAAGGTGCGCCGTGGATGCAGCCCTGAGCCACGCGATAGCCCCCTCGAGACCACCTGGGGTAGGAACACGAGGCTCGGGCTGGGGCGCACCTATTCCCTGCTTCCAGATGAGCCCTCTCCAGGCTTTATCTCCTTCCCATTTTGGCCTCCTTTACCTCCTCCCCCTCCCCGCCCTCTCCCTTTAGGCTATCGAGGGGCTTTTCCTTGACCTTCGGCTTCCTGAATCCCGCCTGGAGCCCTGGAGCTCCAAAAGGACAGACCCAAGCCTCAGAGACCCCTGGGCTCCTCTTCCTCTCCTGACCCCAGCCAAGGAAGGGATGGAGATGGGAAAGAGTTGCCTGGCGGCAGGCTAGCAGCTGGCCAAGGGGTGGCTGGGGAATCAGACCTAACCCTCGGGCAGCTCGCGGGCTCCAGGAGACCAGTCCCTTCTGTGGGTCGCCCCCTGGAGCGGTGCTCGGGCTCCCTGGCCTCAGGGACCCCGGGCCCAGAGGGTCTGGGACCCCAGTGATTCACCGAGGCCTCCCAGCTGGGACGCTCTGCACCCCACTTTCAGGGATCACGGGTGCCCACCAGGGAAGGGGAGCCCGCGCTGTGGGCTACGTCTGAGCCGTCAGGTCCTCGCTGGGTCTGCGGGCGCCCTGGGGCGAGGGAGCGGGGAGCCCTACCCCGAGCAGGCACTCTCCCCAGATTCATTTTGGAAACCAAGGCCCCCGCGCTCGGCAAGTGAGCCTGGCTGCCGGGTGAGTCACCGCGAGCGGGCGACAAGGATTCCCAGCAGCTGGTAATTAATTGCGCCGTGGCTCAGCCCACGACGGAACCCCAGTCAGGCCTCCCGCCGCCCTGGCAGCGGCGCCACCCCTGAGTCACAGCCGTCGGGCCTCCGCGCGGTCCGGAAGCCGCCTGCCCGCCTCGGCGCCACCAGGGGGCACTGGACTCCGACCCACGCGGCGGCCGCGCAGCCGGCCTCGCTGCGGGGAAGTCCAGGCTGTCCCCGCGGCAGCGCGGGCGGGGGAGGGGCGCGCCGGCAGACGCCGCGCTCTGCAGAGCCACTTCGATTTGGTTTACGGAACTCCATTTGCATACAGCCTTTCAGGAAAGCGCAACCGCTGTATGAGTACTGGAAGGACCTCTGAGATGAATTACTCCAAACCCCTTGTTTTACAGATGGGAAAACTTCCAGCAAGACAGGATCACGTGCCCAGGATCCCACAGTGATTCCGATGTGGAGCCAGCCCTGGAAGCCTCTCCGTGGCTTAAGGACCCCCGCTGCTTTCTGGCCCCAAGCTTAGAGTGCCTTGAGTGGCCACCTACCAGCCCCCAGACCCTGGTTCTTCCTCTCTTCCACCCGTGGGAATAGACCCGTGGACTCAGGACCTCCCAGGCAGTGTCTGAGCCGTGGAAGCAGAGGGTTCCTCGTCCGCCCGTCCACACCCCACATGTGCCACTTTCCAAGGCGCTGGACCTGCGGGTGGAATGGGAGCTCCTGGGAGCAAAGCCTGGGGCTCAATCAAGCATCCTCCCTACATCCCCAGCATCCATCCCGGATGGTGTGTGCCACACAGCAGCCCAGAGAGTCTGGCTGGGGGCAGCGCCTCTGCGTGCCTGCCTCCCTGGCAGCCCGGGTGGGTCTGGGTGTCCCAACTCTAGCCCCACCTCGAGAAGCGTGTGGAACTGAGGTGTGGCCAATCAGAGTCCAGAATTCCCCAGAGCCACGGTGATTGGCTGGATTTGGACGTGTGAAGGCCCACCTCAACCAATCAGAGCCCTCCTCTGGGTAGGGCTGTCAGCAGATAGGTGACCTGAGGAGGGAGGCGGGTCCTTCCCGACTCTTTGAGAACCCCAATGCAGGCACGTGGCGCACACGCGAGCCACCCAACTGGGGTGAGCAAGTGCATTCTCTTGTGGGCTTAAGCCACAGTCAGTTGGTCCCAAGCCTGTCCGGTGCTCCTGGTGCCCATGCGCTGTGTTTACAGCCTGTCTGCGCCCTCCAGCAGCCCCAACATGGGCCTCCCTTGGACCTCAGTTTCTGTAAAAACAGATGTACCTTATTAGCTAATAAAGAACATCATGGTTTTATAACTCTATCTGCTTGCTGCCTACTTGTTTGCTTCATTCTTTACACACAGTGGGTGTGCCTGCAGCCCCTGTTCTTACCCAGAGAGGCCCAGCAGTTTATCCTGGTCCCACAGTGAGTAAGGGAGGACCCAATTCCCAGGCCAGTACTTCTTCCACATCACCGCAGTGTGTCTGGGCCAGGGTGGGCTGTCTGCTGCTCCACGACATCCTGATTCCTTGGTATGTTCAACGCTTTGTCACATTAATGCCCACATCTTTGAAAATAGGCAGGGGTGCACACTCATCATACCCATTTTACAGATGGGGAAGGCTAAAGAGGGGAGTGGGGCCATGGGTGGGCTCACTGATCCTGGCGTACAGCCTGCCCTTCCCTCCACCTCTGCCCGGGGCAGACATCGCTCATTGATCTCAGCACTGTCTTTGGCTGGGATCTAGTACAGCCAGAGAATCTTGAACACAGGGGTACACATAAGGCCATTCCTGGACTTAACACTGACCTATGTCCTTTCAAGGAAGGTAAGGCACCAAGGAGTCCAGTGGCCCCAAATCACAGAGAGAGTCTGTGATGAGTCTCCTCTTCCTCAGTGGCCTCCCTGCCCAAAGTAGATATTCCTCACTCTGCTCTTAGCTGATTTCTCAAGGCCAGTGACATTTGCACAGTTGATGGCACAGCTGATAACTTTAGACCTCCAGCAGTGTCAGATTCCGGAGAAAAGCACTCCCAAGACAGGCAGCCATGCTCATCCAGGGGTTCCCAGCCTCCTCTTCAGGATGTGAACAAGTGTGTTGTGTGGTTACACAGTTTGAGAAACATTGGGTTAAACGGGGGCAAGTGCAAGACTTCTCAGAGCCTTTGTTCTGCTAACAGACATGGTGACCCCTAGATGGGAGTGCTGTGAGCAGTGTTTCCCAAACTCATTCAGCTGCAGCATCGGGTCCTGAGGACTGTGCTTTGGGGAATTGCTGGCCAGCCCAGATACCTTTACTGGGAGGCAGGAGGTCTTGGTTCCGCTTCTCGCTCTGCATAGACAAGCCCTGCACCAGTTCTGATCCTTCAGCCACCTCACTGTCCCTGCTGCCTGCAACTGAACCTCCCCTTCTCTTCTCCACCTGCCACCAGGGCCACCTTCTTAACAGGCTGACTCTTGCACATCCATGGTGAAAACTGTCCATGAGCCTGTGGGTCAAGTCTAAGCTCAGCCTGGCATTCCCATCCTGATAGCTGGCCTCCATGACCTCTCTCGCCCAGCCCCTCCTCCTCATCTTTTAGGATTCAGCTCTGGCAGTGTCTCCTCCAGAAGTTTCCCTGCCCCTGCAGACTGGACTAGACCCCTGTGTCCCTGCATGTACTCCTGGCAGAATGCTTCTACCACAATGACTCATTTGGGGGACTGCCACTCTCCCCCCCCCAGACTTTCAGCTCCTTGAAGGCAGGGGCCACATCTGACCCAACCTGGCCACAAAGGGCCTGCCACACAGTAGGTGCACAATGAATGTTTGATGAGAATGAAAGAACAGAGTTTGGTTCAATCACCAGTCATCACTCCTTGTGAGACCTCTCACAGGAAGGCAGAAGAAGTAGATGCAGGAGAGTCAGGGAACACAAGGCTGTGCATATGGCAGAGATGGCCCAGGCCATGACTGAGAGAGTGCCCCCAAGGTTTAGGCCTTGGCTCTAATGTCTGTGGATGTCCAATATAGCGAGGAGGGAGGAAAAGGAACAAGACAGACAGAGGTGGAAGAGAAATAATAAAGCAGAGAAAGAGGCTCAAGTGGTGGAAAGAGAGGGGAATGAGGCTATAGAGAGGAGTGGGGCCATGGGTGGGCTCACTGATCCTGGCATACAGCCTGCCCTTCCCTCCACCTCTGTCCAGAGCAGACATTGCTAATCGATCCCAGCACTGTCTCCGGCTGGGGTCTATTACAGCCTGAGAATCTTGAACGCAGGGGTACACATAAGGCCATTCCTGGACTCAGCACTGACCTGTTTCCTTTCAAGACCCCAGCTGAGAAGGCAAAGAAGATTTTAAACCCAGTGTGAGACAAGAGAGGAGCCAGGAGAGAGTGGCAGTGATGGTGTATGTGGCACAGAGAAAGGAGGCCCCTGTGTGCTGATTCCAGTGAGTGCACATGTCTCAATCACCTGCTGGATGTGGAGCCTGGGCTGGCACGTTCCCTGCTCTAGCTTGAGTCCTCAGGATAACTCTGTGAGACTGTTGCTATCATTCCCACTGGCCAGTGACAAAGCCAAGGCTCTCTGGGCTTACGACAGTTGCTATGGGAGGAGTCCTTTGAAAGGCACTGCCTCTGCAGGGCCAGGAGTTGGGGAAAGTGGTGTCCTTCTTCAACAGGCACAGGCGATAAGGGTTTGGGCCACTGTGGCAGCCAGAAGATTGAGATGGAAGACAGAGAGGTGACCCAGGCCCCGGCACACAGTAGGTGCTCAGAACTTGTTTCATTGGCTCCCTGATGAATCCAAAAATGGCAAGAGGAGTCCCCAGGACTCAGTTAGTGATAAGGTGAGTGCCAGGAGGAAGGGAGGCAGGAACCTGGCTCGGAATTTCTGAGAGACAAGGGGCAGAGCCAGTGGTGGAAGAGGGGAACCGAGGCCAGGCTGGCTGAGCTCAGGTGACCTTTGAGTTATTAGACCTCCAGCTGCCAAGGAAGTGAGTGGGTGAATTGAGCCCAAACTGGATGGGGTCTCTCCCTTAGATGCCAAGCCCTGGTGGTCTTCCTGGGCATTTTCAAGCTCGAAGCTTCTTGGTGTGCCATGGGGTGTCCTTGTGGCCACGTGGGCAAAGGCGCTGGCATGGCTAACACCCACACTGTGCAGGAACAGGATGGGAGGTGGAATCGGGCCCAGAGTGGGGCGGATCTGCCCCAGAGCTAGGGGCTTTTAAGAGCAGGAATTTCATTTTAATAGATGAGCAGATCATTCTTAGACTCAAGATCACATAGCAAAGGAGGGAAAAGCCAGGCCAAGCCCCCCTCCTTCAAGGCCCTCTCTGCTTAAGCCAAGGACGCCCCCCCCACACCAAGCTGCACACATGCACTTGCCCTTGCTTTATTAGAGGAAATCTGATTAGTGGATATCAGGCTTCTTAATGCGGCCTGAACCACTGCCCATCTCCACGCCTGACCCATAAATAGCTGCACTGCACAAGTGGCTGCCAGGATCAATCGGACAATCTGCAGAGGCTCCTCTGGCCAACACATCCCAAGAGGGGCTGCAGCAGGTATGAAACCTATGTCCGCCATGAGGATCTTATTAACCGAGGTGAGGCAGGGTTGATACTCCAGGGATACCCTGCTGTTCCAAAGCAAGAGGGGTGAGCGGCTGTGGGAGGACAGTGTGTGTCTCTGCCCACAGGCTCTCACTGCGATCCAGGGCTGGGCTAAGGAGCTGGGCCTCTAGGGCAGCAGGGAACACATCTCTGTCCCCAGCTCCCTCTCTGGATGCCCTGGGCACAAAGCAGAGGCTGCCAGGCATTTGTTGCTCTGATTAATAAAATGGATGTGGTGACAGCATAGTGACTGGTGGCCAGGAAATGGCATTGGTCACCGTTCCCTCAGTCACCTACCCCCACCCAATGCCCAGAATAATCAGACATGCGTAGTAAGGGGACATTTGTTGGACCCAGCTCTCCTGTCTTCTTAAAAATAAAGATAAAAATAAAAATGCGCTCTTAAAAACAAAGATCACAGCTTGTTGAGAACTCACTAGCTGTAAGACCAGGAAAGCCACCCTGTCAGGCCTCCTTGTCTTGCACTTGGAGATAAGATGGGATTCGCCTGCAGCGCTGCTGAAGTTGAGCCAGAACACCTGTAAAGTGTCAGCACAGGTGAAGAGCCAAAGCGAAGCCTGGACCCCGGGTCTGAGGACTCTCCCTCCATCGCATGAGCCTGTGCCTGAAGCACACGCCCAGCATCCCCAGCTTCTCCATCACCGGAATCCCTGGCTTTCCCCAGACGATCTCTAAAGCCCCCTTGGTCTGCGGGATGAACGTGGCTTCCCAGTCAGGCCCAGTTCCAAACTCGATGTGGTTGCTTGTGCCCTGTGTGACCTTGGGCAAGTGAGGGACCCTTTCTGTGCCTCTTTCCTTGTTGGTGAAACAAGGAGAAAGAGCCGGTCCCCTCCGGGGTAAGTCATGATACGAGGTTGCACGGCTCTGGCAGAGGCCTGGGTGCCCACTGTGCACTCAGCCAATGTTGATTCTCTTCCGAGTGTAGAGGGCATGCTGCCCTCCTCTCTCCACCTAACTGCCCGCCAGCAAGGGAGCGGTGCCAGCCGCCACACGCTGACGGTGGAGACGCTACTACACAGCCAGCTCCCTCCCTGTGGGAGCTAACTTTAGCCCAGTCACATGGAGCATTAGTTGTGCCTGTGCCGAGAGTTTACAGATCCCTGTGGAAGGTGTTTAAATATTTTTCCTTTTCAGAAGCCTATTTCTCGCCTCTGCCATTTTCACCTTTGTGTGGCAGAAGGTATTTTTGCAAACGCAGCAGAGGTGGCAGCAACTTCGCAGTGTGATGCGGCGTCCCTGCACACGCCGCTGCTATTTCGGGGATGCACAGGTGTATCATTTGTATCATTCCAGGCGCTGTCAACTCCCAGAGAAAGGGAAGAGAGGATTGGGTGCTTCCAGAGGCCCCCAAAGACCCCCTCAGGCACTGGCGCTGCCCCAGGAGGCCTTCCTGGACCCTAAGCTGTTCTGAGCCATGGCCTTAAGAGCTCTCCACTGCAAAAGCATCTGCCCTTAGCACTTCCCACTGTCCCCTGGAGCTTCCTAAGGACAGGGCCTGTGTCCAATCCATCTATGTCCCCGGCATCCAGCACAGCACCCAGCACAGGGCCAGATAACATTTACTAAACTGAATTACCTCCTGGTGGCCTCTGGAAGTACACCGGCTTCAGAGAGGCTTCTCTGCCTCTGAGCTGCTCTCTGCTCCCTTCACTTGCTGGCAATATGAGGTTGATGGGAGATGGCAGGTTTGGGAAATAGAGGCCCATGGGATCATGTGGGGGCCGCAGGAGCCCCAATCAGCTCAGGCTGGGGGGTCCCAGCAGGCTTCCCAGTAGAGGGTACTTCAGTCTGGCATTTGTCCCTAGGCAGGGAAATGGGTGAATTCCCGGCTCACACAGTTGCTGTGAGCACTGAGCCAACACAGGTGATGCCTCTAGGATGTGCCTGGCTCACAGCAGGGGCTCATCCAGGTTTAAGTCCCTTCCCATAGGGCAAGAAGGCAGGTTGTCGATTAGGCATCTTCCTCATTTGACAAATGAGACTCTGGCACAGAGAAGTCTAGGAACTTGCCCAAGGTCATGGAAATAACTGTCTGTATAAGGAGACACCACGTACCTTCTGGGTCCCCAGAACCCAGGCCCAGGCCATCCTGAGTTCCCCAGGGAGTCTGATGCAGCTCAGCAACCCAGTTCTTCCCACTGGTATCTACAAGGGGTACTGGGGACCAGGCAGCAAAACCTGCAAGGTCCCTTTTTGCATGGAGTGGATATGCTAATGGCACAGATGGGCAACGAACCAGTTAACCAGCAGGATAAGCTGCAAGGATGATTGCAGGGAGATGATCAAACAGAAGGCAATGATTAGGAGGCAGTGTGTGGTGTAGGGGGAGACCTTTGGGATGCACTGGTCAGGGAAGAGTCCCCATGGAGACAGTATTTGAGCTGAGGCCTGAATGACATTTGTGGACCCAGAGGGAAGGCATCCAGACAGAGGGAACAGCGGATGGAAAGGCCCTGAGGGTGGAAGAGCTTGGCATGTTCAAGGAAGAGCAAGGTGGCTGATGTGGCTAGGGTGTGGGCAGCCGGGAAAAGTGGCACAAGACAAGATCAGAGGTCAGCTCTCCTTGGCCCCAAAGAGGACAGGAGGCAGGTCTAGAGTGCAATGGTTCCTGAAGGCACAGGCAGGTCTGGACTTCCCTTGCGCATTCACAGAAATGCACTCTGTGCTTTGTGTAGAGGAGAGAGCTGAGGTATGGAACACCTTGTTGGATGGGTGTGGGATCTCAGCATCCACATTCCTGCTGGCCTCTGAGGGACAGGGACCTGGGACCTAGGGAGATCTCTGATAGTATTTCTGATTCTGGAGGGAAAAAGACCCCCAAGAAATGGGTGGCCAGTTCAAGCCACCATGACACCATCACTGATGACTGTAAACATGTGCAGGTTATGGTGTGCATGGCTCAGGTTCAGCTGGGCTGCAGCTGAGCCTCCATTGCCACCCTGACCACCTCCACAGTGTCAAAGTCCACTCACAGGGACCAGGGGCTGCTGGGGTGAGTTTGGTAAAGTTCCCACAGCTTCTTCTAACACCAACTGGCTCCCAGTGCCTTGGAACAGGCCTGGCAGACACAATGTGATCTTATAGCACCAGGAAGTGTCCCCGTTTCTCCAGATCTCTCCCATTGCCACTCCAATGCCTGAAATCTCTTTAATGGTGGCAGGCTGAGTCATGGACCCTTTTTAAAAAAATAATGTTCCTTTTTTTCTTTTTCAGACGGAGTTTCACTCTTGTCGCCCAGGCTGGAGTGCAATGGCATGATCTCGGCTCACTGCAACCTCCTCCTCCCCAGTTCAAGCGATTCTCCTGCCTCAGCCTCCCGAGTAGCTGGGATTATAGGCACACACCACCACCCCCAGCTAATTTTTGTATTTTTATTAGGGACACAGTTTCACCATGTTGGCAAGGCTGGTCTCAAACTCCTGACCTCAGGTGATCCACCCACCTCGGCCTCCCAAAGTGCTGGGATTACAGGCATGAGCCACCACACCTGGCCCTACCCTTTCTATTTTTGATCACAAAATCAATACCTTTTTACACAAAAATTGAGAAAGTAAAGTAATACATTTAAAAACGACTCTGAATCCTAAGGATTTTGCCTCTGGGGAAGTCTAGCTGCACCATTTTAGCAGGTTGGTGGGGAGCCGGCTTCAGGAAACACTGACTTCACACCCCCAAGTCAAGAGTTGAGTTCAAGGGAGTCATGGCAATGCAAAGGCAATGGAGCATTCAGGGGAGGAGGTCAGAGGAGGCCCCAGAGAGGAACGAGAAACACTGATGCCCCGACCGGCCCTGCTGAGAGGCTCTGTCTGGGCCCAGAACCACCATCCTCCCCAGCAAGCACATCTCAAGTGGCGCTCCGGTTTTTTGGGCACTTCCCACGTTCCCACAGTACAGCCCAGGATGGGACCAGGCAGAGATTCCTGTCTCCATTGAACACAGGGCTCGGCCCGCGGCCACAGAGCTGGTTTGGGATGTGTCGAGAGCAGAAGCCCATGCAGCCAGTCCAGGCCCCACTTGTCCCCAGCATGGTCAGCCTCCCTGGGCAAGCCACATTCTACCTGATCCCGACTGGCTCTGACACAGCTCTGGAGGTACCCAGAGCGGGTTAGGAGAACTTCCTGAGCATAAGGTCAGAGACGGTGCCACCTCCTGGGACGTCAGGAGGCATCAGGCTGGTCTCCCCTGGGTAGTGACAACTCTGCAGTCTGGAGCACTGGCGAATATCCCCAAAATCAAAGCCAACTTGAGTATGGGCACTTCAGGACCGCCATGCTTGAGGGAGGAGGTGGCTGGAAAGAACACCTTTTGCAAGGAGGGAGGCGATATTGGTCAAGAACTCAGGCTGTGTTCTTGGGCAGACCTGGTTCAGATCTTGGCCCAAGCACCAAGATGTCCTGGGTGAGGGCCCTGGACTCAGAGCTTCAAGCTTTTCCCTTGCAGAATGGATGTAATGAAGCCTCCTTGCTAATCAGGTGGGACGGGGGTGGATGAAAATCTATAATGTGAGCCATGTGCTGCACTAGCTCAGTCTCTGACCTTGACTCAGGAGAGCACAAAAGAGTGGGCCTTGAGTCAGATGGTCCTGGTTTGGAATCCTGACTCCACTGTGTACCTGCTGTTTGGCTGTGGGCTGGTCACTTTGCCAGTCTGAGTCTTGGTTTTCCTGTCTTGAAGTGGGGATGGGTGCATGTTTTCCTCTTGGCAGAGTTCCTGGCACAGGGAAGCACTGATTGGATGTGAGCTGGTCATGTTTGCCTCTGTCCTTAGCCTTGAACCTCACTCTGTAGCAAGCTACTCTTGCTTCTCCTCACACAGGGGCACCAGTGACACCCACACACCAGCAGTCCTGGGGACTCCAAACCCAGCCGGGTAGAGGTGGTAGCAGGAGGATCAGGGCATCAGGGAGGAAGAGGGGGATGTGGGGAGAAGCAGGGGAACTCCCCCAGTAGAAGGGGAAGTGAGCAGGTGGTCAGACAGATGGGAGAAATGGCAGGTAAGGCTTAACCCAGAGTGAGGTTCTGTGATTCTGGTCCAGGTGGACACCTCCTTGGTGCTTCCACTCCAGAGTCCTCCCTCTCCCAAACTAGACCTTAGAGTCCAACAGCCTCAGGACCAGAGGAGAGAAACACATGTTCATTCTTTCTTGACACAAACATCTGTTAAGCATCTGCTTGGCCAATTCCTGGTCCAGGTACTGATGATACAAAGGTGAGGTGGGCACCATCCCTGCCCCCGGGAGCTCATGTTGCTGACAGCATATGTTCATGTGGCCATCACCATGGCCATGGTTCATCATCAGCAACAAGGCCCCCCAGGTCAGCTCAAACACGTCCCCTTCCCCCACTCCTTGTGTCCTTGGCCAACCTGACTTCCGGCCAACCCAGCACTCATCTCTACTATGACTTTTGCCATCTTTTCTGGCATCATGGAAAGTATGCAGGAAAAAGATTCAAGGCCAGGCCCTGGGGACCACAGCTTCCTTCATCTTTCCCTCTGTCTTCACCTGGGGCCAGGCCTACATGCTGGTGTGATAGTTCTCCAGCCTCTCTCAGACCCTTCCGGTTTTCTCTTGAAGGCCTCCTCCCTAATCAATTTCTCTCTACTGGGTTCAACTGCATCTCCGCATCTTTACCCAGGGGCATTTGACATTCAGACCTGAGCCCTCAAGAGCTGATAAAGAAAACTTATAACATGTAAGGGGCCGCCAGCCAGACAGGAGAAGAACAGTTACACCTAGAGAAAGAGCACCCATATCCTATAGGTTTCTGAATCAATCGGGATGGGATAGGTTATGCAGCAGTAAAAAAAGATTTCAAAAAATTAAAAATCAATGGCTTAAAACAGCAAAGGCTTATTTCCTGCTCGTGTGAGTCAATGGGTAGCTTTGCAGGTAGCTCTGTTCCCTGGGGTCCCTCCCAGACAGGCCAGGCTCTTCTGATAAGAGCTTCATGATCCCTGGCAGGGAAAGGGAATGTGACAAATGCTGCAATGGGTTTGAAATCTTCTGCCCAGAAATGTCCCACATCACTTCCAATCTTGTTTCCTGACTGCAGCATGTCACATGGTCATGCCTGGGGAGTGCAGTTTGGCTTCCCACTCAGCAAAGACCTTGACCCAAGAATCCTGTCCCCAGGCAAGCTCCCCCTCATGTGGGAAGGCAAACGAGAGAAGTTTGAGAGCATGCTGCCTGAATCACCCACATCTCCCAGCTGAGGAAAAGACTCGGGAGAAGACTCAAACCCAAAAACAAATGAGACAGAATAGAGGCCACAAAATGAAGAGAGATGAAAAGGGAAAGACACAGTGGTGAGCAGCAGACCTTGATATGTGGATAAATTAAATCAAAATGAATAAGGATAGACCTGTCTCAGACTGCACAGCGGAAGTGCTGAGTAAGGGCTCCTGAAATAGGAGGTCCAGACTGGAAGGGAAAATTCTAATGATAGGCTCTTCATAAAAGCTATAGCTCAGCAGCCTCTAGGAGCTGAGGGGAGGGGAAGTTAGACATTTTCCAGAGTCTCATCCTTGAAGGGGAGGGGAGAGGAAGAAAATAAAAGAACTCTAGAAGTGTCACCTTTTTAGACCAAAGAAGAATAATTATGAAAGAAATAGAACATCTTGTTGGGTGAAATAGTTGGCAGGTTGTTTTCAGCCAATAGTAGAGAAATCTGTGCCTGGTTATACAAGCCAGAAAAGGAGGTGGCTTTGAAAGCAATGGGAGGATATGGTAGGGACTTCCTAATTAACAAAGGGGAAGAAATGGAAGGAAGAACAACTTAATCAGACCATCAAAAATGAGAGAAAGAGAAAGGACAAAAAATGGCAAAAATCAACAAAAGAATATTGTAGGAATTACGTTAATTAACTAAAGTTAATACTCTAAATGAAGTGAATTCTCCCATTAGAAGACAAATACTGTCATATTGGGTTCAACAAGCAAAATGAACAGAAAAAAGATAATAATAAGCCATGTATTAGAAATACACAGAAAACGGCTGGGCGCAGTGGCTCATGCCTGTAATCTCAGCACTTTGGGAGGCCGAGGTAGGTGGATTGCCTGAGGTCAAGAGTTTGAGACCAGTCTGGTCAACATGGTGAAACCCCATCTCTACTAAAAATACAAAAAAATTAGTAGCTAGGCGTGGTGGCATGCGCCTGTAATCCCAGCTACTCCAGAGACTGAGGCAGGGGAATTGCTTGAACCAGGGAGGTGGAGGTTGCAGTGAGCCGAGATCAGGCCACTGCACTACAGCCTGGGGCAACACTGAGAGACTCCGTCTCAAAAAAAAAAAAAAAAATTATATAATGAAACAATATGTAGCCATAAGCCTGTATGGGGAAAAAAAGAGGAACTAAATATATAAAGCAAAAAAGTATTAGGAAAGAAAAGAGAATTTGATAAAGAAAATTATAATGAGAGATAACTGCACACTTCTATCAGACATGGACAAAAAAATACTAGACAGGGAAGCAGCAGTGTGATGTATTGTATGCCGGCTGATTGAATCCTAGTTTGAACAAATCAGATTTAAGAGGCCATTTTAGGAACAATTAGGGAAATGTGAACATGAGTAGAGTTTTAGAAGGCCATAGGACATTATTGTTCTTTTCTCATGTGCAATAATGGTATCATGGTTATGTGGGGAAGCACCCTTTGTTATTAAAGGTGGATACGTAACCATCTAGGAGTGAAAGTCCATGAAGCCTATCATTTACTTTTAATACCCCAGTGAAAAAAAATAGAGCAATATATGCACAGTTATTGGATCTTTGCAATGTGTATGGTGTTCATGATACTTGTTTCTCTGCTTTTCTGTACATTTAAAATTTTTCAAAACAACCAACTTCAAAGAATGACATCAGAATTGAAAAATGCAACAAATAGATGTGACCATCCATATGATATACAATGGACGAATACTTTTATTTGTTTGTTTTTTAGAGATGGGGTCTCACTACGGTGCGTGGGCTGGTCTCAAACTCCTCAAACAGCTCCAGTGATTCTCCTACCTCAGCCTCCTGTATAGCTGGGACTACAGGTGCATGCCACACTATACCTGGCTAAAAATCAGTTTATAATAGAAACTAAGAACATTTTACCAAATTCAAGTACACAAGAACAAAGTTTTGCACAGGCCATGTGCTTCTGGCCATATCCCATATGAGTAGAAATAAATAATTAAAAGGGAGCAAACCAAGAAAAATGCTTTACTTAAAAATTTAAAATATCCCTACATAATCCTTGGATGAGAGAGAAAATCAAAGAAGAAATTAAATACTATTTGGAAAACAAAGAAAAAGAGAGTGTTTCCTATTAAAAGATAGGGAGGGAAGTTAAGACTGTTTAGAAACATCCAGCCTTAAATGTCTTTATCAGAAGGGGAAAAAGACTAAACATAACATTATTTTACTGCTTGTCTCAAGAAAGGAAAAGGAACAATAAAAGAAACAAAGAGGGAATTCACAAAGATAAGAACTGAAATTGATGAAACAGAAAATTAAAAAATAGTGTAAGGAATAAGTAAATGCAAAAGCTGGTTCTTTGAAATGGCTGATAAAATAGAAAAAAAAAAACTCTCGTGAGTCCAGTTACAGAGAATGAAGAAAGAGACTGAAATTAGACAAGATTAGGAATGAGAAGGCAGACATAACCAATATAACTACAGATACAGGGGAGATAAAAAATAATTATGAGAGAACGTTATATGCAACTCTGTGATAACAAATTGAAACCTCAAGGAAATGGATGATTTTCTAGTAGAATTACCAAAATCAATTCAAGAAAAAAATGGAAAATTGTAACAGACCAATTACCATTTGGAGAAGGTGATTGGAGACCTGTCAGTGAAAGGCAGCAGAATCAGACAGGCTTACAGCTGAGTTGTACCTAATTTCTAAAGAACTAATCATTTCAATGTTGTTTAAACTATTTTGAGCCATAAAAAAGTAGCAAAACTGCCTTATTCATCCCATGCATCTAGAATAACTTTAGTACAGGTAGTACGAGATAATAGAAACTACACATGAATGGCACTTATAAGTTAAAAGTTTCTAAATAAAATAATACCAAACATTAATAGAATCCAGTACATCTCAAAAAGATAATACATTACCCTATTAGGTTTATTCTGGGAATGCACTGTGTGGTTGAGGACCCTTGGCCCTGAGGACACTTTGTAGGATATTGTCACCCCTCTTCTCCCAGCATCTTTTGGCATGACAGAAGCAAGTAGATGTTAGGCAAGGGTTACTAGTGCATTGATGAGCTCAAATTAACAAGACTGGAGAGATCTAAGACATCCAATGGAGACTTAATATCTTTTAGGAAATGCCAAGATTTTATACGGAAATTTTACTGGGTTTATGTCCAAAGCAGGCTCTAAACAATAATATGGTTTCAGCATCTTTTACACATTCCAGAAAACCAATTCCTTTCCCTTCTGATTTGAAACACACTATGGGAAAGGCTAAGGGAATTTTCCTCTTTTTGAAATAAGCAGCAGTGTGCACATCGCTATCCTGAGCATGAGATATACCTAATGTCACTGAATTCTCTGTAGGGAGGTGATACTATCAGCACTGAGGCTTGGAGAGGTGCAGTGACTTCCCAGGACATTCAAATGGCAAGGGCAGAGTCCAGATCTAACGGGCATAGTCCGGATCTAAACCCAAATGAGACTGGATGTGAAGCCCAAGCTTTCACTGGCAGACATGGAAGCCTCACATGTCCTCTGGTGACTTCCTGGTTCGTCGAAAAGTTCCAGTCCATTTATTCAAGGCCAGGCGGAATACAACAAGCACTGAATTAGGCATCAGGAGACCTGGATTCTATTTCATGCTCTGCCACCAGCTTTTTGGGGGCCTGGGCCAAGACTTTTAAGACTTCTGCCCTTCTGCAACTGAGTTCCTTATAAGGCTTGTCTCCGGAGTGGTAGCTGTAGGTCGCTGTCCGTGGTGCTAAAGGCGTTCCTGCCTGAGGGCTCCAGCTTCACTCACAGAGGAGCAGGCTTGGGCGGCTGCCAGGAGAACACTGTGATTAATCAGCAGGTTTGAAATGGCAAACTAAATTCTAAAGGTGGAAGGAAGGAAGAATTCTTTATTGGTTTGCTGGGTCAGTGCCAAAGGATCTTAAAATTCTTTCTCTTTTTTTCTTAACCAAAAGCCACGTCTTTGACAATTCTCATCATCTGAATTGAATATCTCACTTTTTGGACAGAGACCTAGATTAATTAAGTTTCCACTGTGCAGGTGAAGAAATGGAACATTTCCTAATTTCTAAAGCTCTTTGTTTGCTCCTCACAAATCCCATTATTCTTTCCCCCAGAGGGAATCAGTATGCTAAATTTCGTGTTAATTACTTTTTGGTCTTTATCATTTGCTTGTGTGTGTTTCAACTTGTGTATATATCCTTAGTAAATACATTGATTTGCTTTTAGAACTGCACTTAATTGGAGTCATACTGCATGTATTCTTCTATCCCTTGCTTTGTTCCTTCAACATTGTGTTTGAGATGCATTCATGTTGTTGCATATTCATGATTGTGTAGTATTATTCTATAGAGTATGCCATAGTGTATCCATTCCAGTCTTAATATGACATATGAATTTTGTCATTTTTCCTATTATTAGTAATTATACTATAAACATTCTGGAACATATATTATGTTGCATGAGACTTTAGGTTTCATTAAGGGTATGTAGCTGGTAGTGGAATTGTTGGGTTATAGCCTATGACTAGTTCAACTTTACTAGAAGTGGCAGAGACTTATGGTGTTCACTATATCCCATTCTCTCCTCCTCCTATGGGAGATATGACCCATTTGCAGTCAGTTGGAGTCATGAATCTTGCTCTGCCCCATGGATTCTGAAGATAAGTCACATATCCTTGCCAGGTTGAATATTCTCAGTACAGTGTCAGACCCTCTTCATATTACTCCATTTGTGACTTGTCTTTCCACTCTCTTTGTGGTAAATTTTGATGAACAAATGTTCTTAACTTTCACATAGCTGTATTTATCATTTGTATGGCTTGTGCTTTTTGTGTCTTATTTAGAACATCCATTCACTATGCCAAGATAATAAAGATATCTATAATGTCTTCTAGATGCTTGATAACTTTGCCTTTCATGTTTACATATTTACCTAGAAAGCATTTTTTATATGGTGTGTAGTAGGGTCCAACATCTTTTTCCCTATGGTTACTCATTTTCCCAGCACTGTGTAAGGAACTGTCCATCCTTTCTCCACTGGTATGTGATAGTGATATGTCATGCATCAAGTCTTCACATAGGGATATGTCCATTTCTGGGCTCTCCACTGGTCCATTTGTCTATTCCACACTAATTGCTTTAGCATAACAATACATTTTGATTTATTCTTCAAGAGTATGTTAGCTGTTGTTGGACCTTTGCATTTCTACATAAATTTTAGAATCAGCTTGCCAAATTCCACCAAAAAAAGTCAAGATTTTTATTGGCGTTGCATTGAATCTGTAGATCAATTTAGCAAGAATTTACAACTTTATGAGAAGGAGTCTTCCAACCTATTTATTTAGATCTTCTTTAATGTCCTACAATAAATTTTTATAACTTTCTCCATAAAGGTCTTGGATATTAAAGGAAAGATTTATTCTTGGTTTCTGTATTAGTTTCCTATTGAGGAACAAATTGCCACAAACTTAGTGGCTTAAAACAACACAAATTCCTTATCTTACAGTCCGGGAAGGATGAAGTCTGAAATGAGTCTTCTCACTGGGCAGAAATAAAGGTGTCAGTAGGGCTGCATTCCTTATGGAGTTCCTACAGGAGAACATGTTTCCTTACCTTTTCCAGCTTCTGAAGTTTGAGGCATTCCTTAGCTTTTGACCCCTTCCTCCATCCTCAAAGCCAACGACATTGAGCTAAGTTCTCTTGCTGCCATCTCTCCGGCTCTCCTTTGCCTCCTTCTTTCCCTTTTAAGAATTCTCATGATTACATTACATCTACCTTGATAATCTCCCTATCTTAAGACCAGATGATTAGCAACCTTAATTTTATCTGTACTCATTCTTCTTCTTTGTCATGTAACTCGGTATTATCATAGGTTCTGGGAATTAGGATGTACACATCTTTCAGATGCTGTTATTCTTCCTACCATGGGTTCTTTATATTTTTTGAAGTTCTAAGAATAAAGTTTATAATTTTATTTTCTAGATGTTTGTTGCTATGGTGCAGTAATGTTGTAGATTTTTGTATATCAATTTTGTATACAACCTTGCTGAATACAATTCTAGTAAATCTAAAGATTCTTTAGTTTTTGTTATTGATGATATAATGTACATGAGTTTTGTTTCTTGCTTTCTAGACTTTATGCCTTTATGTGTGATTCTCTTTGCTTTTCTGTGCTAGTATGGACCCCTTATACAATGTTGACTAAAGTGAAGATAATGAGCATCCTTGTCTTATTCCTACCTCAATAATGAGAATAAGGCTTGCTGTATACAGTTTTTACAGATAGTCTTTTATCAGGTTAAGGGAATTATCTTCTAGACCTAGCTTGCTAAGAGTTCTTTTTGGGTTTGGGGAGTTTTTAATCATGAAAGAATGTTGATTTTTATCAAAAGCTTTTGATATGATCATCAAAGGATGATCATATGATTTTTTCCAATTTGTTAGTGGGGTGAATTCACTAATGCTTTTTTAATGTGAAACCAACCTTGCATTCTCTGAATGAAGACACCTTGATCATGATACACTAACTTTTTCACACATCATTGAATCTGTTACCATTTAGAAGTTTTGCATTTTAAATGATACTTGATTTAGCCTGAAATTTCCTTTCTCATGTTGCTTCGTCAGATTTTGGTATTAAGATTATACTAACCTTATAACAATATTTGAGTGTTTACTCTTTTTCCACATTTGTAAACATTTTGTATATCATTACAATTTTTTTGTTCCTTAAATATTTATTAGATTAAAAACCATCTGGGCCTACAGTTTTCTTCTTGGAAAGATTTTTACCTTGATTTGATTTCTTTACTGGCTTTAGGATTATGTAGTCTATTATCATAAATTTTATTACATTTTTCTAGACAATTTACATTTAAGTTTTCAAGTTTATTGACATAAAATTCTTCATAATTTCCTCTTACATTTATAATATCCTTGTATCATTGTCTGCAATATCGGATGTCCCCTTTATTTGTAATGCGGTTACTTGTGCCTTTTCTTTGTCCTTATTAATCTAGTCAGAGTTTTCTCCATTTTATCAGCTTTTTCAATAAATAACCATTGGCTTTTTCCTATTGTGTGTTTCTTTTCTATTTTATTAATTTATGATCTTATCTTTATTATATCCTACTCTTTTCTTTGATCTCTACTGCCATCATTTTCAGTTCCTGGGGATGGTGCTTAGCTCATTAACTTTCACACTTTCCTCTTTTGATTACAAGCATTTGAGTTTATAAATTCTCCCTCTAAATACTGACTTATCTGAAGCATACATGTTTTGACATATACTTTTATTATTGTCCATTTTCAATATTTCCTACTTTCCATGGTGGTTTCTTATTTCAGCTATGAGTTATCTAGAAGTGTTACCTAATTTCCAAATACATGACTTTTATAATTATAAAAAATTAAAATGATAATTAAACCACAAAAAAGTGATCAAGTTCTAACTGAATCATATTGGGTTCAGATAATGTGATCTATAATACAGTCCTTCCACTACATATTGGGCCATAAAACAAACAATAACATATTTGCTTGATGAAAATGTCTCTGTACAGCAGTTGAAATACTTTATATATGTCCATTAGGTCAAATTTATTAGACTTTTCAAATCTTCTCTACCCTTAAAATTTTTGTCTTCTTAATCTTTCATTTTCTGAGAGAGCTGTGTTAAAATCTTCCACTGTAATTATTGGTTTGTCTATTTCTCCTTATAGTTCTGTCAGGTTTTGCTTTATGTATTTGACACTGTATTATTAGTTGCATACAAATTTGGAGTTATTATAGCTTCCTGGTGAATTACTACTCTTATCATCATATTATTGTCTTTATTTCTAGAGTAATTTTGGTTTTTGTGCCTTATAATTTCTTTTCATTAGGACTTTTCTGTTACATATTTTCTTGCCATTTTATTTCAACCTTCTGTATCCTTATGTTTTAATCTATATTGTAAACATCATAAACCTGATTTTGTGGGTTTTGTCATCTTTCAGCTAACAGATTTAGTATATTTTCATTTATTGTAGGTACTTATTTCCATAACTTATAATCACTTTTTAGCTGTTACATAACTTCTCTGTGCCTCATTTTTCTCCACTGTAATACAGGGATAATAGCAACATCTACTTTAAAGACTTTTGGCTGGGACCAGTGGCTCATGCCTATAATCCCAGCATTTTGGGAGGCCAAGGTGGATGGATCACCTGAGGTCAGGAGTTCAAGACCAGCCTGGACAACATGGTGAAATCCCATCTCTACTAAAAAAATACAAAAAAATTAGCTGGGCATGGTGGCGGGCACCTGTAATCTCAGCTACTCGGGAGGATGAGGCAGAAGAACCACTTGGACCTGGCAGGCAGAAGTTGCAGTGAGCTGAGATTGTGCCACTGCACTCCAGTCTGGGCAACAGAGTGAGACTCCATCTCAAAAAAAAAAAAAAAAAAAAAAAAAAAAAAGACTTTGTAAGTAAGCTTATCTATATCTATATATCTCCTAAGGAAGGAATAGAGAGTTCCTTATAAGCATACTTGTTTTATATTTTATAGCATACATATGAAGGTTTTATATATATAATCTTAGAAGAATGCTTAACACATATGGCTATATTAAGTGTAAGCATCACTATTAGTATTATTAATACCATTAGGGTTGTGGTTTTATTTGTTCTGCCATTTCTATTTCTTTCTGTAGTTTTTCTTCTTTCCTTTCTTGACTTCTTTTAGACTGATTAGTTTTCCTTATTCCAGTTTTGGGGTTCACAAATTTAGAAGTTGTTCATGCTATTTTTCATCTTCTTGATAGTTACTCCAGAAATGGAAACCTGGACACATTTTTTTTGAGACAGATTCTTGTTCTGTCTGTCCCCCAGGCTGGAGTGCAGTGGTACAATCATGGCTCACTGCAGCTTCAACCTTCCAGATTCAAGTGACCCTCCAATCTTAGCCCTATGAGTAACTGGGACTACAGGCATGAGCCACCACCCCTAATTTTTAAATTTTTTGTAGAGATGGGGTCTTGCTATGTTGTCCAGGCTGGTCTTGAACTCCTGGGCTCAAGTGATCTTCCCACCTGAGCCTCCCAAAGTGCTGGAATTGCAGGCGTGAAACATCATGCCTGGCTGAAACTTTCATAAATAAAGCACCAAAGCCCAAGTCTAAGTCAATCAATATCCTTACCCTCCTCCTAAACCTTTGAAATTGAAATGAAAGGACCTTATCACAGTTTAATTCCAATCATCCCCTCACCAACATTTATGTGCTATTTTGCTATATATGTTAATTCTATTATGCTGTAACTCAACAATTCACAATTATTATTACATGTACTGTAAATGTTTGTTTAGATTTACCGACATATGTATCACTGAATTTGTTCTTCCTTCCTTCTTGCATCTCTGACATTCCATCTGCTATCAATTTCCTTCTACTTGTATTTCAAATTCCCTTTAAAGAAGTTTTGGTGGTGGAAAACTCTGCTTTTGTTTATAATAAAATGTCATTATTTTACTCATTGAAAAGTATTTTTGTTGCTCAGCACATTCTCGATATTATTTCACTAACTCCTGGACCCCACTGTTCTTGGTGAGAAGTCAGCTGTCAATTAATTGCCACTCTTAGGGAAGTAATTTTTCTTGTCTTTCTCTTTTAAAAATCATCCCTTTGCTTTGCATCTGGTCTCCTGAAATTGTATTATGATGTGTCAACTGTGTATTTTAAATGTTATCCTACTAGGAATTTCTTTGACTTCTTGAATCTGTGGATTTTTATCCTTATGAGTTTTAAGGAGTTCTCAGTCATTGTTTCTTCAATACTGCATTTTCTCCATTTTTTTATCTTTTCCTCCAGGAACTCCAATTAGATATATTTGAGAGTTTCTCACTTTGTCCTCCATGTTTCCTTACATTTCTTTCATATTTTCTGGTCTTTCTGGTTTCTGTTTTTAATAACATCTTCAATTCTACCTTTCATTCACTAGTTCTGTCTTGAACGGAGTTTAATCTGCTCTTTCAGCTATTCATTAAATATTTCACATCAATTCTGTTTTCCAGTTGCAGAAGTTCTGCTTGATTCTTTTATGATATTCTAGCTCTTTACCCATTTTTATCTTTTTCATTTCTTATAACATGTTAAGCACAGTCTATGTCTGATAAGTCCAGTATGATTCCTTTTCAACCCTGCATTTGCTGATTTTGTCTCTCCTAGCTCTCACTCATGATGCATTGCTTCCTTGTGTATTTCATGATTTTCTTTGTTTTTAAACTCTGAAATAATCATTTTCCTCATAGAAACTCTTGCAGGTTTTTGGATAAAAATGAATTCCTCCAGAAAGGATGTGTTTATTTCTTTGTCTGGTACCTGTATTATGGAGTGCTGTCTGTCTTTGAAATTAATTAACAACTTAAGGTTTGGAAGAGGCAGTTAGGGAGTGTAATTTGGGACTGCAAATTCATGGGAGGGTCAATATGGAATCAAAGGGTCAAGATGGAATCAAAGGGTCAAGACAGGGAAGTGTTATATCTACTCTCCTAGTAGGGTGGGAAGAGGATTATTTTTAGTTCATCCTTTACTAAAGGTGTAATCTTTAGGCTCTCAAATTGATGCGGAGCAGTCATCTATTCGATTCCCCAGCCAGTGGGCCCTGAGCTTTGTCATCTTTCCTCCAGTTTTGGAAGGCTGAAGACATTGATACTCCAGCTTTGGCAAAACCCCTCAAAGTGGAAGTTGGCATCAGTGCACAGCTCACCTCCCAGGACTTTGCCTACACACAGGTACTGGGGTGAATATTTCTGACTCTCCTGCCGGGTCATGGATGCACTTACAAATGTGTTTTCAGTAAGAGGCTTAGCCTAGACCCTTAGTCTAGATCTCTAGCCCTTCATGTTGAAAGCCTTTTTTGATCAAAATTTATTGTGTCTTAAGACATTGCTTGAGGCCCCAAGAGCCATGTGGTCACATACATCTCTCTCTCTTCCCTGCTTACTGGGATCAGAAATACCTCTTAACAAGTCATCATTGACAATTTCTTGGCTGGTAGGCTCAGAAGCCCCAAATGATGCTTACATGTTTTGAAACCATCTACAGGTCCGGACTTTGCTTGAATACTTCTATTGACAAAGAGCTCACTCCATCAGCATTTCCTGTCCCATTTCAGCACCTGTGTTAGAAAGTTCTTCCTTACATGCTTCATGTTACCTAATACATTAAGCCATGCAGGGGACTAACGGAGCATAGCAATGTGGCCTGTTAAGGGTTCCAGGAGAAGAATGGAATTTCAGGCACATGGCACAGGATATTTCAGGCACAGGACATGTGGATGGAATTAAAAAGAACAGCAATGGGAAGGCTAGGAGAAGGGACCCAGTATTTATTAAGAAGTTGCTATCATGTGCTAAAAAAAAATCTAGGAGGTTAAATCAAATAAACTGATATGAAAGTGTCCATGAAATAAGTATTTTTATCTCTATTTATTCAGATGAAAAAAAATCAAGGCTTAATTTAAGTAACTTGTCCAAGGTCAAGGAGTTGACAAGTGGCTGAGCTGGAGTTCAGCATCTCAGACATCTTCCTTTGAATCCTTGCCTTCCTTGTGAATTTCAGATGACGGAGCATGACGGCTGCATGATTATGGGGTCACCGGGCCTGTCCTGGCCCTGAGGGACCAAGGATCAGAAGGGCAGAACCAACTCGCTCAGCTAGTGAAGTGCAATGGACATGATCTGTTCCTGGCTTACCCTCCGCTGGCCTTCAGGAGGTTTCTGAATGCACCAGGGGCCTAGAGAAGCAGCAACTGCTGGACTGTATTGCCAGGTAGCCAGTAGCGTGGGGCCCTGGAAGAGGCTGGAGGATACTGCGCTGTCACTGAGACACCTGCCCCAGGTCCTCCATCTCAGCCACTGCCCACAAACACAGCTCCACAGCCAGAAAGACCCAGCCACAGAAATGCCAGCAAACAACACCCCTGGCTCCCCACATCCCACGGTAAAGCTCCAAACGCTTGGAGCACACACAAGGCCTGACTCCAGGTCACCTTCTCTACTGGGACAGAAAGGGTGCCCTGGGGGTGGGGAAGGGCCTGGGGCTGGCAGAGCCAGGCTGTATTTGGGTCATTTTCCAGGAGGCCTGGGTTATTTCTAACACCCCCTCCTCCAAGAAGACAACTTTGCCTCCTGCCCCTTGAGGTTCTTCCTTCTTGTGGCATCCAGCATTTTCTCTGGTAACTGTTGTGGGTATTTTTTGCAGTTTGGGAAACTAAAAAATATAGAAAACTGCAAGAAATAATTACAGTCACCAATATGCTTGCCACTCAGAATCAAACACTGCCAGAGTTTTCCATATTGGCTTTTCTAGGCTTCTATATGCATCTATATCTAATCTGGATCTGTGGCTGGATCTATATCTGTAGCTATGTGTGTACCTGTATCTTGATCTATTGTGCTTTTGAAAGGAAAGTACGTACTCAAGTCCCCGGTGACCAGCACCCTCATGCTGACATCAGATGTCAAATGCAACTCCAGTTCAGGTCACTCTTCTACAGGGGATGTGTATCCTTTCTACCTTTTAAACATGTTGTTATAGACACGTTCTGAGGCATAGAAAATTTATAATTTGGGGGGACATTGTCTACACAAGTGAGGTTGGGCTGAGCCCATCATCCTGCAATGTGTTGTTTCATTCAATGGCGTATTTTTGGGCTCTGTTGAGGTTGACACACATGGATGCTGTTTGTTCCATTCAGAAACAGCCCAGGTGGCCAGGCCCTCAACTACGCTGAGGCATCCTGAACGGAAGGGCTGAAGAGACCGCCCTGGGGTCTCCACCCCCTACTGCAGCCAGACCTTCTGGGGCTGCCTTCCCTGGGGAGCCTCGAGCAGATGCTGAATGAGCTCCAGGAACTGAGGGCCACTGGACACCCGCCCCCACATGCCCCCAGCCCACACCACATCACAGTGTGCTCCCATCATTCACTGAGCGACAACAGGAGGCCACAGATGGAACAAAAAATTTGTTCCTTAGGCCGGAGGCCACAGGGTGACCTTGCTCCCAGCGAGGGAGGTTTGGGCCTGGGACTTCAGGTCCTCAGGAAGTTCCCTCAGCCCCGCAGGCCTCCTGATGCCAACATGACTCTGCCCCATGGGAGGCCAGGGCAGCCACTTCCTGGCTCTGCCTGTTTGGCCAACTGGCCTTTAGGAAGCCCCGCTCTCTGTCCCCCAATACTCCATGGGAGTTTCAGTGCCCAACGGGCACCTGACGAGCCTGGTATCTGCTGGGGACCAAGGGCTGTTTATCCTCCCTGGGACCTGGGGAGCTAAGGGTCAACACAGCCAGAAGCCTGCCCCCAGAACAGGACTCTTGTGGGTAGTGTAGACACACCCCAGCTCTGGCCCTCAAGGGAGATGTGAGCCGTGTGCTTTCTCTCTCCGGTCCTCCCTGAGGAACGCAGGGCCAGCTGCCCACTGTGGCGGCAGCTCGGGCCCAGTCACACTCCTTCACTGGTGATCTCCCTCCCCTGCAGGCCTCCTTCCACCTCCCAGACAAGCTGCTGGTGACCAGATTCCTGTCTCAGCGTTTGCTTATGTGAGATCTCTAACTCAGAACCCGTCCCTTCCTGGGTCCGGCTTCTGCTGGGAAGCCAGCCACCTGAGGTGGGGGCTGACGGGCTGGGTGGGGGCCCCGGACTGCACTGGGCTAGCAGATGCAGGGAGGCAGGGAGGGGGAGGCAGGCCATTTATTGAAGAACTGCTTGCAGACATGGACACACACAGCCATGGTAACCAGACGCCACCCTGGGGCCAGGGAGCACCCAGAAACAGCCCTGGGCTGCCAGCCCAGGCCTGGACATTTGCCCACCACGGGTGGAGGGCCTCTCTTGGCATCAACCATCCACGACCTCCTACGGCACCATCTCTCCTGCCAAGTTGCCCATGGGGGTCTCCAGGAAGAAAACCAGCCTTGGGGGATTCCAAGGCCCAGGGAGGGTGGGAAGCTGCCCACGCCCTCAGGCTGTGCCCAGTCTCATGCTCACCATTTCTTTCTATGGCCAAAGGGAAGTCGCTGGACGAGGGAGGTCCCTCTGCTGGGATGAGCAGCACAGCACGGCTGGGGCCCCAGGTCACAGAAATGGGTGCAGGGATCCTGGGACCTGGGCTGGATGGGCACCCGCTTTGGGATTTCCTCTGCTTCAGCCTGTGTATGGTCCAGGGAACAGTGTAGGAAGGGGCGTGGCATGGGGTGGGGCTGCCATGTCCGGGGCTTCTGCGTAGCCCAGCAAAGATGCTACAGGAGGAACAGGAGGAGAGGGCTGGGAGGGGTCTGGGGGAGGAGGAGGAGATGGGGCTGCAGTGAAGGCCTTGCTCATTGCAGGGGGTGTGGGAGGCCAGGCAGGGTCACCTCTGGCCCTGCAGAAAGAGGGACGGAAGTAGGCGGGCTCAGGCCTGCGCCTCCAGGGCACACACGTGCACACTGGGCAGGCAGAACCAAGAGGGTGGCAGCTCCTTGCTGGTGCTGTCCTCGTGGAACCGGATGTGGAGGAAGAAGTCTCCCGTGTAGAGGAAGAGGAGGGCCCCGAGGCAGGCCGACTGGCCGGACGGCTGCACCTGAGCAGGGAGGAGAAAGACACATCAGTCTGGTCAGCAGCAGGGGCCACCCAAAGCCACCAGGAATCCTGGGAATCTGCCTGGACATAGGTGTTATGGGGGAAGCGAGGGCCGCCCAGGCCTGGCTCCAGTGCCCCCTCCAGCAGGTCACTGCGCCTCTCCGAGCCAGTTTTCATCTTGGAAAGGAGCTGCCAATATTCCCATTCCTGAATTGTTTGGGGGCTCAGGGGGTCAGGAGTGTGGGAGGGTCAGGAGTGTGGGAGGGAGTGAGGGAGAGGTTGGGGCAGAGGGGAATGGAATGTTAGCCTGTGCTGGGGCCTGACAGTGAGGTGCTGAGAGGCAGCTTGAGAGGTAGGAGGTGGGAGGTGGGGGCTGAGGGCGTAGGGCTGGAGCCTTTCCGTGGAAGGAGCGGCAGGCACGGGATGGGTGACAGTGACATCACAGTGATGCCACAGCAGGGTCCAATCATGGAGCAGCCCCCTGTCCTGGGCACAGCTCCCATTCCCTGCACATTTTCCTGCTTCACCAACCCTGAGGGCCTCACTGTCCAGGACTGAGAGACAGGTGAGCTTGTCTAAGTTCCTGCAGTGAATGGGGCAGACTCAGACTCAGTGTGCACACGTGACCACAGAACCCCTGCTGCTATCGTCTGCTGGACATATGCTGACCCCAAAGCCCACCACCCAGGGAAGGGGGGATGATGACCACATGGCCAGAGGCTCCCAGACCGCCTTGCACACCACCACGCACCGCGTCGAGGTAGAAGGTGCTGGAGCCCACGAAGGAGACGGTGTCGTGCAGGTCGTAGTTGTGCACGCCGTTCTGGTGGTCCTGGAAGGGGACCACAGTGAGGGCGAAGGGCCCTACGCTGCGCGGGCTCCGGTTGGTCAGCCGCACCTCCAGGCGCACGGGGTCGCCCACCTGGCAGGCCGCCACAGCCTCGCGGTCACATGGCTGTCCGTCCACCAGCACATCTGTAAGGGACACGAGACTGTCGGGGGCTGGGCTGGCCTGCACGGCCCAGCCGGCCTACCCCACCCACTCGCTGATTCATTCATTTCTTCCCTCCTTCACTCTTCAAGGCTGCCACCCACTCCCTGCCAGGCTGGACACTGGGGACACAGATGTGTGACCAGTTCCTGGTCTCCGGAAGAGGAACCTGGCAAAGACGGGTGTGGTGGCTAGAGCTATGACTCAAGGGGTCTGCACCCCAATGGAGGGGCCTCTGGGAGGGCCTCCTGCCACAGCCCACCTAGAAGGGGAGGAGCTCTCTAGTGAGTCAGGGACTCCTGTCCAGGTGAGAGTCTGACACCGTAGAGGCGAGGGCGTGGAAGGGGCCCTACAGGCCCTAAAGTGCCGCAGGTCAGGGGTCAGGTGAGCTTTGGGGCACAGGCAGGCCCGAGGTCCCTCTCCTCCAGTGGCTGCAAGACCACACACCCCAGGAGGTGGTGTCTTGATCTCGTTCCCCAGGAGGAATGCACAGTGGGCTCCAGCACTCCCTATAAAGTGGCTGCACTGTGTTTTCTTCATTCTGTCAGCCTGTCCAGGGTGCCTGACACACAGCTCAGCACAGAACAGGTGCTCAGGGAAGTGGCACGGTTCTGGGACCCGTGGACCCTGCCAGGCAGGGAGCTGGTCCTGGGCGAAGGAGCATGGATTCATCTCCTCTTCCCTTCCTTGCTTACATGCCCCAAGAGCTTGCAGACAAGGAGGACGCCTCCTAACTGGGCAGCAGCAAGGAAGGAGGCTGAGGTCAGGGTGGGGTGGGGGCGGAGAGAGTGTGCCCTCTCTCAGGGAAGCGAGCTGATGATCAGGGTGGCAGGTTTCATGGTGATCCCCAAAAGATACGTGAGAATGTGACCGTATTGGGGAAGGGGAGTCTTTGAAGATGTAATTAAGTGAAAGGTCCCGATAGGAGCTCATTCTGGATTAGAGTGAGCCCTGTAGTGAGTGACAATGTCCTTATATGGGGCAGAAGAGGAGGAAGCACAGACAGAGACAGAGGCTGAGACTAGAGGATACGGGCAGGAGCCAAGGAGCCCTGGGTGGCTGGAGCCCCTAGGAACTGAAGGAGGGAAGAATAAGCCCCCAGAACCTCCCATGGTCCTGCAGCACCTTGGTCTCAGCCTTCCTGCCTCCAGAACTGAGAACACACATCTGTTGTTCAAGTACCCAGTTTGTGGTCGTTCGCTGTGGCAGCCCTAGCAGGCTAAGATGTGGGGTGGGGGGCCCTTCCTGCTGGGCAAAGGCCACCTGCTGTGGCCCTGTTGTGGAGGTCCTGGAAGTGGGAGGTCCCGCAGCCTGCAATTTGACTTCATGTCATCCAAGTACAAACTGCGTGGCCCTGGGAGCCAGCCTGAGCCCCATGGTCTGCCGTGGCTGATCCTGTGCTGTGGGCTATCAAGGCAGGCAGGTGGAATAAGGATGACATGATGGTGACACGCATAGGGAGAGCAGGTGGGCCACAAGAGCACTCCCACCCCTTCTGCCCCTTAACACAGTCACGGGCATCCTGGGCCGGGCCTGGTGCCAGCACCCTGCAGCGGAGGATCCTGGAAACACCCTGACCCACAGCCCTCTGCCCTTGACCTCTGTTCTGTGGCTGCAAGGAGGGCCCTGTGGGGTGTCCTCACTGCAGCCTGGAGAGGAAGGTCCTCTAAGGACTGGCCTGCCTGGCTCACACGGTCAGGCCAGAGCAGGCAACTTCAGGTGTGGTTGGGCCTCCTGCTGTCCTGCCTGGGTTCCACTGCCCTCACACGCAGGTGAGGAGGAAAGCACCTTCTAAGACCCCAAGCCACTCTTTCGACCCCTGAAGAGGATGGGGGCAGAGGGGACAGGATATTGAAAGTCCCCACACCCAATTCCCAGCGAGTCCTGGCTCAGAGCCTCTAGGCCTGTCTCCTCTGCCATCCAGGGTCCTGGGTTCACAGGGAGGCTGTGGGGGCCTGGCAGGCAGCAGAGGATCTCGTGGCCAAGGCACAAGAAGAAGGACTCCTGGGACATCAGTGCTCT
The DNA here is from genome assembly GCF_000001405.40 of Homo sapiens. Taxonomy (NCBI): domain Eukaryota; kingdom Metazoa; phylum Chordata; class Mammalia; order Primates; family Hominidae; genus Homo; species Homo sapiens. The sequence continues at coordinate 139,734,241 of NC_000008.11, forward strand.
CCATAGCCCGTGTGCCAGAGAGGTTTAAGGGTACGCAATTCTGAAACATTCATGTCCAGTGCGTCCTTATTTTCTCATTTGAGAGAAGTCAGTGCGTGGCTTATGATAAGGAGATGAGGACATGGCCTGTGCTATTAGGGAGCCACCTGAATGTGGCTCGTGTCCACTGTTTTCCAGTGTAAGTGACTGATGCACACCTTTTTATATTGAGCTCTGTCTGAATTCTGAGTTTATGTTCCTGGAACAGTGAGGCAGATGAAATGGGTGGCACAAGAGAAATAAACATTTCTAAGAGAGGCTGATAGGTCAGACTGCCCTCCAGGAAGGCTGGAGGCCTGTGCCCATTCCCCATCCTCAGGGCTGGAGCTGAAAGGGGCTGCAGAAACCATTTGGTCCCATTCATTCATTCCAAGATTTATTAGCTGGCTGCTGGCCCTTGCAGCCAGTGTGATGAGCATGACCCACTGTTGAGCAAGCTCACAATCCAGTGGGAGAAGGAACGCTCAGCCAAGAGCTGGGGCATGCCAAGCCTCTGCATGACACAGCACTCAACAGGTGCCCACTATAGGGCCCAGGGAAGTAGCCCTTCACTCTGTGCCACTGTGGGGATGGCATCAGGGAAGGCTTCCTGGAGGAAAGGACACCTTTCTCTATTCTAGTGTTTTTCAAGGCTATGATTTGCCCTCAAATCCCAGCTTTTGCTGCATCCTACACTTCTGGATGTGCAGGGCCACCTGCACTGAGTCTGACCAGGCTGGGATAAACCTGGGGGTCCTGAGGCCCTGCTCACTGGGCTATGTATAGTGCCCCTGAGTACTTCCAGCAGTGCCTGATGTGCAGCAGACAGCATCAAGACGGGCTCTTTGTTCTCCCAGCTGGTCTGTCCTGCTGAGTCCAGAAGGTAGGACCAGAAGGACCTGAGCTTGAGCGCTTCTATCTATGGGACCCCAGGGTATGTCACTACACCTCCTGGGCCTCCGTTTCCTCTTCTGTAACATGGAGCCAATTCTAATGCTAACAGTTGTGACAAGTTCATATTCTTGCTGTGAGGAGCTCAGTCACAGCACGTCCCAGTACCCATGAGCATTTGAGGGACTTTGTCTTGAGGCCCAGTGCTGTTGGGGCAGCGGCTTTCGTCTCCAGCCTTGGTTACCTGTCTGTGCTGTGCAACCCAGCACAGGGAGGCTCCAATCCATCACCAGCCCTTCTCCCTCCTCTACCTCTGTGCCACCCAAGCCAGGCCTCAGTAAATGTTTCTTGAACAGTGAACCGAACCAGGCGCGGTCTGAGCCTCTTGAATAAAAGGTGGGGAGATGGAGAGAGCAGATGGGGCAGCCTGGTTGCTGGTTCCATTAAGGGAAAGATACGATTATGTGCAAATCAGTGAAGGGTAGTTGGCTCAGTACCACCCTGCCCTGTTTTTTTTTTTTGTTTTGTTTTGTTTTTTTGCAGAGAACTGTGTGGGCTGCTGGGGCAGCAGAGGACTGGTCTGTGGGCTCCTGGGCAGAGCCACGCTGGCCTGCCTGTTTAACCCTTCCTAGCCCCAGCTCTGTACAACCCCTTGGGAAGAGAAAGCTGATGAAGGCTTGGAGCCAGCTGTCCCTGTGAACACTGCTGGTGGAACCTTTCTTTGCTACTTTCTAAGAAGAGGGGAAGGAATGTGTGGCACTTAGGTGTGAGGCCAGGGTGGTAGGGGTTGGCAGGGGTTGTGGGCAGAGCCACACCCTGTCGGAGCAGGAGGCCAGGCTGCAGTCCCAACTTTGCCTCTGACTTCCCTTCACCCTGGGAAAGGCCGTTTGACAACTGGTGCCCCCTCCATCTCATCTATGAAACTGGGATGATGATCTTGACCTCCCAGACTGGGGGCAGGGGTGAAGAGCAGAGAGGACCCAGCCAGAGCGAGCACTCCTGCCACAGGCTCTCCTGTGTGGCCAGCATTGCAGAAGGAGGGCAGTGCTCTGGAATGGCAGGCAGCACCTGTCTTGCTCTCTGCTCTGTCCCTGCTCCCAGGGTGACCAACTATCCCAGTTTGCCCAGGGCTAGTTTGGCTTTTAGCCTGCATTGCAGGAAACCCTCAGTGCCAGGCAAACTGGGACGGTGGGTCACATTACCCCGAGGCCTGGCATCCACAATGACTGCCGACCAAATTAATGCATTTCTGTGCTCAGCAAGCAGCCGTTTCCTTCCTTGCTCCACAGCTGGGGCAGCCCCTACAGCTCCGGCAGCTCAGATCCAGGCATACAGGCACCAAATCCCCTGACGCTGACTCTTCCCCATGACACAGAGGAAAAGCAAACCTTCCTATGACGGGGCAGAGCAGAGGTCTGTTTTTGTCCGAGAGCATTAAGCTTCCTGAATTCAAAAGGATGTCCTGGTCTCCCCTGGGACCCCCAGGGTACAGCTGAGGAAATGTGGTGGAAACGGGTCTAATGACCGTGATGATGATGGCGGCGATGCTCGCAGCTGCCTTGCAATGAGAACATGTGACCGCATGGCAGGGCTGTGCCCGGGTAGGATTCGTGACCCCGTCAGCAGCAACACCGGCCACATCCATTGTTGCCAATTCGCTTCTCTGACTCTGGGCCCGAACAAGCGGTGTCCAGTCCTGGGGGATCAGAGGAAATGGGCTCATTTCTGCAGGGCCCCACTCTCCACAGCCACCCTGCTGAGCAGGGCTGCAAGGAGCATATAAGAGGAGAGAAGAGAAGCCAGGGCCACCGTCCATTACAAGATGGCTTCCCCGACTCCAACCAGGACGGACCTGGGATAAATAATGGGAAAAATTTCTCAAAGACAAGCTGCTTTGGAGCAGTTTCTAAACTGCCGCTGGGGGACAGGAAGGAACCACACGTGAAAGCGCGGGTGCTGCTGGGAGCTCACCCCGTCTGTGGCCCGCGCAGGGGCTGGCTCTACTCCTGGCTCCCCCAGCATTCGGCTTCTATCGGCGCTCCCCAGGCAGGCCCTGAGGGACAGAGCGGGCAGCCCAGGGGCCACGCAGCCTGCCTGTCAGCTTCAGCTGAGAAGAGTGGGTGCCTCCTGGGGGACCCGCTGCTCAATCACAAGGTGAGCCCTAGAACCGGGACCCAGTTCTGTGACCGCAGCAGCCCGGCCGGCTGGTCCCCAGGAGGTGGGCAGGGATGCCAGCGCATGTGTCCCCTCCCTCGGCCGCTCCTCACCACCCCGCAGAGCACCTTCCCACAGCCTTCAGGCGGGGGTCATCAGCCCTCCCCCCCCCCCCACGGAAAACCCTGAGTCTGGTGTCTGGGTGTGTAGGGTCCAGTTTTCTCCCACTGTTCTCTGGGGCTGGCCCCCGTCGGGCTTCCTGCCACCCTCCATTTCCTGGTCCACCAAATGAGCCGCCTCTTGGCAGGACTGGCTCCTCCTTCCCTCTCCCAGGCGGGATGGGGCGGGATTTGCACAGCTGCTTGTCGAGGAGCTGTTAGCAGCACAGGCCCAGGCTCCTGATTGGCTGGAGAACGGACTGTCTTGGGTTTGAGTTACTTCTCTGTGAATCTCCACCTCTCTGACGCCCCAGTCTTTAGGTGGGGTAGAAGGAGACCACGTCAAGTGGGGTTTTGTTAGGGGCCGCTTGATCCTAACCACCATGGCTCCCAACCTTCCCTGAGGAGGGGAGGATCTGCAGGAGCAGCGGAGGAGAACTAGGACGGGGATGCTTTGCATTTCGACAGCTTCTCCAGGGCCCTTCCTCTCCCGCGGGCTGGCTGTGAACACTGACGAAGCTCTGTGCCGGATGCAATTGAGAGGAAGGACGCAGCAGGGGCAGGTCCTTCCAGCTTCTCCCAAGCCAGGTGCCAGGCAGGCAGTTTCAGCCCACTCTGACCACGAGGGAGGCAGACCCAGGGCCTCTGGGGATGTTGGGTCCCCTTAGGCCTTTTTGCCTGGACCTCGAATGCCCTATCCCAGGGAAGCAGCAGCCTAGGGAGGGGAAGGGGCTCCTGTGCCCACGGCAGCCCGTGGTAGGGGGGTCATGAGCTGAGAGACAGAATGACTAAAGGTCGAAACATGCCTAGCAAAGCCTCCTGAATCCCCAGGACTTCCTTCGCAACAGAAGGGGTCATGTGGTTGACAAAATAATGTGCCCCCTCCACTTGCCCATGTCCCAGTCCCGGGAGCCTGTATGTCCTCTCCCATGGCAGAAGGAGCTTAGCAGATGTGATGAAACGGAGGTCCTGGAGAAAGGGAGAAGACCCTGGGCCATCGGAGTAGGCCCAATGGCGTCAGGAGAGTCCTTACAAGGCAAGAAGGGAGGCAGGAGAGGGGCACACTTCGCTGCTGGCTATGAAGACGGGGGAAGGCGCACAGGGTGCAGGCACCCCAGGAGCTGGAGAATGCCAGCCCAGGGAGGAAGGTAGCCCGCAACACCGATCAGACTCTGGACCCCAGAACCACACGGCGGGGTTATGTGCTGTTTAAGCCACTAACCTTGTGGTCACTTGTGAGAGCAGCTGGTGAGCCCAACACAGGTAGGGGTCTGAGGACACACACAGAGCCCCCAAGGGGCCCCAGTCAGCCTCAGGGCCACCACTTCCCAGGCCACTAGGGGAGACCCAGCCTGGGCGCAGAGCTGGTCCTGGGGCAGACGGCACTGGGTAGGGTGCACAGCTCTCTGAGCCTCGGTTTCCTCATTTGGAATGGTCGCACCTTCCTCTCAGGGATGTGGAGTGAGTGTCAGATCCTCTATGAGAGGTGCCAGACAGAACAAGGTGTTCTAGGAATGTCGGCTCCTGCCCGCCCCCAGCTTCTGAAACCCAACGCGCCCCAGGCTAAGATCACATCATTCATTTATCTAACAAGCACTGGAGAGGCCCTGAGCCTCAGGCCCGTGCTCCTCTGGGCAACCCTGACATCTCGACCGGGCACCACGGGGTCTCACCCTCCACTTTCTCCTCCTGCCCCTCTTCCCCATGCCTTCCCCAGTAGAGTGGCTCCACCACCGGCAGCAGCTCAAGCTGGGTCCTCTCCTCCCGGACACCCAGCCCCAGCCTGGGAAACGTCCGGTGCCCATGCAGTTGGGCCTCTGCTCAGCCTCCACCCGCCCCGCCCTGGCTGGCCGCTCCCTCTCCTTTCTGCACGACCACAGCTCTAGTGTGAGACGCTGGTAGGTAGTGTCACTTCCATGCTCCTCGCCTGCCTGGCCCGTGGCTTCTGTTTATGCTCAGAATAAAAGAAAGTCTTGATGAAATTCTCACCCCAACTCTGGTCTCCTCGGCCCTACGAGTTTCCTCCCAGAGCCCGTCTCCCGGGCTGTGTCCTCCCCGCCACTGCTCCCTGGCCATCCTGTCCCTCCAGCACATCCTTCCTGTCCCAGAGCCTCTGCACCTGCCATCCTGGCCTCCCTACCAGCTCCATCCTGACGGTCAGGACTTGGCTCTGCCAGAAAGGTTGTCCCTGACCACACAGTAGAGGGCTTCCTGCCCCTGCCAGCCACTCGGCCACATTCATGTATTTTCTCATGGCCCTGGCATCTGATCTGAAGCGACCTTGTTTATCGATTTGTTTCATTGTTAACTACCCGTGTTCCTCCTCGTCAGGAAGCTCTAGGAACACTGGCACTTGGCCGTCTCATTCACCGTGGTGTCCCCAATACCCAGCACAGGCAGGCAAATGGCAGACACAAGTTCCATTTCATATCTGCTGGACACATAGATGGATGAGTGAGTGAGTGAATACTGGGCTTTGGGGTCAGGTACCCAGGTTTGAACGCTGGCCCCACCACCGACTGGCTGTGCCCTGCCCCATTTAAACCCCTAGTGCACCATTTGGCACATGAGGGACCAGGGCCATGTCCCAGAAGTGCGTCCTGAATGAGGACTCTAGGCCGAGCTACCATGCTCCGCTCTGGGCCCACAGATGACTTATGCAGGAGAACCTCATGTTGTAAGGAATCTCCTGGGAGCCAATCAGCCTCCTTCCTCAAGGCGTCACATCGGCACCGGCCCCCTCTTCCCTCCTGTCCCTGGCCCTGCTTCTGTTTCACATTTAATACCAGCCAGAGTTACGGACATAATTGTGTCTGGCCCAGAATTCCTCCTGAAGTCCCTGCTATAGCACGTCCAGGCTCTGGTAGAAACACGGGCTATAAGTAAAGGCTGTGCCCGCCAGGGAGGGGCTTGGCAGGGCACAGAGAAAGGAAGCCATTGGCCAGCCTGTGCATGGGGCCAGGGGGCCACCGTGGGGCTGAGAACGAGGCAATGTGCGCATGCTGGGCAGGGGGAGGCAGGCTGGTCGAGGCTCACAGGTGGTAAAGTGTGTCTCACTCAGCGCCCACATCCTCCTAAGAGGTCAGAGAGCAGGTGCAGCTTTATTTGCAGAAGCACACTGAGGTGTAGAGAGGTGACAGGAGCTGCCTGGGCCCCATGCGGGCCCTGCGGAAGCAGGTCCGGGAGCCCTGTCCTGGAGAGTGGTAGGCAGGGGAGGCAGTTCCAGTGGTGATGTTCTACAGGATAAGGCCCACACGGGCGGTGAGCTCAGGTGCTCCATGGGGACGGGGCCCCAACTGGAGCCATCCTGGGGCAGACCCGTCCTTCGGCCTCTCCACCTCCGGCTGTCGTGACCCGTGCAGGACTCAGGCTCCTGGAGGGCAGATGTGGTGCTGGTGCAGGCCTTCCAGTCTGGGCTCTGCCAAACACTGCTTCCACTGTGGTCTGGCTGTGTCAGGAGCAGCACCAGGAGGGGTGAATCCAGGGAGATGCAGAGGCCCAGCCCTGGGCAGCTGCCATTCCCATTTGATTCCACAGCTTGGGACTCCAGCCAGAGGTTTCTGTGACCCCAATGAGCCCCAAGAGGAGGGTGGAGGATGTGGGGGAAGAGGCCTGCCCTACCTGCACCCACGGCCTCCCCCTCCTCCAGCCTGCCCCAGCAGGGCACTCCCCCTTGGGCGTGACACTCCCCATTGGGCATGATGCTCCCCCTGGGTGTGAAGCTCCCCCCGGGCGTGATGCCCCCTCCCCTGGGCGTGGCACTCCTCCTTGGTGCTCCTCTGGTTGTCAACAATGCCTGACTTCTTGAGCACTCGCTGTCTTCCAGGCCCAGGGCTCAGCGCTCTGTAGGTATCCCCTAATTCAGTCCTTGGAGCAGCCCCAGTAGGAGGGCTGACCCTTGTTCCATTTGACAGATGACGCTCTTGAGGTGGCGAGTGGCTCAGGAGCTGGTCCCAGGTGAACAGCAGTAGGTGCTGAGCCCCCACTGGATTCCTGGGCTCTGGACTTGGTCTGGTTTTGTTGTTTTTGTTGTTGTTGTTTTCCAGTAGCTTTATCAAGATAAAAGTCACATACCACACAATTCACCCATTTAAAGTGTACAATTCAGTGGTTCGTAGTATATTCAGATATGTGCGACCACAGCCCGTTTTCGAACATCTCCATCACCTTCAAAAGAAACCCTGTACCCTTTTAGCCATCACTGCCCTGCCCCCCAGACCCACTCCACCCCCAGCCCTGGGCAACCCAGTAATCTCCTTTCCCGCACCATACATTTCCCTACTCTGACTCACATATAAACAGAAGCGGAGGGCAGTGAGCTCCGGCGCCTGGCTTCCTTCGCAGAGCATGATGTCTCTAAGGCTCACCCGTGCTGCAGCATGGGTCAGTGCTGCGTTCTTTCTCATGGCGGGACAATACTCCATGTCTGGATGGGGCACATTTTGTTCATATAGCATCCACCAAGGGACACATGGGCTGTTTCCACCTTTGGCTGTGATGAGTGGTGCTGCTGTGCACATTTATGGAGAAGATTTTGTGTGGACACAGGTTATTATTTCTCATGGGTGTACACCTGACAGCAGACTTGCTGGGTCAAATGGCAACTCTGTCTAATGGTTTCAGGAAGCACCAGACTGTTTTCCAAGGCGGCTGCACCCCCATTCCCAGCGGCGGTGCGGGAGAGGCCTGACTGCTCCACGCCTTCTATGGCACTGTGGTTGCCTGGCTCTGGTTCACCCATCCTGGTGGAGGTGAAGTAGCATCTTGCTGCGGTTCTCACGTGCGTTCTCCCGATCTACCCCCAACCGGCCATGCTGCCGGCGCTCACTGCTCCCTGTGCAGACAGCCCAGCTTCGCCCCACCAGCCTGGGACAGCTGTTTGGAATGGCCCTTCTGTGCAGTCCTCTTTGCTTGCAACGTCCATAAGCCATGAGAACCCTCCAGAACTCCAAGCCCTTGACCTCCATATTTCAGGAGTTTCTCACATTTTGGAGCCTGGGGCCAGACAGCAGGCCAGGGCTGAAGCTGGAAGTCTCTTCCCTCAAGCACAGCACAACACAACATGCAATCAGGGACCAGGCAAGTCAGGGGCCACCAGAGAGGGTCAGGACCCAAACTTTGGGCAAGCTATGGACCCAGAACACGGCCACGGGCAGAGGCAGGATGGACTCAGGAGTTAGGGAGCCAGGAGATGGGGCCAGATGGAGACCAGACCTTCAGGACATGAGGACCAGCAGGTCAGATGGGCCCAGCATGCACGGTTGCTTTCAACTCTGATCTGCAGGCTGGGTGGGGGTAGGCAGCTGGCAGACACTCCTGGCACCCAGGAAACATTCACTGAAATGCTGCATCTGTGGGAGAAGAACAGCCGCCACCTGTGGGCTCAGGTTCAGTGTACAGCAGAGATTTCAAACCACAGTGGACTTTTCAAGAGACCTGCCTGACTGCACCCTAGAGAGGCGGGTTTCCTCTGTCTAGGGTGGTGCTGAGCATGAGTTTCTGCCGTGCATGTGTCCAGGGTTGCAGGCCCAATGCACAAGCCATGTCTGCCTCACTCAGAGTGGGCTGAGAGGAGCAGGGGAGGAGAAAATGTGGAAGGTGGTGGGGTGAGGCTACCGTGGGCTTCTTAGGTGGTTGAAGGAAACAGGTAAAATGTCTGCAGGGCCCAGAGTCCTGTGTAAATTACAGTGACAGCGGAATGATCTGTGGATTTCTTGTCCAACTGGCTCGTCCAACAATCTGTTCACTTGTCCTTCAGGGCATGTCCCCTCAAGGCTGGCTGCTGAAGGTTTATTTTTCCTCCAGAGCTCAAACTCCCAGCGACGCCTCCCCGACCTGGCCCCACAACTCTACTCTCCAACCTTTTGCGCTGGCGAGAAACAGGGGACTAAGTAGACTTCAGTTGCAAATATCTAATTTGGGATTTAAAAATGTAAAGACAAAAACAATGCAGTGGAAATACATGACTTGAAGACCAAGGAACAAAGTGAGTCAAGTTTTTAAGGCTCTATCCAGCCTGCCTCAGCTATAATATATTTAACTTTTAAATTTCAGAAGACACACATTTTTCTAGTTGACATAAATCTTGGGCGGTCCTAAATTTTAGAGCCAAATTTGATTCAGGTAAGGTTTGGCTTCAGAATTAATCAAGGAGTTTTCTCCCTCTTTAGATGAAGCAAAATAAGTTCTATGGAGAAATAAAATAGCCAAGACCCGAGATGAGAGAGGACTGCAAAGCCAAGGTTTCCTGCCCTTCACCAACACCGGGCCAGCTGTCCTGTGGGGTGGGGGGCAGGCAGGCACATCCCATATAAAACCCTCTCATTTCCAATTATCTAACATAACTGGTGAACTTTCTCTACTGCTAATGTGGTTGGTTGCTAGCTACTCAATGCCCCCCAGTCCAGCATGTTTTCCCTCTTTATTGATGACAGCCAAGTAACTGACCTTTTCACTTTGGCTGTTAGGAAGCTCAGAACTAAACATGAATCCACCTAAAGCACCATGTTGGCCTTCAGTGACCGTACACTCACAGCCACTGCCACACAAGTGCACTCACAGGTACACGCGAACGTGCACTCACTGCCACCGCCACACACGTTCACTCACAGGTACGCATGAACACGCACTCACAGCCTCTCCTGCACAACTGCTCTTCCAAGTCTTGACCAACTATGCCAATATGGTTTCCCTTGGTCCAGACCTTCTGCATTTTATTTCAACTCTTTATTGTATATCCAGAGAGAGTTTGGAAAAGAAGCGAGAAGCGTGGATAATGGCCAGGAAATGGGGGTGACGGTGCTGTGACAGAGTGTCTAGTCAAAGAGGCAGTGCACAGCCTGGGAGGTATGTGTCAAATCACACAGTCCCCACCCCTCCCCACCCCTGCTCCTTTCCACCACCCCTTCCCCGCTTCCAGACCCTGACTGCTGGGAAGGGGCCTTCTCTCAGGGTGCTGGAGCCCAAGGAAAGCTCAGACAGGGAGACAGAGGCTGGGTGACAGAGACGGAAGAAGGACTTGCTCCGTCTCCGTGTCCCAGAGCACTGCTCTCCTAGGAGCCGAGGCAGGCCCAGCTCTGCACACTCCAGCTGGCTACACTCCCGCTGACCCCATGGACACAGAACACAGGCTCTTTCCCCCCATCAGCGACTGTCAGGGCACGCACTTCATGAAGCTGGAGCTTCGCTCTCAATCCACCAAATGGCATGCGTTTTTAACAGTTACTGAGGGAGCTAATTAGTTCATAAACCAGGACGCCTCTTCCCTGGCATCCTGGGAGGGCGGTGGTGCTGGCCCCGCATGTGTAATTACCCTCAAGTCGAGAACAGCTCCTGAGGAGCTGTTGGGCTCTCTTGGGTAAATAATTTACTTTTACAACTTTTCATTAAAGATTAAAGGGAATTAAATTAAAATTAGGGCAAAATGAAGTTGGAGAGGAGACCTGTACAGCTTGGAGTTCTCTCATCGGAGGCTCTCTGCTTCCTGAGCTCACCCACCCTCCATCCAGGGATGCCAGGGCCCCTGTGGAGGGGAGACCCCGGGGATGTGCAGGAGGTGAGCTCCGGAGAGGAGAAGGACTTCCCTTCCAGGTAGGCCTCCTGATTACACCCTGCATGGCCAGGACCTGCTGGGGATGGTGGCCGTGGCTGCCTTGAGGACGGGGTGAAACACCGTCACCAACACAACACACTGAGGCCAGGGTCTCCCAGCCCATGGACACCCTCCACGGATACCAGGCCAGGATCCTCGGGTCGAAGGCTTTATGGCTTGGATGTGAGATGATGGTTGGAGCTTAGGTGCTGACTCAGGGGCCTGGGTGAGCCCCTTCGGAAGCCAGAGCTTCTGCTTCCTTGTCTAAAAAAGGGAAAGGTGGTGCGTGGAGTGAAGGAGAGGGCTGAGCTCTGATCCTGGCCAGAGAGAAATGCCCAATGAACAGAGGGGTGTGAATCACTGGTGCCTGGCTCCCACACCCAGGAGAGCTGAGAAAGGAGTTGTGGGTTAATCCAGGCCATGCACTTGCAGCGGCTCCAGCTCAGCTCCGCCTTCAGCACGCTCAAAGCGATTGGTAGGACAGCGGGTGAGTCGGGGTGGGCTGTGCACAGAGAGCTGAGCCTGAACACAGGCCAGGTCGTCCTAGCAGGGGCAGGACATGGGCTGCTGAAGGAAACCAGTCCTCCTTCAGGCCCAGCAGGCTCTGGGATTTGCTGCCCTGGCTGGAGCCTCCCTTGGGGACAAACAGAGCAGGACAGGGAGGCAAAGGGGAAGCCAGGGCCTCTGGATGGAGCGGGCAGTTGGGGGACCAGGGACTGGGCTCGCCGCCTTGCTACTATGTGCCTTTTGGCCAAGACTTCACCTCTCTGAGCTCAAATGTACAAATCTATAGCACATGGGTAAACTGAGTCGGTGGGCAGCAGCCCGCCTCCACGTGCCCATGGCGAGCACGCTGGCACTGCTTCACTGAACATTCTCAGTGACATTCCGAGAGGCATCGTCCTGCTCACTTGATGGACAAGCCTGTTTTGGTTTAAAGAGACAGAGTCAGCACTTCAACCCAGGTCTCCCTGGCACCAAGGCCAGTGTGCACCTTCACTCCACGGCTCTGTGATCAGGGTGGCATCTGCTGCCATCCACAGTGCCCCTTGCCCTCTGTGCTGGGCTCCTGCAATCGCCGCCGGTGGCACCTCAGCTCTGTGTCTCAAGGCCCTGCACATCTGCCCCCTCCGTGAGGCAGTTCCCTGCTCTCTCATGGAATACTCGACCTCGAGAAGGTTCTGGTTGCAGAGGCTGTCTGGGAAGCCATCGCGTTTCCTCCTGGGCACAGACTGCAGCCCCTCTCCAAGGGAGTGAGTTGGAAACACAAGATCAAGTCCAGACCAAGGGGACTTAGAGGGAAAGGACAAACCTGGACCGTAAACACATCCATCCTATAGTCCCCCATCTCCAGGCTGAGAGGAGAAACTGAAGAAACTGAGGGCTGGAGGAGGGAGGAGCTGCAAGATAGGCGGGCTATGGGACCAACAGGTCCACGGGGTAGGGGAGCCCCTAGGGGTGGGGCCCCAGGTGGGTAGAGCCTCAGGGTAGGCAGGGACATACAGGGGACGAAGACACGAGGTGGTCAGAGCCAGAACACTGTGGAGCCTGGGTCCCCAGGTGAGCGCCAAAAAGCTGCCTGCACCAAGAACACCATGAGATATAAACATAATGAGGCTGATGTGTTAGGTCCCTGGAATTTGGGGCTGTTTGTTACAGCATTTAGCTGTGACATTTACAGGCCACCAGAGCTCATTTAACCAAGCCCTCCCTTTCAGGAGGAAGCACCAGGGCCCCCATGCGCTGCTGTGCCCACGGCCACATTGGGCATCCATGGCAGACAGGCACTGGGCCTCTAGTCCCTTCTCTCTCAACACAGGCAAGCTGTGTTTTGCACCAGGAACGCCTTGGCTCATGGAGACAATGACTATATTAAGTGCTTCCCCTTCAACCTTCTCTTTTTGGACAAGCACTTTAGACAACTGAAGATAAACCAGAAGAAAAAGAAACGGGGAAAAAAATGGAAAATATGCCTGCTGGCTGGAAGCATTATGCAAAGACAGCTTTCTGAGAAGAGCAGAGAATTTAAAATGACTCCTCTGTCCCCAAGCAATGTCTCTACCTTTTCAATCTCTCATTTTTCATCTTCTCTCAAGCCTGTCTAAATAAAGCAAAGACTCTCGCCACCCAGGCAGGCCCCCCGCCCCCACCGCTCTGTGTGGCTCTGTGTTGAGTCCTTGTCCTCATCACACAATGCCAACCCAGTCTCAGACTTTCTCATCTGCCAATCAGATCATACACGTGGGCACGGTCAGCACCCAGGGGGTTTGGAGGAATCATGAGACCCTTTCCTAGAGGAGGAAGCTGAGGCCTGGAAGGGAAGGAGTACAGGAGGGTCAGAGCAGATGTGAGGGTTGTGCAGGTGTCAGAGTGGGTGTGGAGGTGTCCAGGGGTCAGAGCAGGTGTGGGGGCTGTGCAGGGGTCAGAGCAGGTGGGAGGTGTGCAGGATCAGAGAAGATGCAGGGGGTACACACAGCAGGAGTCAGAGCAGGTAGGGGGGGCGTACAGGGGTCAGAGTGGGTGTGGGGGTGTCCCGGGGTCAGAGCAGGTGGGGAGGTGTGCAGGGATCAGAGAAGATGCAGGGGGTATACACAGCAGGTGTCACAGCAGGTTGGGGGGGCATACAGGGGTCAGAGTGGGTGTGGGGGGTGTCCCGGGGTCAGAGCAGGTGGGAGGTGTGCAGGGATCAGAGAAGATGCAGGGGGTATACACAGCAGGTGTCAGAGCAGGTAGGGGGGCGTACAGGGGTCAGAGTGGGTGTGGGGGTGTCCCGGGGTCAGAGCAGGTGGGGAGGTGTGCAGGGATCAGAGAAGATGCAGGGGTTACACACAGCAGGTGTCAGAGCAGGTAGGGGGGGCATACAGGGGTCAGAGTGGGTGTGAGGGTGTCCCGGGGTCAGAGCAGGTGGGAGGTGTGCAGGGATCAGAGAAGATGCAGGGGGTATACACAGCAAGTGTCACAGCAGGTTGGGGGGGCGTACAGGGGTCAGAGTGGGTGTGGGGGTGTCCCGGGGTCAGAGCAGGTGGGGAGGTGTGCAGGGATCAGAGAAGATGCAGGGGGTATACACAGCAGGTGTCACAGCAGGTTGGGGGGGCGTACAGGGGTCAGAGTGGGTGTGGGGGTGTCCCGGGGTCAGAGCAGGTGGGAGGTGTACAGGGATCAGAGAAGATGCAGGGGGTATACACAGCAGGTGTCAGAGCAGGTAGGGGGGGCATACAGGGGTCAGAGTGGGTGTGAGGGTGTCCTGGGGTCAGAGCAGGTGGGAGGTGTGCAGGGATCAGAGAAGATGCAGGGGGTACACACAGCAGGAGTCAGAGCAGGTAGGGGGGCGTACAGGGGTCAGAGCAGGTGTGGGGGCTGTGCAGGGGTCAGAGCAGGTGGGGAGGTGTGCAGGGATCAGAGAAGATGCAGGGGGTACACACAGCAGGTGTCAGAGCAGGTAGGGGGGGCATACAGGGGTCAGAGTGGGTGTGAGGGTGTGCAGGGGTCAGAGCGGGTGTGTGGAGATTTGCAGGTGTCAGAGCTGGCATGGGGGGCATGCAGGAGTACTGAGGGGCTGCAGCTGGTTTTCTGTGCCGGGCCTTGCATAGGCTGCTTGTTGGCTCTGCCTGGGCATCTGCCATTGGCGTGTCTAGCGCAGCCTCTCCTCCCTGGAAGCCTTCCCTCCCAGGGACCTCTGTTGCTGCCCTCGGCATTCTGCACCTTGTGCCCATGTGTGCCACCTAGAAGGGCATTTACCTTGGGGGCAGGGGGCCGCCTCCACTAACAGGCTGGCACTTCCTCCCCCCAGGCCCTAGTGCCCAGCAGGGCCTGTGTGTATGGGGCCTGTATGGGGTCTCCACCAGGATTTCTAGACCTTGAACTCTGGCAGTAGGTCCAGGCTTGAAAACCAGGTTTCTGGACTCCTGGTGTGTGCAGCAGGGAGACAGCAGGAGGAAGACATTTTCCAGAGAGAAGACATAAAGTGATTGTGGATGTAGAAATGACGACTTCAATTGCTCCTCCAAAGTATTCAAGGCCAAGTTCAAGGCTGTCTGATCACGTCCCCTGTGGTCTCTCACCCCAGTGCCCTGCGACTTCCCCTGCTCCATCTGTCCCTCCCTCCTGCTGACTCCCTGTGGCCTTTCCAAAGCTGGGCTCCTGCAGCACCTGCTCCAGGAAGACTTCCTGAAGCACATCCAGCCCCCAGCAACCCGCCATGGCCTGCATGGCCCACACGGGAATCTGCTGCTGAGGGACTGTCTCTCCTGAGCTCCTGGGGGACCTCTGCCATATGAATGGACAGACGATAAGATGGCCTTGGCCCTTCAATGGCTTACAGTGTGACCTCAGGTAAATCATTTAACCGATCTGAGCCTCAGCGTCCCCATTGTCACATGAGAGCAATGGGCTGAATGGTTTCAAACAGGCTCACTATTTCATGTTCTCATCTCTGGGCGCCATGTCCAGAACTTCTTCCTACCATGAAAAGGTGCCATGCTTGTCATGAAGCATGCCGGGAACCCCTCTCACCCTGTACCCCCAGACTGTCCTCACACAGCCCAGGGCTGACCCCTGCCTGGTGCTGGGTCAGTGCTTACGAGGTTAAACAGACTCTTGATGTGGTGACAGCCAAAGCTTCACATAGAACTATAAAGTCTTAGAGCACAAACGGGAAGGACATGAGGTGCAAAAGGACCTTCTAGTGGCCCATCTGCTTGAACCGCCAGAGCCGGGCAGCTGGATGAGCGGGTGGCGGTTAGCTGCTGCCCCTGTGCTGGACTGGAGGGGCAGGGCTGCCCAGTGGAGAGCACCTCCCTGCTGAGACTCTGGGCAAGGAGCTTTTAGAAGCGGGGCCACAGGCAGCCTGGAGGTTCCTGAGGACCTGGTCAAGGGAGATGGGCCCAGACACTCCCTCTGTCCTAGGCTTGGGCTGGCAACACAGAGACGACCAGGAGCTCACAGCCTGCAGGGGAGACTGTGGCCCACACAATCCAAGACCGGGTGAGGAGTGTCCCCCACCCCATCCCATCTCAGCTGGGAGTGGTGGGGGCTGGATACAGGAGGGTCCACAGGAGCCCTGGCTGTCCCAGTGTGGCATAGACCTCACCTCAGTCCTGAAGCATCCACCAGGGGTTGCCCAACCTCCCCTGCTCCCCAGGCTTCTCTGATGGGGCTTGAGCACCCCAAAAGCTGCAAGTATTAATTTAATCCGGGGTCCCAGATGTGCACAGGATTCCTGCTCTCCATTATGGCAGCCACCCTGAGAATGAATACTGGTTTACCAGACCCTGGAGGCAAACCACGCCTCCCCAGGCCTCAGCAGGCTCAGGTCTACCGTGCCTTTTTGTCCTCTTCCACCCTAGCCACCTCCAGCAGACAAGAGGCGCCCTCAGGCTGCCGCCCCTTTGTATTTATTGCTGGGTCTCCTCAGTGTGCAGAGGAGCACCTTAGGGCCAGGCAGCACCCCTGCATTGCACCCCAGCATGAAAAGACCCATGGAGCTGTGCTGGGCACAGGCTGAGGGGCTCTCCAGGCAGCCTGAACTAGAGAAGAGAGGACTTGCTGGGACCCCCAAAGCTGGCTTGTGGCCCCTGCTCCTGGGGATAGACCTCTGGCCTCTCTCCAAAGACCATGCGGCTTCTCTAAATGAGCTTTCCAGCACGGAGGGGGCAGGAACACCCTGGGCCTGCCTGGGATGAGTCCCGTGGGACCATTCAAACTGCACCTGTTCAACAGGTCCCAGCCTATGCTGGGATTCTACCTGCAGAGCTCACTAACACTCTCAACTGCTTCCATCTCCAGGAGTCCATTTGTTTCCTGGAGCAGCAGCAGGTGACATCAGCAGGTGGGTCTTCACCCTGCTGAGCACAGGGAAACCAAGTGTGACTCCAGCACTAGAGCCAAGAGCCTCCACCCTCTGCCAGGCAGTGTGATGGAGTCTCTGGCCCACCCCAAGGGCTGCAGACAGCCAAGCACAAGGGGAGGAGACTTCCTCATGGGCTGTGCCAGGGCAAGCCAGCAGGGCTATGGGGTCATCCTAGGGAATGGCTGGCTGGCCAATCAATACGCCATTTAAAATTAGCACAGCCCTGCCTGGGAGAAAGGTTATGGGAGGTCAACATAGTCAGCCCACCCAGCCACAGGTCTGAAACCTCTGGCCCAACTCTGTCAGGTGTTAGTCTGGAAATCACAGTGGATTTCTTGGCTGTGCAATGATCAGCAGCCAGAACTAGACAGAATGCATCTTTTCAGGGGTCCAGAGGCTGGGGATGCCCAGGGGCCAGGCCCACAGCACCTGGGATTGACCCCCGCCATGGCATATAAGTAAGCCTGGCCCTTTCAGACACCAGATCACCCCTGCATATCCCTGCTGCTGGTCCCAGGGCCATGCCCTAGCCTTGCTCATTTCTGATTCTTCCCACTGCCCTCTTGCTTCCAATACTAGCTTGTGGCCACTAGCAACAGGGTGGGACTCCCCTGTTTCACTTCTAAAGTCATTGACCTCAGCTTGGTGAGGTTCTTAGTTAGGGTGACGGATATAGCTCTATCTGCCTAGGTATCTGGACTCCCATGCCCCAACCCTAGAACAAAGACCTGGACACAACCTCTTCTGCCTCCACAAACTCAAAAACTCTAGACTACATGTCATCCACCTATCCATCCAGCATCTACCCATCTACCATCCATCCATCCAGCATCCATCCATCCATCCATCCATCCTCCAGCAGACAAGAGATGCCCTCAGGCTGCTGCCCCTTTGATTTTATTGGCTGGGTCTCCCATCCACCATTCATTTATCATCCACCTATCTATCCACTATTCATCCATCCACTCACCATCTACCCATCCATCCATCCATCCATCAATCCACCATCCATCCACCATCCATCTATCCACCATCTACCCACCATCCATCCAGCATCCACCCATCCACCATTCACACATCCATCTTTGTCCGTCTACCATCCATCTATCCATCCATCCAAAATCCACCACTCATCCATTCACCCATCCATCTCTCTACCATCCATCCATCCATCCACCATTCATCCACTCTACATCCATCCACTACCACCTGTTCATCTACCATCCATCCATCTATATATCGATCCATCTATATACCATCCATCCACTACCATCTATCCGCCATCCATCCACCATCTACCCATCTACCATCCATCCATCCATCCAACATCTACCCATCCATCCATCCACCCATCTACCATCCATCCATCCAACATCTACCCATCCATCAACCCATCTACCATCCATCCATCCACCCATCTACCACCCATCCATTCATCCAACATCTACCCATCCATCCACCCATCTACCATCCATCCACCATCCACAATTGAACCATCCACCCATCTACCGTCCATCCATCCATCCATCTAACATCTACCCATCCATCCATCCACCCATCTACCATCCATCTATCCAACATCTACCCATGTATCCACCCATCTACCATCCATCCAACATCTACCCATCCATCCATCCATCCACCATCCATCTATCCACCATGTACCCACCATCAATCCAGCATCCACCCATCCACCATTCACACATCCATCTACTGTCCATCTACCATCCATCTATCCATCCATCCAAAATCCACCATTCCTCCATTCACTCATCCATCTCTCTACCATCCATCCATCTACCATTCATCCATTCATACATCCATCCACTACCACCTGTTCATCTACCATCCATCCATCTATATATCCATCCATCCATCTATCTATATACCATCCATCCACTACCATCTATCCACCATCCATCCACCATCTACCCATCTACCATCCATCCATCCATCCACCCATCCAACATCTACCCATCCAACCATCCATCCATCCACCCATCTAGCATCCATCCATCCAGCATCTACCCATGCATCCACCCATCTACCATCCATCCATCAATCCAAAATCTACCCATCCATCCATCCATCCAACTTCTACCCATCCATCCACCCATCTACCATCCATCCATCCAACATCTATCTACCCATCCATCCACCCACCCACCCATCTATCCATCCATCCATCCATCCAACATCTACCCATCCATTCACCCATCTACCATCCATCCATCATCCACCATCCACCATCCACCCATCCACCATCCATCCATCCATCCAACATCTACCCATGCATCCATTCACCCATCTACCATCCATCCATCCAACATCTACCCATCCATCCATTCACCCATCTACCATCCATCCATCCAACATCTACCCATCCATCCACCCATCTACCGTCCATCCATCCATCCACCATCCACCCATCCACCCATCTACCATCCATCCATCCATTCATCCATCAACAACTACCCATCCATCCATCCACCCATCTATCCATCCCTCATCTTTCCATCTATCCCCCTTTCCTTCCTCCCTCCCTTTATTCACTTCCCATCAGATTTCCCAATAGCCGTTCATGCGTTTTACCGTTTTACTGATTTGTTCTGCTCTTCCCTCAGGGGAAATACTCCCAGTGGCTGCTGAATGCTCATCTATCCTTCAAGGTCTGGATGCAGTAAGTCATTGCTGCAAGCCTTCTGTACTCCTTCCAGATTTCTCTATGCTCCCCTGAGGCCTTGATCATACTCTCCTTGTTTGCCTGAGTCAGATGAGTCCCATTAAGCCTTATGTCTGCCATTACTAGCTGTGGCCCTCTGGCCAGCCACCCATTCTACAAGTCCCGGAATCCTCATTTGTAACATGGACTAAGGGTGACCGCGAGGATGAAAGGACTTCTATGAGTAGCGCTGCCACCTCAACACATGATGCTGCTGGGCAATGCCACCCCCCTCTCCTCGCCTGTGTTGTGGCCATGGGACAGCGAGGTGTCTGCATGTCTGTCTCCTCAGCTGAAGCACCCCCATCATGGTTGTTTGTGCATCCCAATCCTGCTCCTTGGCACAGAGCAGGTATTCCATAAATATTTGCTGAATCAAACTGACTTCATCTTGGCACGTCTCAATCTTGAACGGACAAGTGCAAAAAGAGAGACCATCCAGTGTGTTCTTAGCTCAGGCTGGCTCTGCAGGGAAAGGTGAAGCCATGTGGCAGCCACCATTAGATTGAAACAGCCAAGGCCCCCCCAGCCTGCTGCTGCTCCATGCTCTGCTCCTGACCTCCCAAGGAGCCTGGCCCTCTCCAGACCCTGCTTTCCTTCCCTGGGAAATAAGGGCATCTAATGAGTGACCCCCAAAGCTCTTTCCCCTTTGACTGCCTGGTCTCAGCTGCACAATTAACAGCAGACATCACCAAGAACTAGTCAGTTTGTATCACCTGGGGCTCCCACATCTGCTCCCAGGAGTGCAGCTGGTCTGAAAAGGTGCCCCTCAGCAATCAAGGCCAGAGCCACAGTCCACAGGCACTCTGGGTGCTGCTTGCAGACAGCTGGGTGCTGCCTTCCAAGACTGCCTCCATTCAGGGGTGCTGCCGTGACCGAGATCACAGACCCTTCCTGGGGTGACCTACATGCGGTGACTGATCCACACAGGGTATCAAGGCTGGGCCCCTCACCTCACCCAAACTCGGGGTAACAACAAGAAGCCATCCCAACTCCCATGGGTCGGCTGAAATCCTCACTGGGCCTGCCCAGCTTCTTTCTCTGTCCATCTGCTTCCTCCTCTCCTTCCCACCGTGCTGACCTGAAGGTGCTGCGTGCCAGCCTCTGTTTTCCAGAGACGCCCCCACCCCGTGTCACAAGCTGAACAGCACATCTTCCTCCCCTGGCTGAAAACAGGTCTCCTGCTGGTGCAAAACCACATTCAACTCATCAGAGACTTAGCCTTGGCCCCACCACTTACTGAGTGACTTTCTGAGCTTCCACTTCCTCATCTGTCAAACGGGCAAAACGTACTAGGAACACAGGGTGTGGCTACCAGGGAAACCCCAGGAGCTGTGCGGCACACGGAGCTGTCACTGCCAGGGGCCCTGGGAAGGACGGGCCAAAGCCATCGGTCTTGGCTGCCTGGGGCCAACAGGACAGGGGTGATGAGATGGCCCTCGGCCAGCCTTGAGGTCACCTGAGAGGTCGTTGTAATTGGGGGAGCCATGAGCTCCGAGCCTCGTCTGCCCCAGCTCCCACTGCTGGCTCAGTGCTGGTGTGGCACCTGGCACCCTCCAGGTCCTCGGATAACTTGTGCTGAGTGAATCAGTGAACCTAGGAGCATGCAGGACAGACCTGTGGAGAAGCCAGCCAGGGTTTGGGGATGAGGACAGCGTGTCGCAGGAGGAGCCAGGGATTGGGGATGAGGACAGCAGGTCGCAGGAAGAGCCAGGATTTGGGGTATAAGGACAGCAGGTCGCAGGAGGAGCCAGGGTTGGGGATGAGGACAGCAGGTCGCAGGAAGAGCCAGGGTTTGGGGATGAGAACAGCATGTCGCAGGAGGAGCCAGGGTTTCGGGATGAGGACAGCAGGTCCCAGGAGGAGCCAGGGTTGGGGTATAAGGACAGCAGGTCGCAGGAGGAGCCAGGGTTTGGGGATGAGGACAGCAGGTCGCAGGAGGAGCCAGGGATGGGGTATAAGGACAGCAGGTCGCAGGAGGAGCCAGGGTTGGGGTATAAGGACAGCAGGTCGCAGGAGGAGCCAGGGTTGGGGTATAAGGACAGCAGGTCGCAGGAGGAGCTAGGGTTTGGGGATGATGACAGCATGTCGCAGGAGGAGCCAGGGTTTGGGGATGAGGACAGCAGGTCGCAGGGGGAGCCAGGGTTTGGGGATGAGGACAGCAGGTCGCAGGAGGAGCCAGGGTTGGGGTATAAGGACAGCAGGTCGCAGGAGGAGCCAGGGTTTGGGGATGAGGACAGCAGGTCGCAGGAAGAGCCAGGGTTTGGGGATGAGGACAGTGTGTCGCAGGAGGAGCCAGGGTTTGGGGATGAGGACCGCAGGTCGCAGGAGGAGCCAGGGTTTGGGGATGAGGACCGCAGGTCGCAGGAGGAGCCAGGGTTTGGGGATGAGGACAGCAGGTCACAGGAGGAGCCAGGGATTAGGGATGAGGACAGCAGGTCGCAGGAGGAGCCAGGGTTTGGGGATGAGGACAGCAGGTCACAGGAGGAGCCAGGGATTAGGGATGAGGACAGCAGGTCACAGGAGGAGCCAGGGTTTGGGGATGAGGACAGCAGGTCGCAGGAGGAGCCAGGGATTAGGGATGAGGACAGCAGGTCACAGGAGGAGCCAGGGTTTGGGGATGAGGACAGCAGGTCGCAGTAGGAGCCAGGGTTTGGGGATGAGGACAGCAGGTGGCAGGAGGAGCCAGGGATTGGGGATGAGGACAGCATGTCGCAGGAGGAGCCAGGGTGGGGGTAGAGGGACAGCAGGTCGCAGGAGGAGCCAGGGTTGGGGTATAAGGACAGCAGATCACAGGAGGAGCCAGGGTT
Organism: Homo sapiens; assembly: GCF_000001405.40. NCBI lineage: Eukaryota > Metazoa > Chordata > Mammalia > Primates > Hominidae > Homo > Homo sapiens. The sequence goes on from NC_000008.11 coordinate 139,756,433, forward strand.
TGGGGATGAGGACAGCAGGTCGCAGAAGGAGCCAGGGTTTGGGGATGAGGACAGCAGGTCACAGGAGGAGCCAGGGTTTGGGGATGAGGACAGCAGGTCGCAGGAGGAGCCAGGGTTTGGGGATGAGGACAGCAGGTCGCAGGAGGAGCCCGGGATGGGGTATAAGGACAGCGTGTCGCAGGAGAAGCCAGGGTTTGGGGATGAGGACAGCAGGTCGCAGGAGGAGCCAGGGATTGGGGATGAGGACAGTGTGTCGCAGGAGGAGCCAGGCTTTGGGGATGAGGACAGCAGGTCGCAGGAGGAGCCAGGGTTGGGGTATAAGGACAGCAGGTCGCAGGAGGAGCCAGGGTTTGGGGATGAGGACAGCATGTCGCAGGAGGAGCCAGGGATTGGGGATGAGGACAGCATGTCGCAGGAGGAGCCAGGGATTGGGGATGAGGACAGCAGGTCGCAGGAGGAGCCAGGGTTTGGGGATGAGGACAGCAGGTCGCAGGAGGAGCCAGGGTTGGGGTATAAGGACAGCAGGTCGCAGGAGAAGCCAGGGTTTGGGGATGAGGACAGCATGTCGCAGGAGGAGCCAGGGTTTGGGGATGAGGACAGCAGGTCGCAGGAGGAGCCAGGGTTTGGGGATGAGGACAGCAGGTCACAGGAGGAGCCAGGGTTTGGGGATGAGGACAGCATGTCGCAGGAGGAGCCAGGGTTTGAGGATGAGGACAGCAGGTCGCAGGAGGAGCCAGGGTTTAGGGATGAGGACAGCAGGGTGCAGGAGGAGCCAGGGTTGGGGATGAGGACAGCATGTCGCAGGAGGAGCCAGGGATGGGGTATAAGGACAGCAGGTTGCAGGAGGAGCCAGGGTTTGGGGATGAGGACAGCAGGTCGCAGGAGGAGCCAGGGATTGGGGATGAGGACAGCAGGTCGCAGGAGGAGCCAGCGTTGGGGGATGAGGACAGCAGGTCGCAGGAGGAGCCAGGGTTTGGGGATGAGGACAGCAGGTCGCAGGAGGAGCCAGGGTTTGGGGATGAGGACAGCAGGTCGCAGGAGGAGCCAGGGTTTGGGGATGAGGACAGCAGATCACAGGAGGAGCCAGGGTTTGGGTATGGGGACAGCGTGTCGCCGGAGGAGCCAGGGGGCGTGGGTATTAGGATGGCATGTCGCAGGGGCCCTGGAAGTGGGCTGTGCAGTGGGCCCAGTGGCTGCTCTGGCAGTGCCTGTCAGTGCCATCTAGAGGGAGTCCCCCCAGCCCAGGCATCATTCACTTCTGACGCCACTGGCCAGGCCTGTCTCATTCTTGAGGCCTGGTCTCTTGGGGCCTGGTGGGCTGAGTGCAGAGAGGACCTTCTACATCACCTGCACTGCCCACAGTTCTCACGCTTAGTAGGCAAGCAGTCGGCACTGCTGGCGGGCTCGCCTCCCTGTCCAAGGGGGAATCCCTGAACCCACGGCAAGGACGCTTTCTGCTGGGCTTCCTCCAGGGAGTCACATGCCAGGAGGCTGCATGCCCTGATGCCAGGAGGATTTTTCCAGTGATTAAAAATGTGTCCCTGCCGAGTGGCCTCATTTTTTATTTTAAACAACCATGGCCCCAGGGATTGGGCCTGGGCCTCGTGGAGGCCTTCTTTAGAGAAGAAAGCAATTAGAAGATGAATTAAAAACAAATTAATCTTTGTCTTCTTCCACTTGGAAGGGAATCCCGTGACAGCGGGGAGGCCAAGCGCTCGGGCCTGGGAAGCCAGTGTCACCCCTCAGGGCCGGGATGGCTGGAGGTGCCCATCGCTGGACTTGCTGGCTGGGGCTGGAGCAAATGCCAGGCTTATGTGGGGTGGGGACATGTGCCTGTGGAGGAGACCGCCCTGTGTGGAATGGGACTCACACTGAGCATGCCCACGTCGCGTGCTTTACATTTCTTACTTGGTGATGAAGGCTTTATCCTGTCTATCTTGCAAAGGAAAGAAACTAAAGCTGAACTTGGCTCACATATTGACTCTGTCAACATCCTAGCTCTCATACTAGTTAGACCAGGAATACCCCTGGCTAGAAGGTGAGGCCAATGCAGAAATGAGGCCTGGTGCCCTTCTGCCTGCTGTGGGGAGGCCGGGGGCAGGGGATGGGGATGCAGACACAGGGAGGCAAACGGGGTACGAGGGAAGCACCTCGTGGGTTCAGCTGATAAAATGTTTACTGAGCCAGGCTCCCTGAAGGAGGGGTTGCCCCAGGGCAGGAGGACCTGTGCCACGAAGGCAGGGGCAAGAAAACCTTGTGTCAGAAGGTGAAGGCGGTTGGGGCAGGCTGAGGAAGCTTTCCTAGCTTCAGTGTGTGGAGGTAGTGGCAGAGAAAAGGCTGGACAGGTAGCGAAACCGGGTTATGCTACAAATCAGCCAAGTAAGTTATGGGAATCGCTCCAAGTCCCAGGTGGTGAGGCTGAGGCGGGTTTCTGACGCCAAAGCCTGTGTTGCCTCCCCATCCTCCAGCGGACCCTAGCCAAGCACCTGTGGAGCCAGGTGGAGACTGTGGAAGGGCAGGGGCAGCCCTGGCCTCCCTGGCACTGAACCCAAGACACTGCATGAGTGAGAGGTGCCTCTGTTCTCTTTCTGGTCCGCCTCAGCATGCGCAGTGGTAGAGGTGTTGATGGCAACTGGTGAGTGGGCCGGGTGCTGCTTCAGCTCCACCCACAGCCCTCTGAGTTAGAAGCTATGACTGTCCCCATTTCACAGATGAGGAAACCGAGGGTCAGAGAAGTTAGCAACTTGCCCAGGCTGCATAGGGAATGGCAGAGCTGGAGTCTGAACCTAGCAGGGGTGCTTCTGAACTCAGTCCCCTGGGAAAGGGAAGGCAAAGCCGGAAGGGGCGGGGAGGAATACCTGCCGCTCACTGAGTGTTTATCATCTTCCTGGCACTGCACTAGGCTCTTTACATACATGGTCCCCTGGAATCCTTGCCTCTGCCCTCTGAGATGAGTACTATTGCCATGAGGAAGGTGAGAGGCAGAGGAGGAGGCACCTTGGCCAGGCTGAAAGGTCAAGGCTGGTGTCCTGGGCTGTGCCACGTGGGCGGTGCTGAAATGCCAGGACTGCTGGGAATTCAAAGGCCCGGAAAGATATGGAGAGGACAGACTCGGCTTCTTGATCTAGGGCTACAGCGGTTCCTCTGCAGAGGAACGAGCCTGGCGATTTTTCAGACGAGGCTGAGACAGATGAGCGCTGTTCTAAACAAAGCCAAGGAGCATTCTGAAAGGCAGCCTCCTCTGGGAAACACGAACTGCAGACACGGGGGCCGGGCTCCCCTGGGGGGACACAAACTCTAGATCCAGCTGCCACCCAGTGCTCCCAGGAGGGCTGGCACCCGCTCCTGCCCTCCCCCAGTCAGTCCTGCCAGGTGTGGAGGCAAGGTAGCCCTGGAGGCCAGATGTGGGGAGGGCCCAGGGCAGCGCAGCCTGCCGGCAGCCAGCACCATCACTGTCTCCAAGACAGACTCCCAGACCAGTGCCCACCCAGCTGTCCATGAAGCCGTCCCTGGGGGCTGGATGGACTCAACTCCCAGCCCTGTCTCTCCAAGCCCAGGCCCCTGCACCAGCACACGCCCGTCATGTCTGACCCCCCGTGCTCATCTCAGCATGAAGCATGCACATGCATGTGTGCGTTTGTGCACAGTGTGCTGTGTGTTGTGAGTGTGTGAGTGTATGTGGGTGTGGAGCGTAGTGTATATGACCTACTCCAGTGGCTTGGGGGCTGCAGCGAGGCCAGGTCTGTGTGGCTCTGTGAGTAGGGGAAGGAGGGTGGACGTGGACCCTTCGCTCTCCATCCTTGGAATACCAGATTCAGACAGCAAAGAACAGGGAAGGAAAGCAATGGGGGCTTTCCCCCCATTGCTGAAGGAAAGCAGACAGACAGCTTGGAGAGGGCCCACCCTGGGGAGTGGGAACTGGGGCCAAGATGCGCTCTGCTTGGCCCCTCCCTCCCAGGGTGGCCTGTCTCAGGCGGACAGAAAGTGACCGCACGCTCAGAACATCATCCAAAGGGCATCCAGCAACTTGGCAAAGTAGCGAAGGTTCTCTCCTTGACCAAACTCTCAGACTCCCTGAGCTCTTTCTCAATGAGGCCTTAACTTGTACATTTCCTCATTCATTTCTGCACTGTCCTTTTGTGAGAATCCTACGAAGTCGGTTTATCCAGACTCCACGTCTGATCACCCTCCGTATCTGACAGGGCTCCTCGCCTTCCACCAGCCCTCAGGTGACATCTGATCACCCCAGCCTGTCTCAGAAGTGTAAGGCAAGGAGGAGCAAGTCACTTCTTACGTGGATGGCGACAGGCAAAAAGAGAGCACTTGTACAGAGAAACCCCCATTTTTAAAACCATTAGATCTTGTGAGACCCACTCACTATGATGAGAACAGCACGGGAAAGACCTTACCCCATAAGTCAACCATCTCCCACCAGGCCCCTCCCACAACACATGGGAATTACCGGAGCTACAAAATGAGATTTGGGTGGGGACACAGAGCCAAACCATATCAGATGGGGTGGGTAGCTTGGGTCTTTCTGCCTTGGTGAATCTCCTACAGTCTCTGCACTTCCTGACTTGGTTGCTTAGCCTCTTGCAATCCACCAAGGTGCAGTACAGGCCTCCCTGGGCCAACAGCACTGCTTCCAAGGTAAGAACAGGGTTTTTGAAGGCAACTTGGAAATGAATGCCTTTCTGTTGTCTACTTACTTCACAGGGAGGCAATGTCAGGTCCCTGAACCACGTCCTGGGCAGGGGATGAGGTGCCTGTGCTGGGGGACCTGTTGGTAAAGGCTGGGGGAGAAACAGAGACCAACTGGGCCCAGACACACCATTTATAGGGTGCAGGGCAAGAGCACAGGTGTGGACCCACCTGCCACATTAGATCGACGTCTGAATCTTCAGAAGTTACCAATCAAGCTCACAGCCGGACATGAAGCTTGTTTAATCCTCCTGGCAAATTTACCTTTGTAGCGACCAAGAAGGCCGAGTTAAAATGTAGACTTCCCGGGCCCCTTAGAGTTCTGGGCGGGAAAGTGATGATGCGGTGTGCGCCAGTTCCCTGCTCCCAGCCCTGGTGCTGGCTTGCCCACCTCCTCCTCCCAACCCCACACCCTGCCTGGTACTATGACCCCGCATTCTGACCACAGACCTGGGACCCAACCCCTCAGCACAGCTCCGCCAGGTGTCATGCTCGTGGCGTGCTGTCAACACAGCAAACTTGATGACCTTGCCCCATCCTCCACTTCCTGGCTCCAGGTGCTGGGTCACCCCCCTCAGGGACGGCCCACTGGACAGTGGCCCAAGCCCTGAACCCAGGCCCGCCCCGTTCTGCTGTCCTGTCACGGGGCAGGACCACTCTCTAGGCCTGACGCCACACCCTGCGTATTTCTCAACTCCAAGCCCTCCCACACCACGCCTGGCTGCCTGCACGTGTGCATCTGCTTCTTCTGCTTGTCTCCCCTGACTCCCCCTTGTTTATGCTCTGGTGCTCAGTTCAGAAGAAGATTCTTGACAGAGAGAAACAGATTGTTTCTTTTACACTTGTACAGGCAAAGCCGTGCCTGGATCTATAGGTGTCCCTCTATAACCCGGCCCTGTCTGGGCTCCCAGGCCCAAGGATGCTCTGCTCCTTCCTGGGACCCAGGACAGCCCTCTGAGCCACCCAGCCCTGCAGCCCGAGTGAGGGCCTGCCACATGCTCATTGGAGGAGTGGGAGAAGGCCAGCTTTCAGCAGCCTGCATTTGGGCTGAGGAAGACCCCTGGAGTACCTCTAACGCAAGCAGAGCGGCCCACTGCAAAAGTGTCCTGAAGTGCTGCTTCTGAGAACCCAAAGAATGATGTGTAATTAGCATATTAAGAACTAGTATGCAAATCACGGTGCTTTAAAACAGTCTGTTCTCTTAAATACAGTCACGCACAGCTTAACACTGCGGATAGGTTCTGAGAAATGCGTCATTAGGCGATTTGTCCTAGTGTGAACATCACAGAGGGCACTCACACGAGCCTGGAGGTCAAGCCTCTACACACCGAGGCCGTGTGGTGGAGCCCATTGCTTCTAGGCTATAAACCTGTACAGCGTGTGACTGTACTGAACGCTGTAGACAACGGCAACACAATGGTAAGTATTTGTGTATTACCCAAACATCTAGACACAGAAAAGGTATGGTAAAAATAAGGAATTATAATCTCACGGGATCACCGTCACACATGCGGTCCACCACTGACTGAAATGGCATGTGGTGCACGACTGTAATTTAATCCTCTCCACTGCCCTCTTCTCCCCTAGAGTATACATGTGCCCAGGAAACAGATGGCCAAGGTGCGGAGGGCACCTGGGAAGGGAGAGCCCCAAGCAGCTGTCTCAGGTCTCAGCTGCGGGACCTTCAGCCTCTCATTCTGCCTCTGAGTTGCCCACCACGCACCCAGAAAGGAACATGAGGACCAAGTTCCCAGTCTCAGTTGCCTGGTGATGGGAGGTGGAGCAGCGCAGTCCAGGGCAGCCACTGCACATGCCCTGCACCGGGTCTGAGAATGAGGCTGCAGCTGCAGCCGGGGCAGGGCCAGTGCTCACCCTGGCTTCCTGGAAGTGGGGTACGGGTCTCTGCTATGGACTGGCTGAAGCCTTCTTCATTCTGTGATTGAACAGGAATAATTCCCCCAGAGGGCCTTAATTTAGCACTAACCAGGTGCTAGATACAGCAATAGGCATTTTCCAAGCGACTCATTTTTGTCTTCCTAATAACTCTGGAAGCCAGGCTTTATAGAGGAAAAAGAACAAGGCGCTGAGAGGGTAAGCCATTTGGTTAAAACCACAGAGGAGTGTGGGGATTAAAACGTGGCTCTGGCGAATATAAAGCTCATGATCTTTCACTATGACTACAGGAAGGCCTCGCCTTTGGAATGAATGAAAAAGACCCATGGATTTATCTAGAAAACTAATTCCTTATTGAGTCATGGGGAACTTTGAAAATCTGATGGAAGCTACAGCCCCTCTCCCGTGGGGACATGTTAGTCCCCTCCCTCCCTCCCTCCTTCACTCATAGCAAATATTCACTGAGCAGTCACCACGTGCTAGGCACTGTGCCAGGTTCTACAAACAAAACAACGCCCATGGCTTCCAGTCTCTTCCTTCTGGTAGAAGAAACCAGAAAACAAACAAGCACACATGCACATAAACACACACACACACACACACGTGCACACATGTGCACACAGGCACATGCACACACATGCACGCACGCGTGCACACACACGTCGATCATTCAGGTGCTGGTAAGCGGGGACAGGATAAAGGGAGCTGGAGGCTGCCACGTGGGTCAGGGGAGACGAGGAGTGGCTCAGACCAGGTCGAAGCTGTACAAGCTAAGAAGTGGTCAGGTCAGGCCATGTTCCAGCAGGCCAGTGATGGAGCAGGCATAGTGTGGAAGGGGTCAGGTGTTGGGCCTCAGCAGCCAGAAGAACTGCCCGTTGACAACTGGGGACACCGAGGAGGACTAGGACTCGGGAGGTTAGCAGTATCGAGCATTTGATCTTGGCCTTGTGAAGGTGGAAGTGCTCATTAGATACACGGTAGGTCTGCCGATGGGGGGTTGTGACCCCAGGGAGAACGGTGTCTCAGAAGCCAAGTGAAGAAGGGCCTTGGGAGGAGGGAGCTATCAGTGATGGCAAGTACGGTGAGGGCACAGGTGTGGGGACTGTGTTGGCATGGAGGCCACAGTGACACATCCACTGTCTGGATGGAGTGGTGGGAGCTGCAGCCTGGGGTGGGTGTGCTCGAGAGAGCTAGGGGAGAAGGAGAGGAGGAATGAGCAGAGGTGGCACCTTGGAGTCCGTGTGGCTGTAGCAGGGGCAGTGAAATGGGGTGGCTGCAGGAGGACGTGGATCACAGGAGATGGTGGCATTTTGTGATAGGAGATGCCACAACATCTTTGCTGAAGAACCTGAAGCAGTCCAGAAAGAAAGACCAGGGAGCAGGGCAGGGCTGCAAAGCTGTGTCCCAGAGGGATCACCTATGAAGCCATGGAAAGGCCATCAACCATCATCCAGGACATGCTTAAAATGCAGGCACAATAATTCATTCCCCTCTAGTGCCGGCAGAATGGCTTTCCCAGCACTGAGTGAGACACGGGTTCAGCTGAGGTGGTTCTGCCCCCTGTGGCCTGTCTTACTGTGGCCTCAGTTCACTTTTCAGAGCATGCCTGTGTTCACAAGGACACACCAGGCTCCACACTTAATGACCGGAAACCCCAAGTTGGAGGCGTCCCTGTCCTGGTGTGTACGTAGGGCATGTGTAGGAAGACAGCTGGATCTGGATCAGTGAGGCGACCGGCTAGAGGAGGTGACCCCTACCCCTGAGCTGCCCACTCCCCACCACGGTCCGGTGCATCCAGTCTGCAGATGTGTTGGGGAAAGAAGCATACAAGGAGTGAAGAAGACACTGAAACGTGGCAGCAAGTACTCGGTTCTCGTCCCAGAACCGCACTCCTGTCTCTCTGCAATACTTATCTAGACACTCTGCCTTCTCTCCTACCATCGTCTCCATCATCCCAGGGCACAGTAGGTCTTCAGGCCACATAAGACAATTCATTCTAAAGGAGACACTCCGTCACCTTCTTGCCAGTCTCTCCAAGCCAACGCTTGGGTTCCTGCATGAGGATCCACTGAACACCTGCTCAGGCTGGAACGAGCACCCACAGATGCACCCAAGGGTGGGGCTGCTGCCTGGTCCCCCCAAACACACTCTCTCCAGTTGGTTCGTTTGTTCTCCATCCCATCGCTCAGAGGCGGACCTCACCACAGGACCTGGGTAACTGCCCAAGTTCTGGTAGGAGAAGGGAGGAAAAGCCAGGCTGAGGTCAAGAAGACCCCACTGAATGGGATTCCTAAAGCTCCCCCAGCTACAGGGTCACTGACGCCCTCGAGGGACAGCACTATTGTGTGGACATGTGTGGGTTTGCGTTTTCCTAGACAAATAGTCCAAAGCTTTCATCCAATCATCAAAATGCTCTGAGGCTCCAGAAGGTTAGTAGCCAATATCTTAAAGGACAGGGTGGCCGTGGGTGGGAGGAGAGATGAGGGCAAGAGGATTAGAGTTAAGGGAAGAACAGTTTAGAAATAGGCAAGGAAGGGAGGGCTTTTCTTGGTTTCAGGTCAGAACCCCCATCAAGGGGCTGGGCAGGTGAAGTGGTGGCAGGCTCCAGAGGCCCTTGATGAAGGACAGGGGCTGGGATTCCCAGAAGGCTGCCAGAGGACCCTGTGTGGGGTACGGAGGTGAGGGTCTGGGGGCAGAGGCAGGAACAACCATAGGAGTGGACACACAGATGTGTGCTCTTGAAATGCCAAGCCTGTGCCAGTCTGCCTCCGAGGTATAACCCAGGAGAGCTCTTTCCCACAACTGAATTTGGATCACCCAGCCTGGCACAGGGCACACTTCATCCCCAGCCGGGGTCTGTGCCAGGGCGGTGAGCTGGTGGCACACGTAGGTAGGCTTCTCCCCCATCTGACCTCACGCTGCTGGGGCTGCCTTGAAGGGCGCAGGTGTGGCCCTGAAGCTTTATCTCTCAAAGGGCTACCAGCACAAACATCATCACTGTGTAATTTCCATAGATGCAACAGCTAAAGTGCAAAGTAATCCAACAGTGAAATGTTTTGCTTTCTTTATTCCAAGGCCTCAGGGAACCTGTCAAATCCCCTTGGCCCCAAACACTAGGGCGCAGAGATGGAAAGAAAGAGGAGTTCTGACAGCCTCAGGCTCCCTCACCAGCTCTGCCAGCCCTGACGGGATGCGTGTCCTTGGGCGTGTCTGCCACCTGCTCAGGCTCAGCCCATCTGTAAAAGGAGGGGGCAGGCCAGGGAGTGTCTCTGCTCCCGTACTGGGGTCTGGCCATCCACAGTTGGCTCCACACCCCTGTGGCCCCTCATGCTGCAGTAATGCCCCCAGGCTGGGCCTGGCCTCCCTGTGCCCATCATGATCCTCCTACCTCAACAGTTGGCACAGTGGCTGTGCTCTGGGAGCCTCTCTCCCCAGGTTGCCTCTAAAATGTCACAACTGATTCCCCAAATGCAAGTTGTGGCTCTGTCTAAGTCCTTCAATAAATATGTACTGACTTCTGCACCAGGGGCTCTGGAATCAGACCTGTGTTCAGATCAGGACCTGGGAGTGCACACGCGGCCCCAGGTGCTCCTCCTCATTGATAACGACCTAACCGGCATCACGTGGGGACTCAGCAGCCCTTCCATGCAAGGTGCTCAACACACAGTTTCTATCATTAAGGTCCCCGCTCCTGAGGTCACTCACTGGAGGGAGACAACAGATCGGTCTCAGGCTCAGCCCTCTGCCCACAAGAGCTCCCCGCCTGGCTCCTCCTAAGAACACTTTCTTCAAGGCCCAAGCCAACGGAATGTCACATCCTTTGGGAATCATCCCTGTTCTCCTGAGGGAATTGCTGTCTTGTGCGTCCCGCAGACCTGTGGCTACAGCACTTATCATATGCTCTCTTGCGTCCTCACCTGCATGTCTGTGCCCACCACATGACTGTGAGCCCCTGGAGTGCGGCCCTGGCACAGGGCCCGGCTGGCAGTTGCTGGACCATGCCCCCTGGACTGTGCCCCCTGCTATGCCTGCTGAGGACGCCAACGAGGACCCTGATGATGACAAGGCCACGTGTCAGCTACCACATGGCTCCAGGTGCTTTACACATCATCTGATTTAGTGGAGACCTGGCGAGGCAGGAATTACTATTTCTTATATAACAAATAAGGCATCCTCTGAGAGGCGTAGGGACTAGCCCACATCACACAGCTAGACAGGGTACAGCACAGATGTGAGCCAAGTCTGTGCGCCTCCAAAGCCTTGCTTTTCCCACTCTGCCTGTGTTTTCTGAAGTGAGCTAAGTTCATCAACACGGGTAGAAAATGCAAACTGCTACCAGAGAAGGAGGATCCGTTTCTTCTGACACCAACAGGATGGCTGTCCCACAGAGCATCCCATCCTCACGAGGGCAGCATCCCGTCCTCACGAGGGCTCCGTCCCAGACAAAGTGGGAGGGAGTGAAAGGCCTCCAATGCTGGGTGAGACGGATCCAGGAGGAACATGCTGGCAGGTGCATGTGGGGGTGGAAGGGGGAGGGAGAGAAGATTCCAGATGGAGGGAACAGATGAACCAAGGTGCAGAGGTAGAGGCTTGGGCTTGAGCTGCACCAAGTAGCCCCTCTGGCCAGGCCCAGATTCTGCACAGAGAAGTGGAAATAACAAGCAGGACAAGCACTTCATCAAAGAAGAAACGCCAGCCACTGATGAGCACGTGGCAAGGCGCCAGGCCTCTCCAGTAATCAAAGAATGCAGGCTGAGAGACTGTAGCACAATTCTTTTTGGCCTAGTAGACTGGCATAGATTTTTAAGGAAAATAAAAGCTATTGCTGGCAAGAGTCAAGGGAAATGGATATTTTCATACATGGCTGATTAGAGTCTAAAAGCTGTAATATTTATGGAGGGCAACCTCACAAGTAGCAAACAGCCTTGAAAAATATACAGACCCTTTGACTCAGGGTCTATTCACATTGTTAATATGGGCAGATTTATAATACAACATTATTAATATGGCCAGATTTATAATATGGGCAGTATTGTAACACTGAGAAACTAAAAACTCCCTATAGTCCAAAAATATGGGGGGATGGGCTAAATACTTTCTGGAACATTTGCATAAAGGAATACTATGTAGCCATTAAAAATCATAATTTACATGTAGATTTGGCATGGAACATATTAAGTAAAAGCATAGTTTTACATATTAAGTAAAAGCATAGAAGAAATACATAAAGGAGGCAGTCATTTACTCAGCATTGAGGATCTGGTGCCTCCCAGGTGCTGGACCCTGGAGCCACAGCAGTGAATATGACAGCTGTGACCCTAGCTCCTGCAGTTCCCTGGGCAGTCAGGGAACTGGGGGCACGGGGCAGGCAGGTTTTGCCACCCACCAGTGGTGGGCCAGGCCCTGCGGGCCACACCGACTGCGCTGGCCTGGAAGACCCTGGCCATATTTTCAGTGATGTCTAATTTTGAATAAAATATGTACCTGGAAAATCATCTAGAAAGCTGCATACCTATCTGTTAGTGGTCACCATCTCTGGATGGTGGGATTTCTGGTAATAGTCCATTTCTTCTTTGTGTTCACCTCCAATTGTTAGTTTTCTACAATGAGCATGACTTCCGTTTTCATTTTAATTCATCAACAGGGGTTATCTAAACACAGAGCTCATAGCTCACTTTTATTCTAATCTTTGTACAGCTCTATTAAATGTCTACTAACATACGTGACACCTAGTGTTAGGGGCTGAATCGTGACTCCAAAAATTCCCATGTTGAAGCCCTAAAGCCCAGTACAATACCTCGGGGGGGAATGTATTTAGAGACAGGGCCTTCAAAGACATACAAAGTAAAATGAGGCCCAAGATGGGCCCAATCCTCTCGGACTGGTGTCATTATAAGAGGAGATTAAAACAGACACACACAGAGGGAAGACACAGGAAGAAGGCAGTCGTCTACAGGCCAAGGAGCGAGGCCTCAGAAGAAACCAGTGCTGCCGACATCTTGACCTTGAATTTCTATGAATTTCGAGACTCCACAACTGTCAGAAATAACTTTTTGTTGTCTAAGCCACACAGTCTGTAGTGCTTTGTTAGAAAAACTACTACAGTAACCCTGTTATCCTCGGGGGCAGGTTCCAAGACCCCCAGTGGACGGCTGAAACCTCAGATAGTACTGAACCCTATATACACTATGTTTTTTCCTCGACATACATACCTATGATAAAGTTTAACTTATGTATTAGGCATAGTGAGAGACTTACAATATTAACTAATAACACAAAAGAACAATTGAGTAAAATAAGAGTGACTGAATGCCAGCACTACAACACAGCAGCTGATCTGACGGCAGACACCTCCTAGGTGGCTCAGGGTGGGGAATGTGCACAGCGTGGATTCACTGGACAAAGGGAGATGCAGGGCATGACGGGCAAGATGTCACCATGCTACTCTGAGCACTGCACAATTTAAAACCTACGAATTGTTTATTTCTGGAATTTTCCATTTCACATTTTCAATCTATGGTTGAACGAGGGTCACTGAAACCAAGGAAAGCAAAACCGAGGATAAGGGAGGACTGCTGCACTTCCAGATACTTTTAGAAAGAAGCAAATGCAAACACAGAATACAAACAAAAATAAAGTGAAGAATAAAAATAAGATTGAATAGTAATGATCCAAAGGCTTAAAATAAGCAGTAACCTAGATCTCATAGGTCAGAGAAAATGAGTGGAAGAACTAATATTCACTAAATTTTAGGTAGAGCATGAATTACTTTTATACTGATTTGTACAAATTGTTTAAAACATGCTTAAAAAGAAGAAGAAATACATAAAGGAAGTGGTCATTTACTCAGCATCTAGGATCTGGTGCCTGCCGGGTGCTGGACCCTGGAGCCACAGCAGTGAATATGACACTTGTGACCCTAGCTCCTGCAACTCCCCAGGGAAGGCAGGGAACTGGGGGCACGGGGCAGGCAGGTTTTGCCACCCGCCAGTGGTGGGCCAGGCCCTGTGGGCCACACTGACTGCGCTGGCCTGGAAGACCCTGGCCACCCTGGGCAGACACCAGCGAAAGCCCAATCCCGAGTGCTGGTCTCCCATCTGCACTGCAGGTCTCTTCAGGACCCTTCATTTCCTAAGGCACCCACAGCGCTGCCAGCCCGTTACTCCTGGCAGCCTGGCTCAGAGGGCAGTGGTGACAATGGAGCCCAGACGCCCCGGAGAGAGGTTCTGCTGCCACCTCCCGACCTTGTATGCTGGGCTGGGACCTCGACCTGAAGAAGCCCTGGCTCCCGGAAGCCGGTCCTCACCGTGGCTCCCCGCATTTTGAGACTCACATTTCTTTCCATGTTTTGCTCCTTTGCAGAGCGGGGAAGGCTTTGGTGTCTGAGGCTTTAGGGATTCACAATGGGAGTGTCATCTTAGTGAAGTTCTCCAGGCACGGGTTCACAAAGGTTCCACAGGGAGCTGCTTTGGCGAGATGGGCCTGGGTCCCCACGGGGCCCCATCATTCTCCAGCTCTGTGACATCGTGAAACTGCGCAAACAGTGCCTCAACTGAGAGCTCCCAGTGGACAGCTCAGCCAGCGTCTGGTGCTCTAGGAGGGAGGAAACCATGGCAGATGCTCTTTTCCTGAGGCCACAGAGCTGGGGGACATCACTAATGAGAAACAGTAAGAAATTCAATGACTTAAAAATGGAAAAGGAGAGGCCTCACAGAGATGGACTGAGCCCTTAGCGTGGTGGGGAAAACAAGTTCAACAACCTGGACCCCAGCAGGCAGGAGGAAAATTCCAGAAGACAGTAGTGCAGGAAGGCAGCTGAGGACAGTCCCACCACCAGAGACCTTGAACAAAGGCTGGCCCTGCCCGGGCCTGGCGGGCGTAGGGAAGAGTCACCACGCCTCTCCTGATGCGTCTGGGCTTCTGGGACCCTCCCGCAGGAGTCCCTGGACAAGTGGAGAAGAGGGTTGGGTAGAGGAACTGGTCTAGAAAGTGTACCCCCAGGGACGCCAACATGCTGGAGACACTGAACTTGCTGTGTGGTCAGCCCTTGAGCATGCCTCTGCCTGCTTGGGAGCTGAAAGGGGGAGCTCAGATCCTTTGTGCACCTGCAGGGCAGGGAACTCCTCCTTCCCAGCCACCTCCAGTCCTGGTGCTAGACTGGCTCCCAGAAAACTCTAGGGCCCCAAACTCATCTCTTTTGAAACTTAACGCATCATCTATCTGCCACATTTGCTCCTTCTGCAAAGTCCCATCTCAGAGAACGGTGCCGCCCAGCACTCTCAGAAGAAACCTGGCATCAGTCCTGGCGCCTCCTGTCACTCATTTCTAGCCAATCATGAAGCCCTGCCCAGGACGCCGGATCCCATGTGTAGAAACACAGTGTATGCCAGTTGAAGCCAGGGGTCCATGTGAACCCAGAGTGTCTAGGCACTACTCATCCATGCCTCTGAAGCCTGCAACCCTGGCCAGCTCTTCTGAAATAGGGGCCTTGGGGTAGGTTTTGAAATAAAAAACATGCAGGAGAGAAAGCTGAGCTCTGGCCAGGTCATGGAAGCGTAGGACAGTGCAGCCAGGAGGACCACTGCTGATCATCTGAAGTGACTTTCACAGAGGGGAGTGGCAGCAGACCCCACACGAGTGGTAGGCGCTGAGGACCACACGGATATTTGTGACAAGTGGAAGTAGAATCTGCGCGTCAGTGATTGAAGCCTGTGTGTGCAGACAGCGCAGACCCCAGAGCCGCCAGGCTGGGCTGACCCAAACCTGCTCCTGCAGCTCTCCTGGCCAGGCCAGGCACCCTCGGCCTTTAGGGTCAGGTGTGTCTCTAGGACACAACACAGGAGCCTGACTCAGTGCCCACAGCCCTCCTGGCTTGCCGAGAGAGGGAACAGGGAGAAGTCTCCGCCCAGCATGGATCTGGGTGGCTAGGTTTGTTGAGAAGGGAGATATCTGAGCTCACAGTGACAGCCCCTTTAATGGAGACTTAATTATGCTGCGGCCTGGTGTGGAGGATGGATGGGGCACTGGCTACCACATGCTGCTGAGGGCTATCTATCTAGCCCGCCAACCTCTGAGGCCTACAGATAACCTGCTTCTCACATCACCTGGGATCCACATGGAAGGTGATCATTAAGCCAAACGGCCCACACGTGTGCACATGTGCTTACACGCATGAATATGCTCCAGGTGAACCCACTGATGCACAGGTCTGTGCCTGTGGCCCTACAGGCCCGTGCAGGGCAGAGGGAGAGGCCCAGACTGAGTGCCCCACTGGTGCCTGGTGCTACAAAGAGGTCATTTCACATCACCTCATGGGAACCCAGTGAGGGGAGAGTATTATCCCATTTTACAGATGAGGAGATGGGGGCTGGGGCCTCATCAGGGACTCATCTGACAGTCCCCAAACTCCTTCACTCTAGCCATCGCCATGGCCACCATCCCAGCCCACGCTCCTGGGATCCTGAGAAGTCCCACACTCTGCCTGTGAGCTCCCCAGGCGTCTGCCTTCGGGGTGCACATGGCCACCCCCACTGCCTTGCCTGGAGTCGGCTACACATAAAATTCCCAGGGCCACAGCTGAGCCCAGGGGTTATCTAAACGCAGAGCTCATAGCTCACTTTTATTCTAATCTTTGTGCAGCTCTATTAAATGTCTACTAACATATACGACACCTAGTGTTAGGGGCTGAATTGTGACTCCAAAAATTCCCATGTTGAAGCCCTAAAGCCCAGTACAATACCTTAGACATACAAAGTAAAATGAGGCCCAAGATGGGCCCAATCCTCTCGGACTGGTGTCATTATAAGAGGAGATTAAAACAGACACACACAGAGGGAAGACACAGGAAGAAGGCAGCCGTCTACAGGCCAAGGAGTGAGGCCTCAGAAGAAACCAATGCTGCCGACATTTGCAAAGTGAATGCAAAGTGAATCCCTGCAGAGCAGCTTCATGAAGCAGGTGAGGCTGGAGGCTGAGGTCACTGTGTTCCTTTCCAGCCTAAAGCCCCAGTGAGGCACCCCTCCAGGAGGCCCACAGTTTGTGCCCTGGGCCACCTCGCAGTGGCTGTGGGTCCCGTGGCAGGACCACGCCTCTGAAGGAGCACTGGCTGCCTCGGGAGTCACGTGGCTGCACCTACCCAGCAGGTAGGGCTGTGTGGGGTTAGTCACCCAGCAGGACGCCTGGCGCGCCCAGGTCTCTGCCTCTGTCCCTCCTCGTGCCGATGGCTCTAACAGGTTTCAACGAAAATCCAAAGTGAATGCTAGAGAGTATTTAGCACCAGTGGGATCACTAAAATGAACACAAATGAAGACAAAGTTCCCAACGGCTGCCAGAGGCCCCGGCTACATTCCTGGAGTTTGTCCTGAAAGCCTCCCTGGGAGCAGGCAGTGCAGCAGACGGCACTGGGTGGGGGAATCAGCAGCCTGAACAGGCGACTGCCCCGAAGGGAAATGGAGGCGATGATGGGGTGAGTCCTCCCCGGTGGACGGACCTCAGAGGTCGTTGGGACAGCTGGGTCGCTAGGCTGAGCTGGACAGTGACAGCTGCTTCCTGCTCACCACACCATCACTCCCATGCCCCACGCCAGCCTGCACCTTCCCCACAGCCCCCACCCTGGCTCCCAGGCATCTGCCACCTGCCTCAAAGTCCCTCACCACCCGCTCACTCCAGCCGGCAGCAAAACCACCCATCAGCCACCTCTGTAGTCCTCTGTGTGTGCGGAACCTTTGCCTGAAACCGACCAACCAATCAACCATGCATTCATTCATCCAGCGACTCTCAATTCAGCTCTTCCTATGTGCCAGGCACCCTTCTAGAAAGAAAATTAAAATGTCTAAAAATAAATAACATAGGAAGACAAAGTGCCTGTTTTCACGGCACGCATGTTCAGTGGAGAAGTCAGAAAACATCCAAACATCATCTCCCACGTGGGACAGCGGTCGACCCTACGAAGGAAAGCCAGGCCGGCTGCGAGGGGAGAGAGGAGCACGGTGCTGAGCTGGACCAGGAGCCTGGGGAAGGCTGGAGCTGCAGGCTGCTGAGAGCGCAGTGGGAGAGAGACAAGCTCCCCAGGCCACATGGACGCGGGCGAAGGCCACTGGGGCGGCAAGAAGGAGGAGGCCCCACGAAGCTCCCACGCCTGCCCTGAGTGAG
Source organism: Homo sapiens (assembly GCF_000001405.40). Taxonomy (NCBI): domain Eukaryota; kingdom Metazoa; phylum Chordata; class Mammalia; order Primates; family Hominidae; genus Homo; species Homo sapiens. The sequence continues at coordinate 139,774,178 of NC_000008.11, forward strand.
ACAGAAGTCGGCATGGGCTGAGCAGAGGGTCATAGATGGATTTATGGATCACAGGCCACTCGGGCTGCCCTGTGAGAAGAGACTGTGGGTGGTGACACCGAGTAGGGACAGGTGGAAGGCTCTGGAAGGGGCTCAGGAGAAACCGGAGGATGGAGGCTGGGACTGGGGGCGCGGTGGGCTGGCCAGCCTCAGGAAGGGCTGGGTGTGCGTGTGTCTGCACGGGTGCGTGCAAGTGTGTGTCTGTGTGTGAGTGCATGTGTGCACACCCTGGGGCAGCTTTATCTCCTCCCCCAACACAAACTCATCCCCATGACCTTCACTGTCCACTCACAAGCATCACTGCCTGGAGAGACCCCCTTCCCGCTGACCGCCAGCGACAGCAGCTGTGCCGCGTCCTCCCTCCCTGGCTCACCTGCCTTAGCACAGTGCGATGTTTCCTCGGCCTCCCCAGGACCAGAAGCAGCACATGGCCAGGAGCAGGTGCTCCACAACATTTCCCGGAGGAACGAGGGCTTCTCCTGGCAAGGCTGAGCTGAGTCTTATTATCATTAATTATTGAAATTGTCATTTCCTGATGAGGATAGGAAGACTTGGCAAGGGAGCAGAATCTCTCCAGTGGACAGGTAAGGGGCAGAGCTAGGAACCAACCTTGCTCTTCTGGCCCAGCCCTAATCCCTGTCGATGTCACACACTTTTGGGAGTGCCCGGAGGGGGACAGAGAACACACAGCATCAACAGCAAAGTCTTCAAGTCCCAGGAACAAGAACCTGAGCAGAACGCCCGGATGGTATCATGTCGCCTCATGCAATGCTTAACCAGATAGTGGGGCACAGGCTGCCACTAAGGGGTCCAAAGGGGCTCTGGTCCCCAAGAATGTCTAAGGGCCAGAGTGGGCCCAGGAAGCATCCTTGGGGCTGTCCGGGTCTGTGGGGCACCTAGCCCTGACTGGGCGGGACTCTGGGGAACCCTGGGCCTCTGCACAGACTCACATCCACCCAGGGGCTCACAGGGCCATGTCCACAACAGGTGGGAGGACCTCAGCCCCTTCCCGCCTGCCAGTCCGGAAGCTCTGAGGGGCTGACTCCCAGTCACAGGGTGAGTTCTCTTTGCTTGCTTCTCTAATAAAAGCAAACTAGATGAGAATATTGGTCTCTGGAGACCGAGCCGAGCCCTGATTATTCATTCCCTTTGTGTCTTCCATTCCTGTAAACATTTTCCCTTTGCACAGGCTGATAAATTTGCTTTTCCCAGAAATGCTTAAGAAAAGGCCTTTGGCCTGGGCTGGGCCCAGAGCGTGTTGTTCTCAGCTAGAAATCACTGACCGCTTTTCTGGGGCGCTGGGAAGTCAAGGGGCCGAGGCCACATCTCCAGGGGAAGGGTGTGGGCTAACTGGGGGCACGGCGGCAGCCCAGGGCTGAGTCCCGAGGACATCTGAGGCCAGCCTGGTTTCCCCCATAGATATGGCCTGGCCTCACCAGGTGTGAGCCCAGAGCCCAGGCTGTGAGTCTGGCAGGCTGGGGCCACCCCGACATCCCCCTAGCTGGCCACTTCCCTCTTTTCGTGTTGCCCTACAAGGTGAAGCCCAAATTCTGGAGCCTTCGGAGGCCTGCCTGGCCATGGTCAAGATGAAGTGCTTGGCTCTCTGTGGCCATCTGTCCTTCCTGCCCAGTACCTGGGCCTCAAAGTGCCGTGTGCCTGGAAATGCCCTCGTCCATTTCCACAGATGAGAGTCAACTCCGCCTTCGGGCACACCCAAGGCAGGTCCACTCCAGAGAGTGTCTCTGGGCCATGCATCTGACAAGCAAGGCAGCCCCTGGGCCAGCCTCCCAGCTTCTGTTGCTTCTGGCTCTGAGCTGTCTTCCTCCTCTCACCAGGCACCTTCAGAGGTCTTGAGCAATAGCCACCAACCCTGACCAACCTCCTTCCTGAGGACAAGAGGACGAGGCTGGACTCTGCCAGGACCACGTGCTAGTCATGGGGGCTTGGGACCCAGCCTCAGTCTCTGGGCTCCCCGACAGGGTTCCTTCCATCCTGCAGGCCTCCTGCACAGGGACGCCAGGCTGCAGCCTCCCAGTCAGATGACTCAGCGCACAGATGAACTCAGCCACTCCAGGCAAAGCCAACAGGCCCAAACAGGGGACGTCAGCTGCTATGTGACGTCATCTCACTCGTCACAACATAGTATTGATCGGTTTGTCCTCCGTGACCCAAAGAGAGGTCACAACGAATTGGGAAGGATGGGGTGGCACCAGGGTGAAGACACATGCTCATCACCCAGGGGTTAGCGTCGCTTGTTTACACAGGTGATGCATCTCAACCCATTCGGCAAACGGGAGCTTCATCGCAATAGCGACTGCCTAATTAGGAAGGCACAGCTGACCACCCAGGCCTCATTCGCAGCTGTGTTCTGAACCTGGACTCCGCCACATGGCTCGGAGCCTCTGGAGCTTTGGTCCCGTCATCTGCCTGTGTGCACGTGTGTGTCTGTGTGTGTGTGCGCACACACACACAGAAAGGCACATGTGTGCTGGCTTCAAGAGCTTGGTGTAGGACAGGCTCCCCAGCTAACAAAAGGAATGATAAATCTTACCTGGGAAACGACTGCATAAGAAGTTCCTCAGGGAAAACAAAAATGATTCTGAGGCAATAAAAGCCAAAGTCCATTGCGCCTGTGACTTACTATAAAATGACAACATGGTTACTTTCGCCTAAACCACCAATTGATGACGTGGGGGCTGTGCCTTGCACCCTCTGTAGCTCCTGTGTGCCAGTTCCCAGCTTGCCTGTAACCCCTGCAGAGTCATTCTTGAACTAGCCCCAAACACTGAGGTTCCAGCCACACTAGGCCCTTCCACTCTTCACACACACCACCAAGGTCCTTCACCTTCCATGGCCTCCTGCTCTGATCATCTTTCAAGAGTCAGTTCAACTGCCACCTTCTCCAGGAAGTGTTTTCTCTACCGCATGGTCAAAATTAAACACAGTCCCCTTTCCTATGGATTTCCATTTCAGCATTTAGCAGGAAGTACTTCTGCACCACCTACCTTGGTTAGACCACATGCTCCTTAGGGACAGGGCTGAGCAGGGTCTGACAGATGCTGGGTGCTTAGTAAATGTTTGCTGAATGAAGGATAGAGAGCTTCATTTTTCTAAAGTTTACCCATGAGAGTTGTTAAAACTCCTTAGGTCTGGCTCCAAATAAGCCCCAGAGGGAACAGAGCGTGCCTGTTTACTCACTGTGTTATCTCCTAATGCAAGGGCTAAATGTGCAACCTAATGCTTTGTAGGGCATTGTAGAGGCGAGGCCTTGTAGAGGCGAGGTCAACATTTCCTGAATGAGCAAATGAATGAAGGAAAGATTTCCTCCTTGACAATAAAGAATTCTAGATCGTGTATTCATCCTGGCCATGAGACTTCTTACATAACGTGTATGTTGGTGAAACAAAATCTTATCAAAACATTCAGAATGAATGAGGCTTCTGCTTCCAGTCAAGACGGAGTAACAAGGATAGATTTACCCTCCGCCTGGAACAAACAACATAAAACAATAAAACAGACAAAATACATGAAACAATGGTTTCCAAGACACTGGCCATTAGGGAACAAAGAACAGAGAGAGAAAAGACACAAATGAAGTGAGCCCTAGAATCATCCCAGCTCATTGTGACAGCACAGGGAGTGGGGACCTCAGGGGCACCCCTAAAGACTGTGAGTTGAGGAGCTGGAACTGAGAGTCTAGGAAGGTGAATGCAGCTAGAGTTTACAGGACAGAATACTGGAAAGGAGACAAGAGAGCTGCAGCTGACGGGGAAGGAAGGGAGAGAGAGAGAAAAAAAAACCTATAGAGATCGGTGGGGGGTTCCCTTACGGATTCAGCAAGACACTGAAAGTACCCAAGGCTAAGGGCAAGAAACACTTGAGAAGTTACAGGAAAATGTGCCTGATGCTCACACAGAGCGAGGAATAGTGCCTGTTCCCATCAGTCAAACACACACACACACACCCATCAGAATTCATAAGGCATTAGGTAGCACATTTAGCTCTTGCATTAGTAGTGGGGAATAATTAGTCCTAGACTAAACACTGCTCTGTTCCTGCCTAAAAAAAATCTTAAAAGCAAAACCCAAAAGGATATAACTGTTTCTGAGTAATTTAACTGTATCTTAGCATCTCAAAGATATTTATAGCCAGCACCCAACAAGACAAAATTTATAATGTCTGGCACCCAATGAAAGATTACCAGGCATGCAAAGAAACAGAAAAATATGACTCACAATGAGGAGTAAAAACAACCAATCAAAACAGGCCCAGAACTGACATAAATGTTAGAATTAGCAGTGAGGACATTAAAACAGTTATCATAACTGTATTCTATTTGTTCAAAAATTTAATGACATAGAAGATACAAAAATGATCCAGACTGAACTTATGTCAATGAAATATATAACATCTCAGATAAAAACAAAAAGGATGGAGTTAACAGATTAGACCTTGCAGAATTAAAAATAGTGAATTTGAAGACACAGCTATACAAACTATCCAAAATGAAACACACAGACAAAAAAATTTTATTAAAAGAAAACACTGGTAAGCTCTGAGACAATTTCAAGTTGCTGAACACAGCTGTAACTGGAGACCTCTGAAGGAGAAGAGAGTGGAGGGAGACAGGAAAAATAATTTAAAAAATAATGGTCAAAATTTTCCCCAAATCCATAAAAACTATAAACTTAAAGATCCAAGAAGCTACACAAATCCAAAGCACAAGACACATAATGTAAACTACACCAAGGCACACTATATTGTAAAATGTTTTTGCCATTACTTTTAATTTGCCATTAAAAGTAATGGCAAAAACTGCAACTACTTTTGCACCAACCTAATAAGTACTGCTCAAAACCAGTGACAAGAATATCAAAATTAGACAGAAAAGAGAGACATGTTGTATACAGAGGAATGAAGATAAGAATGACAGCCAATTTCATATCACAAACAATGTAAGAGAAGTGACAGGGGACAACATCTTTAAGTGCGGGGTGGGCAGGGCAGAGAACTGTTAACCTAGAATTCTGAACCCAGCAAAAAACCAACTCTTTCAAAAACTAAGGTGAAACAAAGAATTTTTCAGAAATACAAAAGCAGAAGGCATTCAGCAGCAGCAGACTCGCATTATCAGAACTGTTTAAACAAAGTCTTTTAAGCATAAAGAAAATAGCACCATATGGAAACATGGATTAATAAAAAGAAATGAAGGCACAGGAAATGGTAACTACATGAGTAAATACATAAGATTTTCTTCTTGAAATCTCTTTACAATAATAATAAAGTCCTGTGGGGCTTATAATGTATGTATAAATAAAACGTATGACGACAATAGTATTAAAGCCCATAGGGAGGATTGCAACTACATTATAATAAGGTTCTTACAGTATACACGAAGATGTATAATGTCACTTCATGACAGACTATAAGTCAAAGATGTATATTCTAAACCTCAAATGCAACCACTAAGATAATAAAAGAGTTATAGCTAATAAGCCAATGAAGGAGATCAACTATCTTTGTTCATAGATGACATGGTTGTCTATTAGAAAATCTAAAAGAATTGACAAAAAAAACCCTCCTGGAGTGAAGAGCAATAATTAGAAGGATGCAGGACACAAGGTTAATATACAAAAGTCAATCGCTTTCCTATATACCAGCAATGAACAAGTCAAATTTGAAAGTAAAAACATAATATCACTAGCATCCCCAAAATGAAATACTGTGCTATAAATCTAACAAAACATGTACAAGAGCTACACGAGGAAAACTACAAAACTCTGATGAGAGAAAATCAAATAAGAACTAAATAAATGAAGAACTATTCTATGTTCATGGGTAGAAAGACTCAATATTGTCAAGATGTCAGTTCTTCTTAAGTTGATTATCTATAGATTTAATGCAATACCAACCATAATCCAACCGTGGACATTGAAAAACTGATTCTAAAGTTTATATGGAGAGGTAAAAGATCCAGAATAACTAACACAATATTGAAGGAGAAGAACAAAGTCATAGCACTGACACTACCCTATGTTAAGCCTTGCTATAAAGCTACAGTAATGAAGACAATGTGGTATTGGTGAAAGAAATAGATCAATGGACCAGAACAGAAACAAACAGATCACGGGAACAGAACAGAGAGTTCAGAAATACACTCATGTCTGTATCATAAACTCTGACAAAGGAAGAAAGGCACTAAAACAGAGAAAATATAGCCTTTTAAACAAATGGTGCTGGAACAACTGGACATCCACATACAAAGAAATTAATCTAGACATAGACTTTATGCCCTTCACAAAGAATTAGCTCAAAATGGATTGCAGAACTAAATGCAAAATGCAAAACTATAAAGCTCCTAGAAGATAACACAGGAGGAAATCTAGATAACCTTGGGTATGGCAATGCCATTTTACATACAACACCAAAGGTAGAATCAGTGAAAGAAAGAACTGGTAAGCTGGACTTCATTACAATTTAAAGCTTCTGCTCTGTTAAAGACACCACCAAGAGAATGAGAAGACAAGCCGTAGCAAATATATTCAAAGATTTATTTGGCAAAAGACTGTTATCCAAAATATACGAAGAACTCCAAAATCCCAATGATAAGAAAACAAACAATCTGATTTAAAAATGGGCCAAAGAGGTGAACAGACATTTCAACAAAAAAGAGGGAAAAAAAGGCAAATAAACATATAAAAAGATGCTAAACATCATACGTCAATAAGAAATTGTAAATTAAAATAATGATGAGATACCACTATATGCTTATTAGAATCTAAAACACTGACAATACCAAATGCTGACAAGGCTGTGCAGCAACAGGAACTCAGTCATTGCTGATGGGAAAGCAAAATGGTACAGCCACTTTGGAAGAGAGTTTGTTGATTTATGACAAAACTGAAATACTCTTACTAGTATAATCTAGCAGTCACACTTCTCGGTATTTACCCAAATGAGTTGAAAATTTATGTCTACACAAAAACCTACATGTGGATGTTTAGAGAAGTTTTATTCATAATTGCCAAAACTTGGTAGCAACCAAGCAACCTTCAGTAGGTGAATGGATAAACTGTACTTATAGACAATGAAATAGTAGCACCAAAAAGAAATGAGCTATCAAGCCATGAAAAAATATGAAGGAAACATAAATGTGTATTACTACGTAAATGAAGCCAATATGAAAAAGCTACACACTGTATAATTCCAACTATATGACATTCTAGAAAAGGCCAAACAATAGGGGTTAGGGTACAAAGAAGGATAAACAGGCAGAGAATAGAGGACATTTAGGGCAATACACCTATTCTGTATGATACTCTAATAGTGGATACATGTCATTAGACATTTATTCAAACGCATAGAATGTACAATGCCAAGAGTGAACCTTAGTGAAAACTGAACTTCGGTTGATATTGATGTGTTAATGTAGGTTCATTGATTATAACAAATGTACCACTCTAGTGTGGGATGTTGAGAGTTTGAAAGGCTGTGTGTGTTTGTGTGTGTGCCTGTGTGTGCGGTGGGAGGGAGGGGTATATGGGAACTCTGTACTTTCTACTCGATTTTGCTGTGAACCTAAAACTGCTCTAGAAATAGTGTATAAAAATAATGGAATCATAAAAGTACTCAGTGAATCCAAAACAAGTCAGGAAAAGAGAAAAATAGAACAAAGAACAGTTGGGGAAGGCAGAAAACAAACAGAAGATGATATACTTAAACCTAAGTATATTAATAATCACATTAAATGTAAATGAACTAAATGCAGACGCACCCAATAAAAGGCAAAGATTTTCAGGATAAAGAAAAGCAAGCACTTACAAAAAATGTACTTTAAGTGTAAAAAAATAAATAGGTTAAAATTTAAAGTATGGAAAAAGGGGCCAGGTGTGGTGGCTCATGCCTGAAATCCCAGTACTTTGGGAGGCCGAGGCAGGCAGATCACTTGAGGTCAGGAGTTTGAGACTAGCCTGGCCAACATGGTGAAACCCTGACTCTACTAAAAATATAAAAATTAGCCAGGCGTGGTGGCATGCACCTGTAGTCCCAGCTATTCAGGAGGCTAAAGTAGGAGAATCAGTTGAACCCAGGAAGTGGAGGTTGCAGTGAGCAGAGATCGTGCCACTGCACTCTAGCCTGGCCACAGGGGCCCCGCTCCCAGAAAAGGGGGGAAAAAGGTATATCATGTTAATACAAATGTAAAGAAGGTTATATTGGCTATATTAACATCATAGCAATTGATATTATAAAGTTATAAATGCCATTTCATAAGTATAAAGGGGTCAATTCCTCAAAAAATACATAAGAATCCTAAATTACATACGTAATAACAGAGCTCCAAAATTCGTTAAGTAAAATCTAATGGAGCTGATTGGTAACAGACAAATCTGCTATGGTAGGTGGGCAACTGAATATCTTGTTTCAATGATCGATACCAGCAAATAGAAAATCAGCCAGGGCATAAAAGACTGAAATGACATTGTCAGACAACTTGTTCTAATCAATATTTACAGAACATCCTGCTTGAAAATAGTAGAATATAAATTATATCAAGTGAACATTGAGTATTTATCAATATAGACCATATTCTTGACTAGAAGTTTAAAAGGATTCAAGTCATACAATGGATGTTCCCTGACAACAATGAAATTAAATTAGCAATCACTAACAGAAAAATACATGGAAAATTCCCAAATCTTTAGAAACTGAACAACACACTTCCAAATAACCCTCAGGTCAAAGAAGAAATTAAGTGAGAAATTAAGAATTATTTCAAACTGAATAAAAATGAAAGTATAACATATCAAAATCTGCGAGCCATCACTAAAGCAATGCTTACAAGGAAATTCATAGCACAAATCACCTATTAGAAAAAAACTCAAATTTATGATTTCGTCTTCCACTTTATAAATCAGGAATAGAAGAACAAACTAAATGCAAAGAAAGAAAAGAAAAGGATGAACAGCAAAATGGAAATCAATGAAATAACAAACAGAAAATCAATAGAAAAAAAATCAATGAAACCAAAAGCTGGTTCTTAGAGAAGCTCAACAGAATCTATAAATCTCTAGCCAAACTGATCAGGAAAGGAAGGAAGACAGAAATTATCAATATCACGATAAAAGAGATGACATCACTGTAGGTTCTCTAAATATTGAAAAGAAAATAAGGAAATATTCTGAAAAGCTTCATTTCATTTGACAACATAGATAAAATGGATAATTTCATTGAAAGACACATACTACCAAAGTTCACTAAAGAAGAAACAGCTAATCAGAATATTCTTTAATATACCTACAAAAGAAGTTGAATTCATAGTCAACATCCACAAAGAAACTTCAGGTCCCGATTATTTTACTAGCAGATTCTACCAAACATTGAAGAAAGACACAAACTCTTCCAGAAAATCAGAGGGAATATTTTCCAACTCATCTTCTGAGTCCAGCATTATCCTGATGCCAAACCAAGACAGGAATGTTACAAAAGAACTACAAATATCCCTTATAAACATAGATTAAAACATTCTTACAAGGTTTTTTAGGATACTGAATCCAACATATATGAAAACATAATATCATTACCAACTGAAGATCATCTTAGGAATGCAAGGTTGGTTTAGCATTTGAAAATCAATCAACGTAATTCACCATATTAACAAATAAAAAAAGAGAAACCATATGATCATCTTAATGGTTGCAGAAAAAGTGTGTGACACTACACAACATTCATTCCTGATTGAAAATGTAAAAACTCTCAGCAAGCCAGGACAGGAGAGAGGTGCCTCCACTTGATCAAGGCCATCTCTGAAAATCCACAGACATCATACTTAAGGGTAAAAGACCCCATGCTTTCCCCTTCAGATCAGAAAATTTCTTATTCTCAGCATTTCTATTCAACACTGCACTGGAAGTACTAGGCAAAGAAAAAATAAAATGCATTAGTTTGGAAAAGAATTAAAATTGTCTTTATCCTCAGATGACATGATTGACTTTGTAGGAAATCCAGTGGAATCTTTAAAAACAGCCACTAGAATAAGTAGGCTTAGTAAGGTTTTAGGCTATAAGATCAACATATAGGCCCAGCGCAGTGGCTCACGCCTATAATCCCAGAACTTTGGGAGGCCAAGGCAGGTGGATCACCTCAGGTCAGGAGTTCGAGACCAGCCTGGCCAACATGGTGAAACCCCATCTCTACTAAAAATTCAAAAATCAGCTGGGTATGGTGGCGGGCACCTGTAATCCCGGCCACTCAGGGGGCTGAGGCAGCAGAATGGCCTGAACCCAGGAGGCTGAGGTTGCAGTGAGCAGAGATCGCGCCATTGCACTCCAGCCTGGGCAACGGAGAGAGACTCCATGTCAAATAAATAAATAAATAAATAAATAAAAGACTGACATATATATATATATATATATATATATATATATATATAAATCAACTGCATTTCCATATAGTAACAATAAGCAATTGGAAATCAAAACTTAAAAAATACTATTTACAATAGCATAAAGAATATGAAATACTTAGGGCTGAATCTGACAGAAGGCGTGTGAGACTGGTATGTGGAAATCCACAAAATATTTACAGAAATTATAGACGGCTCAAAAAAATGAAGAGATATACCTTGATCCTGGTTAGGAAAACTCAATACAAAGATGTCAGTTCTCCCCAGATTGATCTACGTATTCAACATCATTCCAATTAAAATTCCAGCAGGCCTTAAAAAAAATAGAAAGTGGCAAACTGATGAGAAGATTCATATGGAAATACAAAAGACCTAGAATGGCCAAAATATTACCTGACTTTAGGAGTTTTCGCACAACAGCAATAATTAAGACTGCGTGGTATTAGTTTCAAGACAGACAAGCAGATAATTAAAACAGAATAAATAGTCCAGAAATAGATCTGCACATATACGGACAAATGATGTTTGACAAATATGCAAAGGCAATTCAGTCAAGAAAAGACTGTCTTTTCAACAAATGAGGCTGGAACAACTGAATACACACTCGCTAAAATGAACTTCAGTCCCTACGTTGTATTCTGTAAAAAATTAACTCAAAATGAATCAGAGGCCCAAATGTAGAATCTAATACTATAAAACTCCTGAAAGAACATGTGGGAGAAACTCTTTGTGATTTTGAGTTAGGCCAAGATTTCTTAGATACGACACCAAAAGCACATGCCTTAAAAGAAAACCTTGGCCTGGCAGGGTGGCTCACACCTGTAATCCCAGCACTTTGGGTGGCTGAAGCGAGTGGATCGCGTGAGGCCAGGAGTTCAAGACTAGCCTGGCCAACATGGTGAAACCTCATCTCTACTAAACACACACACACACACACACACACACACACACACACACACAATTAGCTGGGTGTGGTGGCGGGCACCTGCAGTACCAGCTACTCGGGAGGCTGAGGCACATGAATCGCTTGAACCCGTGAGGTGGAGGTTGCAGTGAGCTGAGATTATACCACTGCACTCCAGCCTGGGCAACAGAGCAAGACTCCATCTAAAAAAAAAGAAGAAAAAAAAAGGAAAACCTTGATCAACTAGACTTAAACATTCCTGATCTCAAAAGACACTATTAAGAGAATGAAAAGACAAGTTACAGATAGGGAATATGTACTTGCAAATCATCAATTTTATGAAGGACTTATATACACAATATATGAAGCACTCTCAAATGTTACTAATAAGAAAATAACTCAAGGCCAGGTGCAGTGGTTCACACCTGTAATCCCAGCACTTTCGGAGGCTGAGGCAGCGGATCACCTGAGGTCAGGAGTTCGAGACCAGCCTGGCCAACATGGTGAAACCCCGTCTCTATTAAAAATACAAAAAATTAGCTGGGTGTGGTGGCGGGCGCCTGTAATTCCAGCTACTCTGGAGGCTGAGGTGGGAGAATCACTTGAACCTGGGAGGCAGAGGTTGCAGTGAGCCAAGATCGCGCCACCGCACTCCAGCCTGGGTGACAGAGCGAGACTCTGTCTCAAACAAACAAACAAATAAACCCAGTAAAATAATAGGCAAAAGAGTTGATAGACGCCCTCCTAAGGAAGACAACATAGATGGCAGGTAAGCATATAAGGTACTTAACACCGTGAGTCAGTAGGGAGATGCAAATCAAAACCACAGCGAGACGCGAATTCACTAATCCGTTAGAGGGCCTAGGGTGAAAATGACCGACCACATCAAGTGCGGTGGGGAGGCGGAGGAACTGGAACTCTCGTGCACTGCCAGTGGGCATGTAAAATGGCACAACCACTTTGTAGAACAGTTTGGAAGCTTCTTAAAAAAAAAAAAATACAACTACCACCTGACCTAGCAATTCTACTCCTAGGCAGTTACTCCAAATAAATGAAAGCACACGTCCACACAAAGTCTTTTACACAAATGGTCTTAGCTGCTTTACATTTGTAATAAGCCACAAACTGGAAGCAAGCCAAGTGTCTATCAAGTGAGTGGATCAGAACTGTTATGGTATATGCATACAGTGGAATACTACTCAGCAGAACAAAAGAGCTACCGGGACATGCAAAAACATACCTGAATCACACTGCATGAACAAAGCCAGTTAAAAAAACAGTGTGGGAATCCATTTATTTAAAACTCTAGAAAGTGCAACCTCACCTACAGTGACAGAAAACGGGTCAGTGATCGGAGGGGAAGGTGTCAGGGAGGGTCAGAAAGGAGCAGGAGGGAGCTTGGGAGAGATGAACGCACTCCGTCCAATCTTGGTGGTGGTGACGGTTTCACGGGTGTGTATGCTTCAGAACACACCAAATGATACATGTTAAATATGTTTCATTTATTGTGTGTCAGTAAGACTACAACAAAGCTGTTAAAAAAATTCAGAGACTGAGTCAGTCATGGCACACCAACAATCACTTCTATTACTACCAGCACCCAGTAAGTCCTTGCCTTTCTTATGAAAACACAGCGAGCTGACGGGCGTGAGTGAGTGTGGCCACCCAGCACAGTCACAGCCTGCGGGAATGGCCAGTCACTGCTTGATTTGAATTTGAGGAGGAAAAATCTCGTTCAGAGGCAACTGAGCTGCTTTATGACTCTTGTAGCCTGAGCGGGGAGGGGTGGGGGGCAGATGTGGCTGGACCCACTGTACAGTCATGACTCTTTCATCCTCACTGCAGCCTTGGGAGCAGGGGTTGCTGTCGCCACCCTTTAAGGATGAGGACCTGGGGTTCAAAGAGATGACACCTTCCCTAAAATCTCCCTGCCGGGCAGGGGCAGAGCCAAGGGAAGGTGGGAACCGGGCCTGCCTGGCTCTGTCCTCCCTTCTGCCCCGACCCTGCAGACGCTTTCAAAGCCTAATATGGAAAAAGGCCTCACCGAAAGCTTAAATGTAAATGAACCAAGCTAAGGACGCTGATATACACAGAATTTCTTTCTACATGGTTATTAGGTTAATAGTTAAAAACTGGCGACTATTAACTTTCACTTTAAATTTATTGTTCAAGCTAACACCACTGTTTTTCAACGTCCCTGTCCGGGGTCGGTGCTACCTGCCAATGAGCACCTGGGTGTGTTTCTGTCTAGAGACCACTGGGTGCTCACCAGACCCCACAGGAAGACGGCTCCCAGGGGTGTGGCTTTGAGCAATTTTGATTTCATCGCCAGGCCTCCAGATGTGTCCTGGGTGAAAATCTTGATTGGGCCTGTCTTCCAGGGCTACTGTCAGGACCAAATCGGGTGGGGGCATGAAAGAGCTTTGCAAGGCACGGGGTTGTGGGAAGTGAGACTAGGAACCCCACCGCGGGCATCTGACCCTGTGGCGTCCTCCACCACTGCCAACCATGGTACTACAAAGGGCATGGACTCAGAACTAGGAACCCGAATTCCAACCAGGCTTCAGCCCAGAAGCCACTTCCCCACTGCACTGGTTTCTGCTGGGGACAATGATGACAACACCCTAAGTCCCACAGGACCGCCTCCCAGATCAAAAACCCACATGCCCCTCTTGGCGCCTGGCAGGGCAGCCCCTCCTGTGGCCCAGGACTCTGCTGAGCTTCAGGTCCTGGGTGGCTAATGTGTGTGTCAGTGTATGTTGGAGGAGGGGAAGGGTGGTGGATTAATTTTAAAATTTAACTTGCTTTCCTTTTTCCCACAGGGAAAAGGAGTGGGAACAGGTTTCTAAAAATAGCCTGGCCTGTCAAAACTGTTAACTATCAGGCAGGGCAAGGATGGCGGCTGCTGGGGAGGGAGAGCGGGAGCTGCGGAGGATCCCAGCCTGGCCCTTCCTGGTGCCAGCACCCTCCAGGCACAGCCAGCCATCGGGCGGCCCATGGTCCTGGGGCATGGCAGCTGCTCAGGCAGTGCCAGCAGACCCTGGCATGGAGGTCCGTGGCCACTCCACGACAGCCCATGAAGAACGGTACCCACCCCCGCCCCCGTGTGAGATGCTGGCCCTGGGCACACGCTTTGTTCTCCCACCTCCCTCCTGACGGCCACGCAGAGTCGAGTTACCATCACGCCTGCCTTCGTGGGCGCAGGCTGAGCACAAGGTCCACAGCCCTCCCTTGACACAAAGTCAACTCACTGTGACCCACAAATCACACAACACCCTGGGCCAGCTGCCTTCACAAGAGGTGTGGTGGGGGGCTTTCAGAAACAAAACAAGATATTGAGGGCCAGCACAGGGGCCCTGTTGCCAACCTTCTGCAGGTCAGACCAAAGTTTTAAAAGAAAAGCCCACGTGGGGAGCATTTTGTTTTGAAAAAGCCAAAAACAAAACACTGAATTCTTTCTGAGAAACATTCTATCCATGAAGATGCAAACAAATTATGGGAGGCTAAGAACACGGTACAGCTAAAATCAGCATGCACGCTCATCTAAACATCATAAATTATCCAAAATGCACCAGAAATGTCAGTCTGGAGCTCTTGTGTGGGAAAGTGCTCCATTCACTTTGGCACTGGCTCACACTCATCTGCTGCAGCCCACGGCCTGCCCGGCGGGCGGGAGACCCACGCCTGCCTCGGAAGCACACAGCCAGGTGTCTAGGGTCCCGGGCCCGCACCAAGCTCTGGTGCTGCCTTGAGGGGAGCTGCGTGGTTGGGTTGTGAGATGGAAACTGAGGATTCCATGGTCTTCCCTGCCCACTCCTCAGGCCTGCTGGGAGCCACAGGGATGTGGTCGAAGGGTGTGCACGCTGCCCCTCGGTGTGTGGCTGTGTGTGGTTATCACAGCAGCATCGCCTGACCCAGCTTCACATGCCTGTTTAGATGTGGCCTCATCCCCCCCCAGGATATCTACATCTCAGACCTCCTGAGCCACACTTTAACACAGGGAGGGGCGAGTGCCTCTCTGAGAGCTTCCTATGGGCCCAGCATTTTTGGGCATCTGCTCATGTAACCTGGCACCCAACCTGTGTGGTCAACAGTGCTGGGGGGACACCCAGACCTCCCTCTTCCGGCCGTCCACATGTTCCTGGCTCTTTGCTCCCGAGTGCCCTGTGCTGGGATGAAGGGTAAGTACACCTGTGACGCCGGAAGCCTGTGTGGGTCCCAGGGGAAGGCCAGGTAGGAGGGAGGTGGTTAGGAAAACCGAGAGAATCATGTGATCGAGGGAGGACCAAATGGCGGTCTTACTGAGCAGAGACCTCAACTCCAGGACCGGTACATCCCTTCTGTAGGCCGGCCTCAGTGCAGCATTTGAAGGCGGTGCTCTGATGAAGGCGGGCCCTACCCACAGCCTTCTCGGGCTCCCGTCCCGGTGCGTCCCTCCCGACCCAGGGGAAGGACATTTGGTGTGGATCATCCTTCTCAGTAATGGGGTTATTTGGGGCCTGGCCGGGCTGGGGAACATGACGCCGCGTCGCTGCTGAGCGGGAACAGCAGGTGTCTGTCCATGCATCTGCGGAACATGCTCGCAGCACAATCTCTACATCAGGACACACACACGGGCAAGGACACTGGGAAATTGAATCTTATTACTAATTAATGGCTTTAATGCCTATGATTAGGCCTCAAAAACAGCCTATTTTCCGAAAGATAAGTTTAGCCCTGTTTGAACAGGAACTCAAGTGCTCTGCTGCCGCTGACGCAGAGAGCTCAGCTCCACTAATCACATTCAGAAGTTCCGAGCCCACCACCTAGAGTTTCAGAAACTGTGCGCTGAGAATGAAAGAGACCGGGGAGCGCTTTGTTCTTCAGCAAGAGGTGCCATGGTAGGGGCACGGACAAGCGTGGGGTATGGGGTTCGGAGACCACAGCCGGTGCTCACAGGGGAAGGCAGGCCTCCATCTCTGCCCTGAGAGGCAGGCTCTGGGCACTGACTGCAATCCAAGGGGTTGGGGTTCTCACCAGGGGTGGTCCTGCCCCTGGGGAGACACTTGGCGGAGCCTGGAGACATTGCTGGTTGTCACATCTGGTGGAGTGGGTGCTACCGGCATTCAGTGGGTAGAGAGCATGGACGCCGCTGCACGTCTGACAATGCACAGGACAGCCCCACGGCACAGGATGATGGGCCCCAAATGTCCGTCTGTCCAGGTGGAGAGTGGTTATGGTTGGATGTTTGTCTCCACCAAATCTCATGGTGAAATCCAATCCCCAGCATTGGAGGTGGGGCCTGGTGTAAGGTGACTCGATGTAGGGGTGGATTTCTCATAAATGGTTAGCACCAGTGCCCTTGGTGCTGTCCTTGCGATAGTGAGTGATTTCTCGAGAGGTCTGATTGTTTAGGAGAGTGTGGCAACTTCCTCCTCCTTCTCTATTGTGCCCGCTCTACCTTCTGCCATGAGTCAAAGCTCCCTGAGGCCTCCCCAGAAGCCAAGAAGATACTGCCATGCTTCCTGGACAGCCTGCAGAACCACGAGCCAATTCACCCTCCTTTCTTTATAAGCCACCCAGCCTCAGGTATTCCTTGACAGCAATGAAGGAAGGCACGGGGCTCCCAGGGGAGTGCACAAGCCACGCTGGTGAGAACAGGGTCGCAGATCCTCAGGGACGGTCCCTGTCATGCTGCCAGCTGGCCAGCTTCGGGCAACTGTGGCAGCCCAGACACACTCGCACTCTAACACGCAGACTCACACACACAGGCGCCCGTCTCCCCTGCACAGACTCTCACACAGGCGCCCGTCTCCCCTGCACAGACACACACACGCTCACACTCACACAGGCGCTCATCTCCCCTGCACACACTCACACAGGTACCCGTCTCCACTGCACAGACTCACACACACACTCACACAGGTGTGTCTCCTGTGCACAGACTCACGGGTACCCGTCTCCCGTGCACAGACTCACACAGGCACCCATCTCCCCTGCCCACAGACTCACACACACACTCACACAGGCACTCGTCTCTCCTGCACTCACTCACACAGGCGCCCATCTCCCCTGCACAGACACACACACACACTCACACAGGCGCCCGTCTCCCCTGCACTGCTTTGCCCGTAAGCCCAGGCGCTGGGCTCTGGTGCCCCTTCTAGCCTGGATGTTGTATGGATTGGCGCTACAGTCAAGGCAGGGCAGCATGGTGGTCACAAGCCCAGCTCAGGGGCAGCCCTGGCTCTGTCCTCGCCCAGCTGGGTGGTTGCTGGCACATTAGAACCCCAGTTGCCTAACACAAAGGGACAGGGACAGTGCACAGGTCACTCTGCATGGGATGCGGCTCCGCAACCCAGGACTCAGCACTGCCATCACCCCTCTGCAGCGCGCGTGGGGTGGGGGTGTGGAAGGAGCCCCTCGACAAGGATTCCACCATCACTGCGTGGTCAGGCTCCCAGGAGCTACTTGTCCATACCCCAGCTTTCAGCACACGTCACCTCCCACAGGGAGCCCTCCCTGATTTCCCCCAAATAAAACAGGCTCTTGCCCGCCGCCTGCCGCCTATTCTTTTTTTCTGTCCCCGTCAACATTTGCCCTGTGCTAGACTCCAGGCCTGTGCTGGTACAGAGGCTCTAGGGGTAGAGAGCACAGTCCCCCATTCCTGTCTGCTGGGGAGACAGACACTCAGACAGCAGGTTTAGTCTCCCTTGAGGTCCTGAGATGGGGGGTGGCCAGGGGAGTAGGGGGACCTCTCCATCTCAGGAGAGCTTCTGGAGGACATGCCTAAGTGGCATGCTGAGGGTGGAAAGAATTATCCAGATGGCAGCAGGCAGGAAAGGCCTAGAGGCAGAGAGAACAGTGTGAGCAGAGGCCAAAGAGCAGTCTGTGTGTGCCACACGCGTGTGCGCGTGTGTGCGTGGGCCTGGCTGCGTGTGGGCCTGGCATGGTGTGCTGTGGGGCGCTTACATACACAGATGCACTTGGGAGACAAATGCCCCACTGTTCCCACTGAACGAAGCAGCAACTTGGTGGCAGACGCCTGGATGTGGGGCTGATGGGGTAGGCCAGGGCCAGGCTGGGGAGCCAGGGCCACCAGCCTAGAAGCCCTGCTACCCTGTGTCTGAAAACTCCAACCCAGCACCTGAAGACCAGTCCTGGGTGTCTGCACTGCACAAGGAAGGAAGCAGGAGCTCCGGGGCTGCAGGCCTGGGACCCCCACAGTGCATTGCAGAGCTGGACCCACGGCCGGCGAGGGATGGGCTCAGCCTGCACCCCACCTGGAGCAATAGTGCTGCTATCTAGTCAGACTTTACATCCTACTCGTGCAGGGACGAGAACCAACAGCAGTTGGAAAAAACATCATTCACAGGGAAGCAAGAGGAATACAGGGTCTCCACGGGCCATCTTCTGTCAAGGGACGGAGCTGGCAGGTGGCAGGGACAGTTCCACAGAGCAGCTCCTGGCATCTTGGGGCCCACAGGACTAGCTTGCCACCTGGACAGAGTGATCCGCTGGGTCTGGCGTTGCACTGAGATGCGCACCCAGCCAGGGGTCCAAGGCGGCCCAGCTGCCAGGGAGGAATGCTGTGCTCACATCCAGCCTCTGCCACTTACTAAGCTGCATGCACTGGGCAAGGTGCTTCATCTCTCGGAGCCTACATTTCTTCTTGGAGTCGCTGTCAGGACTAAACCAGGGGACTCGGCTGTCCCCTCCTCTGCAGCCTTCTCTTCCAGGACCCCTCTGTCCCAACCAGACTCCTTTCCCTGTGTGTTCCATCCACGCAAAGTGCCCACCCCGGCTGTGCCCACTCCAGCTCATGGGTGTGCCCTGCACTACTTGATGCCAGTCTTTGCAGGAGACTGCAGGTCTGTCACTCATCAGGGGACTCCTGTTCAGCCCACAGGGCTCCACCCCAGCAGCATTTCTTCAAGGAAACCTTCTCCAGCCTTCACAGGCTCCTGCCCGCCACCTGCCGCCTGGCCCCTGGGAGCCCACTGTGCCTTGCGCTGACCTGGGGCCTGGACTGTTGCTGACAGTCACCTGTTTGTGCCACCATGGACTGAGAGTGCCGAAGACTGGATAGAGACTTAGTCATCTCTGCACCCTAGTGCAGAGCTCAGGAGCCTCAGCTGAAGGAGACACAGCTTCCCTGAGGGCTGAAGTCGCTAGGGGTGGCCTGGGTTCAGAGGCTGTGGCTGTTTAGAGAGGTGGTACGGTACACCGTGGGTGGTACACAAGTCAGCCCAGATCCACATGGAGACCCAGATCCACATCCAACTTGAGCAGCTCCAGACAGTGGAAAAAGGGCAGTTCACTCACTAACCTGAGTCGGAATGAAGGAGGGAGTGATATTTGAAATAAAATGGAAAGTCTCTCCCAGGACTGCAGGGCCACATGTCCTCCTCTCCCATCATCCCTACGACTTGAGCTCCCAGCTCCACCCCACTGGCCACAGCACCTCCCGACACGGCCTCTGCATGCTTGGGGCTTCAGCCACAGGCTCCTCCCCGTCACCCCTGCAGGTCTCTTGGGAGAGGCCTCCCCTGCTGACCCCCTTCCTGCCCCACTACTCCTGTCCCCCACCCTGCTCTGCTGTTCTTCATGGCTCTGAGCGTCGCTGGGCAGACCCCACCCATGCGGCTCACGCCTGCCCCGTGCCACCTGCCCCAGGAGCTCCTGAGAGCAGAGGCCTGGCTCCCACTGTGGTCCCAGCACCAAGAATCCTGCCTGGCTCTGTGACCTTGGTGGTCCCCTAACGATGTGCCGTGGGGTCAAACAGGGCCTCCTCTCCTCCTCAGAAGCTGCCCGCACTTGTCCTCTAGCTGAACCTCAGGTACTCGCCTGCAGACATCTCAAATTACCACCCCATCTCAGGCCGTTTCCAGATGTCGCTGTCCATAGACAGGTGTGCCAGAAAAAGGGGACTCCAAGGCCAAATGGAGGCATTCTCGCTTACCAAAGGGGAGCGGTTTCGTTAGGCAGGGACTCCTGGGAGCCTCAGTTGAGCTGAGGTGCTGGCATTTCCACAACAGACGCTGGGCCCACTTCAGGGACACACTTAGGGAAAGCCAGGTGTGAACCCTGCCCAGCAACTGTGTGCTCCCCCAGGGCAGGGCCATGACCTGGCCATCCTCTTGGCTCCCGTTCCTGGCACTCCCTCTCCAGGAGCACTGCTGGGGACCCAGTGCTTCTGCCTGGGAGTTCTTGGTGCCTGAGGCTATGCTGGTCCCTGCCATCCTCAGAGGGGCTGGCGAGGACGAGTGCTCAGTAAAGACAGCAATCCAACCATACAAGCCAGCCTGTGGGAGTCGCCTACCATTCTGCACAAGTAGCAGTGGATGGCCCAGAAGTCATTGGACTTTTAAGGCCATTCACGTGGCAGAGGCTGTGCCATCCTGAGTCACCTGACATCAGGTCCATGGACCAACACAGATCCAGCTCCTTTCCTAAACCTGGGGTGAGGAGAACGCAGGGAATAAAAAGACAAGAACCAGCATTCATTAAGCACTTACTACGTCCCAGTTATTTCTCATCCCTTAGCTTGCTTAGGCCTCTCAACTCCCCAAGAAAAAATAACTTATCAGGGTCTTGAAGGGAGACCAAAGACAACGGGCAGGCACAAAAACTGATTTCACTGCCAGCCCAGGTCCCCCATGGGCCCTGCTGGGGAAGGCCCGGGGGCCCAGGTGTCCTGGCTCCAGCACAGAGCCTGTTCTTCTCTGCAAGGTTTGCATTGTGCCCACAACCCCATTTATCAGACAATTACGGTGAGAGGAAGCGCACTGCCGAGAAGTCAGGAGAGCCAGGCAGCCATCCCGTGTTTGCAGTTAATTCCCCATGGGCCCTTCGGGAAGATGCCACACTTCTCCTGGACACAGAGATCTCAGAACACTGCCTGTGAGATGAGTCGGACCAGATGATCCCCAGGGACCCTTCCACCACTTGCAGCCTGTGTTTGTGTGATTCAAACACAGCTTTTCCCCTGAGCCACACATGGCTTAATTGCTAGGCAATGCAGCTGATAGGATCTGTAATCAAAGCTGGGCAGGGAGGGGGTGGGGGCGGCGGGGAGAAGTGAAGTCATCAGTAAGCGGACACTTTGATGAGTACTTACAGTCATCATTTGGCATCTGAAAGCATCCTTTTCAATTATCTGAAAGATAATCCGCAAACTAACCTGAAACCCAGAGTACGCAATTAAAGTGTTGGGAAACAATCTGATGTCATGATGCTCTCCTGGGCCAGTGAGCGTGAGGGGTGGGAGGCGGACCTCTGGGACAGAAAATCAGCTGCGCACAAGCCAATTACCACCTGGAGATGGATCCTCAAAATGGCACACGGAGGGAACTGGATCCCAGTGCGTGAATGCACAGGGTCATTAGCCCACGGTGAACGTTCACTGAACAAACACAACACAGGAGAAGGCGGCCAAACTCAAATTGCTGTCTTTAAGAATCTCGCACCCTTGGTAAGAGCATGAAATGGGTTTGGTGGAGGAAGAGGAGGATGAGGAGGAGGAAGAGGAGGAGGAAGAGGAGAAGGAGGAGGAAGAGGAAGAAGAGGAGGAGGAAGAGGAGAAGGAGGAGGAAGAGGAGGAGGAAGAGGAGGAGGGAGGAGGAAGAGGAGAAGGAGGAGGAAGAGGAGGAGGAAGAGGAGGAGGAGGAGGAGAAGGATGAGGAGGAGGAGGTGATTTTGCTTAAGAGGCTTCCCTTCGGCGCTGTTCACAAACATATTCATATAACTCAGTCCATTTAAGCAGAGCCCTGCTCTGCCCTATCTGAGGGCCTAGGCAGGTCACTCAGTGATACTGGGCTCACCAGCAAAGGGGGAGGAGCTGACCTCACTTTACCTGGTAGGTAGTTGGTTCCCGCCCAGAGACCCTGATCCAATGATGCATCAGACGCCTCCCCATCCCCACCAGCCAGCAACCACTCCTTGAATGCATGTGTCTACGAATTTGTCAATTCTGGACATTTCAAATAAATGGAATCATACACTATGTGGCCTTCTGTGCCTGGCGTTTTTCACTTAGCATAATGTTTTCATGGTTCATCCATGTTATAGCATGTGTCAGCACTTCATTCCTTTTCAGAGCTGAATAATATTCCATGTTATGGCTATGCCACATTTTGTTTATCCATTCAGCAGCTGATGAGCATTTGTGTTATTTTCACTCTTTGGTTATTATGAACAACGGTGCTATGAAGGTTTGTGTACAAGTTTTTGTGTGAACATATATTCTCCTGGGTATATATCCAGAAGTAGAAGTTCTGGGTCATACGGTAACTTTATGTTTAACTTTGTGAGGAACTGCTAGACTGTCTTCCAAAGTGGCTGCACTATTACATTCCCACCAGCAGTGGGAGGGTTCCAGTTTCTCCACATCCTCAGCAACACTTGTTACTATCCGTCTTTTTGATTCTAGCCATCCTAGCTGGTGAAAAGCAGTATCTCATTGTGGTTTTGATTTGCATTTCCCAAATGACTAATGAATAATGCTTGGCATCTTTTCGTGGCTGCTTGGCCATTTATATTGCTCTTTGAAAAAATTTCTATTCAAGTCCTTGCCCGTTTTTAAATTGGGTTATTTGTCTTTTTTACTGTTGAGTCGAAAGAGGTCTTCGTATATTCTGGATACCAGTCCCTTATCAGATATATGGTTTGCAAATATTTTAATCCATCCGGTGTGTTGTCTTTTCACTTTCTTGGTGGTGTTCTTAGAAACACACATGTTTTTAATTTTGATGAAGTCCAATTTATTTATTTTTTTGAGATGGAGTCTTGGTCTGTCGCCCAGGCTGGAGTGCAGTGGCGTGATCTTGGCTCACTGCGACTTCCGCCTCCCGGGTTCAAGCAATTCTCCTGCCTCAGCCTCCCAAAGAGCTGGGATTACAGGCACCCGCCATCATGCCCTGGGAATTTTTGACTTTTTAGTAGAGACAGGGTTTCACCATGTTGGCCAGGCTGATCTCAAACTCCTGACCTCAGGTGATTGGCCTACCTAAACCTCCCACAGTGCTGGGATTACAGCCATGAGCCACAGCACCTGGCTATATTTATTTATTTATTTTCTGCTTGCACTTCTTGTGCCCTACCTAGGAAACCATTGCCAAATTGAGGCCATGGAAGAATTCTGTGTTTTCTCCTAAGAGTTTTATAGTTTTAGCTGTCATAGTTAGATATTTGATCAACTTCATTCTTTTGCATAAGGATCTCTGGTTATTCAAGCACCATTTGTTGAAAATCTGATTCTTTCTCTATTGAACTGTTTGGCAGCCTTGTTGAAAATCGCTTGGCCGTAAATGCAAGGGTTGGTTTCTAGACACTCGATTTCAGTCTGTTGATCTGTACGTCCATCCTTATGCCAGCACCACATTGTCTTGATTATTGCAGCTTTGTAGTAACTTTTGAAATTGGGAAGTGTGAGTTGTCCAACTTCGTTCTTCTTTTTCAAGATTATTTTTGCTATTCTGAGTTCCTTGAATTTCCATATGAATTTTAGGATCAGCAGCTTGTCACTTTCTACCAAGAAGCCAGCTGGGATTTTGACAGAGATTGTGTTGAATCTGTGGATCAATTTGAGGAGTGTTGCCATCTTAACAAAATTAAGTCTTCCAATCCATGAACACAGGGTGTCTATTTATTTGGGTTTTTTAAAATGTCTTTAATTTCTTTTAACAATGTTTTGTAATTTTCAGTGTACATGCTATGCTCTTTTTATGTTAAATGTACTCTTTAGTATTTTATTCTTTTCTGCTGCTATTGTAGATGGAAGTTTCTTAATATCATGTTTGGATTGTTCACTGCTGGTGTATATAAACACAATTGATTTTTGTATACCAATCTTGCACGGCAATAGAGACTTTTAAACAGAGCTGTGATTTAGAAATACTACTTTAGCACCCTAAAGAGAAGATTCTGGAGATACTGGGGACATTGAAATCAGAAGGGGGTTGATGTGTAACCCAGGATGAGAAGACGGGGACCTGAGCAATGGCTGTGACTGCTCCAGAGACTGCTTGCTTGTTTGGTTTTTTCAAAGACAGGGGCACTGGGGAGGTCTGGACAGGGTGTGGCCCAAGGTGTGGCTTTCTCAGGATCTGTGCTTTGAAAGAGGTCAGCTCTGTCAAGAGCGTAAATACGGTCCCCTGGGGAAGAGCTGGTATGCCAGTGGTTCTCTTCTGAAGCTCAGGGTCCTAGCCAACACTTCCCTGAGTTTATCTGGGAACACATAACCAGATCTGAGAAATACTCTTGCATCAGTTCCTGCTATAACAAATTACCACAAACTTGGGGGCTTAAAACAACAGAAATGTATTCTCTTACAGTTCTGGAGGCCAGAAGTCTGAAATCAGAACCACCGGGCCGAGTCAAGGTGTCGGCGGGGCTGTACTTTTTCTGGCGGAGATTCTGTTCCCTGTTTTCTCAAGCTTTTCGGGGCCACTGGAATTCCTTGGTTTGTAACCACATCACTCCAATCGTGGCCTCCTACTCTTCCATGGGTAAAATCCCCCATCTCCCTCTTAGAAAAATGCATGTGATGATGGTGTTTAGAGCCTGGGATGGTTTGGATCTGTGTCCCCGCTCAAATCTCATGTTGAGTTTGTAATCCCTAATGCTGGAGGTGGGGCCTGGTGGGAGGTAATAGGATCCTGCGGGTAGATCTTCCCTTTTGGTACTGTTCTCATGATAGCAAGAAAACCTATCATTTTTTTTTTCTAATAGCAGTGAGAGAATGGACTAATACATAGCCCACCCATGTAATCCGGGATAATCCACCCATCCTGAATTCCTTGATCACATCTGCAAAGATCCACCCCAACCTTTTTTGCACTATCAGGTAACATGCACACGATCCAGAGATGAGGACATGCCTATCTTTTGGAGGCCATTTTTCCACTGACCACACTGCTTCTTGTGCAGATGAGGATAACCCTGTAGACACATGGCATCCCCAAAACCACATCCATGGAGGGGCCAGCCCTTACCCTCTCTGAATCACCCACTGAAGCCATCAGTCCACTGCTGGCTCCCACGAGGGTCTGGCTTCCTCAGACTGCATTTGCTATCCAGTCTCACAGGGTTCCATCAGACCCTGTATCCCCAATTCCACATCACCCCCCATGAAAATTCCGTGCCCTGTCTCCAACTGTCCACACTCAGT
The DNA here is from genome assembly GCF_000001405.40 of Homo sapiens. Taxonomy (NCBI): domain Eukaryota; kingdom Metazoa; phylum Chordata; class Mammalia; order Primates; family Hominidae; genus Homo; species Homo sapiens. Next base: position 139,799,672 of record NC_000008.11, read on the forward strand.
CCGTGGGCAAGGAGCACGGAAGAGCTCCCATGAGCTCTTAGAGCAGTAACAGGAAGAATGTCCTACCCCGGCCTGGCAGGGGAAGGAGCGGGGCTGGGCAGCCTTGGGAAAGGCCCTGCAGTCCCACGGGCTGGGGCTCGTCCCCCTTTTCAGAGCCCCACACTGTGCCGAGCATGGGGCCACTGAGGCAAATACAACAGAACTGCTGTCCTCAAGGGCTTCTCAGGCCGATGGGGAAAGACAGGCAAGGAAACTAATCACGAGAGGGAAGTGATGCGGGGCCCAGAGGGCAGCAGCTGAGACAGACACGGAGATGGACAAAGGGCAGGACTAGCTCCAGAGGCAGTCAGATTCCACAGACGCATGGAAGGCACAGCAAACAGATGCCACAAAACACCTACGCTTGCTAGCAGCTGGCCAGGTGCCAAAAGACGGAGAGGGCATTGTACTGGACGGGCCAGACTGCGCTCCTGCCGCTGGGGCGCCTTTGGCTGAGGTCCCCAGCCCGCTGTGCTGTGTGGTGCTGTGAGACCTGTCACCTGTGCCATGCTGACTACACATGTGGTAGCCACCTATGCCAGGACAGCATTCTGTGGCTGGCCAAGGCCTGAGAAGCAGTCAGGCCCAAGAACTCAGCCAACAGGGCCAGGGAAGTGGGTGACCAGAGCTGCCATCCTGGGAGCATGTGCCCCAGAGACCCAGTGAGACTGAGCTGTTGGAAGAGGACACACGTGTCCACACTGAGGGGCCAAGAGCAGGGTTTCTGGTGGGTCCGTGCAGAGGCAGGAAGACAATTCGGAAAGACCAGCTGCTTTCTGGGTCGCCTGTCCCAAAGCTGAGGGGCAGTGAGATGTGCAGCTCCCAGAAAGAGCAAGTGCCCCTCCCGGGAAGGAACTGACAGCTGTTCCCGAGGCGGCCACTACCACTGCCCCAGAAGGCAGGTTTTTCATCTGTATGGAGACGGGACTCCAAGACATTCAGTCGCTGGCTTGAGGTCCCAGAGCTGGTCCATGGCAGGGCAGGGACTGGAGCCCAGGAGAGCTGTCTGAAACCACACTCTTCCCTCCCTCCAGTATCTTCCCTCTCTCTGGTATCTTCCCTCCCTCCGGCACCTTCCCTCCGTCCGGTATCTTTACCTTCCCTCCCTCCAGCACCTTCCCTCCGTCCGGTACCTGTACCTTCCCTCCCTCCGGTATCTCCCTCCCTCTGGTATCTTCCCGCCCTCCGGTACCTTCCCTCCCTCCGGTACCTTCCCTCCCTCCGGCACCTTCCCTCCATCCGGTACCTGTACCTTCCCTCCCTCCGGCATCTTCCCCCGCTCTGGCACCTTCCCTCCCTCCGGCATCTTCCCTCCCTCCGGTACCTTCCCTCCCTCCGGCACCTTCCCTCCCTCCAGTATCTTCCCTCCCTCCAGTATCTTCCCTCCCTCTGGTATCTTCCCTCCCTCCTGTATCTTCCCTCCCACCAGCAGCTGTCCGTTGATAGGATGGGTATCTCCACAGGGACAAGTGTGAGGTGCCAGAGGAATGAGGGTGGGGACAGACCACACAATGCCTTCCTCTTCCTGGGGAGACTTGGCTGGTGGCCTCCCTGCTTAGATGCATCCTCCTGAAAGTGACATAGTTCATGCCTCCTGCTCACATTGGGCCACACACCCCAGCATCCCAGCCCGGACACCTCCTGAGCCAGGGTGCTCACCAGGAGCAAAGCCGCAGGCATCAGGGCTTACCAGTGAGTGGTGCGTGGGTGTGGCAGGAATCTGGGGCCCAGGGAGCCCATGCCTATGGAGAGGGACACCTGGCCCCCAAGGAGGCATGGTGGCTGGAGCTCCTGCCCCGCCCCCCTTCCCTTGGCTGTGTCCACTGTTATGTGAGTGAAGCAGAGGCAGTGAAAATGCCAGGAGCTGTAACCTATAATGGGGTGCTGGGATGCGAAAGTGGGGGGTGGGGTACGGTTATCAACCGGGATTCCTGTTCCAGCCAGGAGGCACTGTGGCTTTTACAGTTCTGGGTTTCAACTGCACAGTCGCAGACGGGACCTGCCAGGAATCCGCACGAACTCCTCTGCGTCAGTTATGCTGTGTTACCTCCTTTCTTCCAATCTGTTCTTTATCCTGAAACCTCTCAAGCGCCAATTAGCTAATAAATGGGATTTGCGGAGCATGCAAACCCTGAAGCAGTGGTCTGCCTGTCAACAATCTGCGCCTCTCGGTAACCTCCTAATCCAGGACTGGGCCTGCAGAATCCGCCAGGGAGTCTCTGAGGCCTGTGGACATGGTTCCTGGACCTCTCCTGGGGCTCCAGAAAATCTTCCCCACCCAGGTGCTCTTAGCAGAGCTCACTCAAGGTGCTGTGTCTCCCAGGAATTGGCTGGAGCTTGATTTTCTAGCTCTGGGCTTCTTCCTCTAGCCCATTCCTCTTCCCTCCTCTCCACTCCCTGTTGTCCCACGCAACCCAGTACAGAACGGCATGGGTCACCTGAGCACACCCTCTGTGCCAGGCGGGGAGCAAGCAGGGTGGAGAATCTGGCCCTGCACAAATGTACTTGGAGTGAAGACTGCCCACCTGATCATGGCGCAGGAGAGACCAGCAAGAAAATGAGGCCATGGGTTCCTGCTCTCACACCTCCGCTTTGCTGGCCCCACGGGGACTGGCTTTTCACTAGGGGTGGAGGGGAGACAAGGAGAGGAGCTGTGTTTGGGAGAAAAGGGTCCCTCAATGATCTGAGATCCTGGCTATGGGAGGGGTCCCTGGGGCAGTGGAGGAGAAGTGCAGTCAGAGGAGTGGGCTTCCCACCCTGGCTCCCAGCACCACCCAGTGAGGACTCAGGCATCCCTTGGCCCTCTGACTCAGTTCCTTCAACTTTGAAATGAGGTTGCTACTAAACCGTTCACAGGATCGCTGTGAGGATGAAATATCATAGTGATCGCAAGCTTTCAAATCCTGTAAGGTGCTTATGTTAGTCCAGTAGTGCAAAGTTGAGTAATACTCTCTTTTACGGGCAAGAGATCAACTAGTATTCATTGCTGACGATGATGGGAATGCTTTCTATGTGGAACATTCTGTTTGGAAAAAGTGACTGTCAGTGCCTCTAGGCTCTGATTTGAGAATTGAAGCTTTGCAGTGTAGGCATTAGCGGGGTGTGGAATGTGAAGTGTATGTGTCACGTGTGCATCCGTATCTGAAGGTGCGTGTGTGTGTGCTGTTGTATGAGTGCTCTGTGTGCATGTTGTGTATGTCGGTGTGTGTTGTGTGCCTCCATGTGTGAATGTGTATGTGAAGATGTGTGCTGTTGTGTGAGTGCATTGTGTGCGTGTTATGTATGTCAGTGTATGTTGTGTGTGCATCCGTAGATGAACGTGTGTGTATGTGAAGGTGTCTGTGTGCCGTCGTGTGACTGTGCTGCGTGCTTGTTGTGTATGTCATTGTGTGTGCATCCATGCGTGAATGTGTATGTGAAGGTGTGTCTGTGTGCCGTCGTGTGAGTGTGCTGTGTGCGCGTTGTGTATGTCATTGTGTGTGCATCCATGTGTGAATGTGTATGTGAAGGTGTATGTCTGTGTGCTGTTGAGTGTGTGTGTGTCACAGGCTCTCATCAGGCTCACAGCCTCTCAGGAAGGCAACGTCCGTTGGAAACTCTAGAGCGGCGAGTCCTGCAGCCTGCCCTGCCCTCCAGCCCCGTGGGCAGAAATTTGACTCTGCCACTGCCTAGGAGAAGGGATACAGGTGCTCCTGCCTCTGATGAACCACACACAGTGCCAGGGGACACAGCCACCTCATGCGGGAGCCCACCCTCCAGACAGTGCAACTGCAGGGAAGCCTCAGGCCCAGCACCGCTCTCTGTGCAGGCAGTCAGACCATAAGCCCACAGTTGGAGGGTGTGCACACACAGACCCCAAACACAGCTGGATACCAACACCTCATGTCTCATGTTCTGCCTATCACTTGCACATATCAGCCCATCAACAAATGTTCACTTCCTTCCCAGTTTACTGGCAGAAGGTTTTCCAGAGAACTTCAAACCCATTTTTCTCAAAGGCGATATGTGGCTGTTCCCCGGAGTCACTGGAAGGCAGGGCTATTTCTTGAGATAGATGCATCACGCTGTCTAGTTTCTTTTCTCAGAATCTGCTGCTCCACTTTACCACTTCCCCAAGAGGACCGGGCTGTGGCTGGGATTTTTATTTCAGTCACTTTGGCAGTAGTCTGAAATAAATGACGTCTAAATGTGTCATTTGAACTTTCAACGGAGTTTACCACAGATGAAGAAAGATGGTCCCCAATCACCTTTCTCCAGTGAATCCCTCAAGTCTGCAAACAACACAACAACCACTGCTCTCACAGCACCACCACCACTATCCATCGCCGCCACCACACGCCACCTCCATCAAGCACCGCCGCCACCACCACGACGCACCACCACCACCACTCACCACCACCACCAAACACCACCACCACACACACACCCACCACCACCCACCACCACCACCAAGCACCACCACCACCACCCACCACCGCCACCAAGCACCACCGCCACCACCCACCACCAAGCACCATCACCACCACCCACCACCACCACCAAACACCACCACCACACACACAACCACCACCACCCACCACCGCCACCACACACAACCACCACCACCCACCACCGCCACCAAGCACCACCACCACCGCCACCAAGCACCACCACCACCACTCACCACCACCACCAAACACCACCACCACACACACAACCACCACCACCCACCACCGCCACCAAGCACCATCACCACCACTCACCACCACCACCACTCACCACCACCACCAAACACCACCACCACACACACAACCACTACCACCCACCACCGCCACCACACACAACCACCACCACCCACCACCGCCACCAAGCACCACCGCCACCACCCACCACCGCCACCAAGCACCACCACCACACACAACCACCACCACCCACCACCGCCACCAAGCACCACCGCCACCACCCACCACCGCCACCAAGCACCACCACCACACACAACCACCACCACCCACCACCACCACCCACCACCGGCACCAAGCACCACCACCACCACCACCAAGCACCGCCACCACTACCCACCACCACCACCAAGCACCACCGCCGCAGCCACCACCCACCACCAAGGCAGCTCTCTCCCCACAGCCTCTTCCATGCAGTGCTTCAGACACATTACTGAATCCCATGAGGACCCCTGTATGGGAGGAGTATAAAATTCAACCAAGGAAAGCTCCCCACCAGCCACCATGGTTGGGAGCAGCAAGCTGGAGCTCAGGGCCAGGTCCTCAAGTGGCAACACTCACAGCATGTTTCATGCATGAACTCACTAAGCCCCCTCCCCTGGAGAGGGGTCCTCATGCTGGGGTCCAGGGGCATGATAGAATCCGAGGGAGGTGTCTCTTCATCATGCATCCCATTGGGGTTGCAGGTGAAGGTCAGACTATAGCTCTCTCCTGGCCTCCTTCCACTGTTGGATCCACACCAAACCCTGCGGAGACCCCCTGGATGTGGAGTAGGCGTACCCCAGTGTGTCCTTTTGGTAGTTTCAGTGGCTTTGTGGAATCTAGCGTGGCGTGAGGTGTGCCTGGGCTGCCTCCTGCCTGGAAGTCTGAAAACTCCAGGCCATGCACAGGCATCCAGAGTCCACCCAATCCAACCTCCTCCCGGTGCAGGGCCCTCACCAGGGTCGGAAGTGGGAAGACCCCACACTCGGCAGGTGGGGACCTGCAGACCTGGCAGCCCTGCCATTTGTCAGCTGTGCACTCAGGCTAAGACATTGAACATCCTGGGGCCCCAGGTTCTTTGTTCTCTCATTTGCCAAGAAAATGTTTATTGAGTATCCAGTGTGGGCTTGGCACTGTGCTTGGTGCGTTCCTCTGGGAGTCGGGGCTGGCCAGGCTCCCCTACTGTCCAGGAGCAGTGAATTAATGATTTCTGAGTAGTATATATTTTGACATATAAAACCTTTCAAAATGCAGAGTCCACAAGAGGAGTTATAAAAGGAGCCCGTAGCATGAGTGGGAGGGCTGGTAATTCCTGACATGTATTAAAAAGATCAACCACAGACCCAGAGAATGCGGCCTCAGAGAACAGCTATTAAGTATAGACGAAAATACACAGAACGAAGAAGGAGGGCTCATGATACACTTTAAAGTACCAGAAAGCCCACTCCAGACTGAACTAAAATGCAAGCCTGTAAGTGTCTCAATGTATAAAAGCCTGGTTAAGGCTAACCTGTAATCACAATGTATCCATATAATCACATAATGATGCCTTCAGAGGCAGGGGTGTGCGCGGAGCACGCTGGAGAAGGAAGCCCCGAGCTCTCAGTGGAACAGTCAAGGGCTGCAAAGTGTAGCTCGAGAACGGGGCGTTAATTGAGAGCTTCCTACCTGCCAAGTATCATGCCAGGCACTAAACATAAATTCCGAGGGCTTAACCCTTACCATCATCCCACGCGGCAGCTGTGGCTCCTGTTCCAAGCGAGGGAGCCAGGGCTCCCGGAGATCAAATGGTCACCTGCAATCAAAGGGAGCAGCAGATCTTTGCCAGTTTCTTTGTGTGGTCACACAGTCTCCGCCCCTTCCCATGGGTGGGGGCCCGGCGGGAGGGGTCGATTTCCCTCCTGTGCGCAGCAGTGGTGGTATGTGGGTCCCGGCTGGTTTACTGGCTGTGGGGAGAGCTTCCCTGTCCCCTCTGTCACTGTCCTTGGTGGACTAAAACGCAGGCACATGATCTTGGCCACCTGGATGTTTCCACTCGGGGCTCAGCGGCAGTGACACCAAGGACCCGTGAAAACAATATGTAGCAGCAGCAACAGGATTAAGAGTGGAGCAGAAGTAGCCTCAGGTCCCAGAGCAGCTCCCCAAGGGTGTACCTGAACCGGGAGGCATCCAGGTGTGACCTCAGCTGGGTCCGGCAGTAGCCGAGCCTCCTGAACCCCCATCCTGACTCTGAGTGGCTCCTTGAACTGCCTGATAGCCTTCCCAGGCACCTGCTGTTCTGCTGAAGTTGACCAGAGTCCATTTCTGTTGCTGGCAGTTAAGAACCCTGATTCTCAAGCAGCAGCTGCAGGATTCACACCAGGCCCTTTGCATCAAAGCTGCACCCTTTCCTTTAGGATCCTGCTTCTCATGATGGGGAGAGAGAGGCTTCCTCACTCCTCTGGTGTGCACACGCACGGGGGAGAAGCTTATAGAAGGGGCGGGGGTGTTAAGGAGAGTTGTCTTTCAGCTTGACTTTGGAAAAGAGCCAGTGCTTTGATCGGCCACAGGCCAGGAAGGCCCGAGCACTTAGCGGCCTCCGGAGAGCCACCTGCCGATGCCCTCGAGACACCTTCAGCCAACCAAGGGCCCTCAGAGGCAGGAGGAAGCCTGTCACCTAATAATGCCCTGCACAGCCTCCACCCACTCAGAAGGACTGAGGCTTCCCAGGGAAGGGACAGAAAACTTGGGAAGCCAGGGATTTCCAGCGCAGAGAGCTGGGGCTGTCTGTGGGGTGAGTAGGGGCCAGAAAGCATAGCCAGCGGGACAGGAGTCCTTTGAAGAGACACCATTGTTGCCAAGGCCACAGCGGTGCAGGTCACACCAGCCAGTTACAGGGATCAGAGACCCAACCCCAGAATCACATTCCTCATGACCCATGCGTTCAGAAGAGCCTCTGAACTCCAAGGGGCAAAGCGGACAGCTGGCAGCCCTTTCCCTGGCCAGCAGAGGTGGCAGTTCTGGTAAAACTAAGAGTGGGGAGGAACATGAACTTGCTTTACTGATTCCCTTCCATTAATAAAACAGAGGACCCTACACGGGGCGCTTCATAAATGTGCTCTTGCTTAATCACCAACAAAAATCTGCAAGGAAAACGCAATGAACAGCACAGGAGCCGACAGGAGACGTCCTCAACACAACCACCGGCGGAGGCACTGCGGACGAAAGTGTGCGGAGATTGAAGCGGGTCCTCCACAAAAGGTGGGCGAACGGTACCAAGCAGGGGTTCTGTGTTACAGCTCCTCTCTGCTTAACACCCGAGAAATTCTTTCTTTGACTATGAGCACAGAGGTTGTTAATAGCCTTCAAGGAAAACCAGTGTAGAGCCCAGAGGAGGAGCTCAATATAAATCAGATAAATAAAAAAATATGAAAAATGAAGCTCTATTGAATGAACAAAGCACAGGCACCGGCTGGGTGGGTTCTGGAGGTAGGGATGAGCTCTGGCTGTGCCTTAGATGGGCTGGACTCATAACATGAGAACTTCTCCACAGACAGGAAGGGCATTCGGGTGTGGGGGCAGGCACAAATGGAACACGCATCCCTACAGGTGTGTATCTTGTTGACCTAAGAGGAGGGCAGGAGGTGGGAAAATCCTCGTTAAAGTCACCAAGCCTGAGGATCACAGAGGAGTGCAAGTGGGTGCGGCCTGACCCATTATTAACTATTACTTTTTTGAGACATACTTCATGTACCATGCAATTTACCCATTTGAAGTATACAATTCAGGCTGGACACAGTGGCTCACGCCTATAATCCCAGCACTTTGGGAGGCCGAGGCAGGAGGACTGCCTGAGGTCAGGAGTTCGAGACCAGCCTGACCAACATGGAGAAACCCTGTCCCTACTAAAAAGTACAAAAAATTAGCCGGGCGTGGTGGTGCACACCTGTAATCCCAGCTACTCAAGGGGCTGAGGCAGGAGAATCGCTTGAATCCAGGAGGTGAAGGTTGCAGTGAGCCGAGATGGTGCCACTGCACTCAAGCCTGAGCGACAGCGCAAGACTCCATTTCAAAAAAATAAAGTATACAATTCAGGGTTTTTAAAATATATCACAACCATCAGCATTATTACATTTCAGAATATTTCTATCTCCCTTCAGCACTATTTAATGCCAGAATATTCCCATGTACCCCTAAAAAGCAACTCCATACCCACTGGCAGTCATTCCCTACCCTCCCCACCCCCTCTGACAACCACTAATCTACTTTCTATCTCTACAGATTTACCAATTCTGGATGTATCATATAAACAGATTTGCATAATATGGGGCCTTTTGTGTCTGGCTTCTTTCACTTAGCATAATATTTTAAAATATTCACCTATGTTTTCACATATATTAGTACTTTGTTCCTTTTTCTGGCTGAGTAGTATTCCACTGTATGGATATACCACATTTTATCCATCAGCTGATGGATAGGTAAACAAAAACACTTGAGCTGGCTATTTTCACGTTTTGCTTTTATGACAAATGCTGCCACAAACAGGCACGTACAAGTTTTGTGTGGATGTATGTTTTCAATGCTCTTTGCCTAGGAGTGGATGTGCCTGACTCCAAACCCCTTTGTGTTCTCTGACTTGCATCTGACAAAGGTTCCAACATGGATTAACACCAGAGTCTACTGATTGTAATATTTCATTATCAAAAACATCTATTTTGATAACCCTTCTAAGGACTAGGAAACAAATGCCAGATCCAGATAATCCACTTAACTTGTCCCACTTAGCATTTATCCAAACAAGAGAGAAAAAGTCACCTTGAATTGCACAGAAGCCATTTCTGAAACTGACTTCACAGTACAGTCCTGTCCAAAGGCAGATGCAGCAGTCTGCCCTGAGTGCATCAGCAACACTGACTAAGTGAGCACGGGGAATGGGAGTGAAGCGTCCTCTTCTAGGCATGCCTAGAGGCTGACAGTGCTGGAGAGGGAGGAGACTGCGAACTGAGGAATAGCAGGAAAGTTCCCAAGAGCCACCGGGCAACTTCCTGCGCCAGACAGGAGGCAGGCTATGAAATCACTGAGTGTGGATACGACAGCCGGGTGTAAATCTCACTGAAGCAGGGGGCCTGGGCAATCGCCTCCGACTTCAGTCTCTGTCCCACAGCAGGGCCTTTCTGTGGCCTCAGGATGCAAGTCTAATTTTGCCTGCTGGCATCTGGGGTCCTCCAGAGCCTGGCCTCCTGACAGCCCAGCCCTGATCTTCCTGCTCTCCCTGCAGAAGCCCCCATTCTCTCTTAAGGAGTCCCCAGATGACAGCCAGCACAGCCCTGCCGGCACCATCCTCTCCCAGCCACAAGAGCCAACCCCCACCTCAACCCCAGTAGCTGTGACTGTGCCTGCCATATAAACGGCGGCCACCACCCTGCTGAGCCACCAGATACCCCACATGCCAGCCCCTGAGGTTGGCAAGGCACATTCCTGAGCGGCAGGATACTGAGTGACCCCCCTTCCTCCCGCCACCCCAGACCCTCTTCCCTGACTCCTGTGTGCGCTGAAAGCAGAGGTGCTAGAGGCACATCTGGCATCTCTGCACATCTGCCTGATGCTAAATCACTGGGTAACTGGAAACATACAGGTGGGGGGAGATTCTGCTCAGACAGGCAGACCTGGCACACACATTCACCCTGTTCCCTCCTGAAACCCACAGAGAGACAGACAGTGCCAGAATACATATGATATGAAGCCACCAGGAAGAGGAGGCAATGACAGCTGTGGAAAGAGGGCAACAAATTTTTGGAAGAAGCAAAGAGGATGGGTGAGGGGTAACTGACCTAACAGGGCAGCAGAAGCTAAACCCTGGGAGGCGACGCCAAGGAGACAAGGCCACTGCTGGAGGTGGGGAGGTGAGGGTTCACGAAGCAGGAGCAGCCACGGGGCATGGGCAGGGATGAGCAATGGGTGCAGAGTGGCAGCTGAACGACCATGACGGATCCTGCGAGCCAGGGTCCAGCCGGAGCTGACAAAGTTTCAGGGATTTCACGAGTTGGCTGACATCGTGTTGGGACCTTGAAACTGGCCACTACAGGAGTGTTTACATCTCAGAAACCAGCAAATGCTACAGACCAGGGCTCCCCCATCCCCTGAGAGCTGGCTGTTAAACTTCTACCAGCACACCACTGCGTAAAGCTCTCCTCCTTCAAATGGCCAGGGATGAACAGGACCTCGGTGGACGGTGCAGAAGTTCTATTCTTGGTAGGACTTGGGCCAGGAAGCCTCTGGACTCAAGATTCCATGAAGGAGGGATGAAGGCAAAGTCCTGACATGAATTATGGGGAGGGGCAGCCTCCTTCTTGGATGTGGCTCCCTGAATGCTGGCAGTGAGATCCATGGCATACTCCAGGATCTCCTCTGGCCAGGCCAGAGGACAGACCAGGCCAGAGGACAGACTCAGGATAGGTGGGGGAGTCCCTAATGAACTCTGGGTGGGGCCCACCATGCTTCCTGTCCGTGAAGCCCACCAGTCAGCCATCCTGCCCAAGCACAGAGACCAGCACTTCCCATCTACTTTAGGGCCTCATAGGAACAAAGGCCAAAGGGCACAGCCACTTGAGGACCACCTTTAAAGTAAAAGAGACAAAGATAAATGAAGGGGAAGACAAAGAGGAAGGCAGAAACAATTCACAGAACAAAGAAACCTTCACAGAAAGTGGCAATTAATATTCTCACAGAGATAAGAAAAGGCAGTCCAGCCATTACAAAAGAACAAGGTTCTATAAAAAGGAACTGAGAACAAGGAAGAGCTCTTGGAAATTAAAAATTAAATAAAAAAATTTAATACAGAGATTGGATATGAAATTGTGGATATTTTCCAGGAAGCAGTATAAGCATTCTAAGAGATAGGAAACAGCAAAGAAAAGAAAATTAAAGGACTAGCCAAGGAGGTCCAAGATCCAGTAAACAGGCATTCTGGAAGAGAAAACCCAGGAACAGGGAGGTAGAATTAGTTTAAAAATCATTTTTCAGAGTCCTTGTTTTGATGCCTGTGTTTGTTTTCACTGAAATGGCCCACTGAGGGCCTAGAACAAATGAGTTTCGAAGAACAACAGCAGGAGGCATTATGTGAAATTACAGAACCAGAACATTGGAGACTGAAGAGAAGATATCAAAGGCTTCCCAAGAGAAGCAAGCAGGTCACCTGCAAAGGATCAGGAGCTCGGAATCTGGATGGCAGGGGACTTCTCAATAGGGTGGAGGGAGCTTGTTTTTTAAAGCTATATATTTTTGGAAGCTAAGAAATGAGAGCAACACCTTCACAATTCCAAAGGGAAGAGAATCTAAATCCTAAATTCACCTGACTGATAAAGAATCTAAATCCTAAATTCTGCTGAGTGATCAATTAAATTTGAGGGAGATTTAAGATATATTTTTTTGGACATGCAATATTTCAAAAACATTTTTTTCCTATGCACTCTTTCCTGGAAAAGCACTAGAGGATGAGCTCCAGCAAACTGAAGAAGTAAACTGATAAAGAGAAAGGCAGGAGAAGCAGAAGCAGGATCTGGCATAGATGAGAGTCCAGAGGCTTGCTGGGGACAGTGGGAGGAATGTGCCAGGACCACAGCCCTGCAGCAGACCTGGAGGACATCAGGCCACATGGAAGCAGGACATGAGAACGCTGGAGAGATATCTCCTGGAACCACGCATGCACACACGATGTAGCTGATGGGTTTGGTGGTATTGAGAGGAATTTTGTGGTTCTGATGGAAAGTTCAAGAAAAATTAGCGTCACAGAAAAATAAACACTGCAGAAAATACAATTATAATTCTAGAAAAAGCAAAAAAAACTGTTTAAGGAAGGGAAGTATAATCATAATACATGCTTGGCTTAGCTGTGAAAAACAATCGCATTGTCACAGTAAAAATGAACAGAAGAACTCTGTGGGGATTTAACCAAGAACTGTGATAGAACTGTAGTAGACAGGTAGAGGCGAGCAGCCCACAGACGATGTCTAACACCGAAAGATCACACTACACCAGCGTACTCTATTTGGCATTAATTCAGTCATATTTTCAAGGTAAATACCTAAGGAAACAGTTTAGCATTTGCAGAAGCGCCTCTGAGGACTGGCGCTGGGTGATGGGGCAGGCAGGAGTAAGGACTGCTGGTCTTCGTTATGTGCCTTGTGGAACGAATTGGCTTTTTAAGTCACATGTATATATCACTTAAAAATAAAAAACCTTTACAGAAAACTCATCATTAAAGAAAAATGTTAATGAGTTAAATAGATATTTTTAACCAGAGACTCCTATATAAATTAGTGTATTTTCTGCACCCCCAAAAGACACAAACCAAGAGTAAAGGTGTTGGAATCAGGGCCTAGAATTTGAACCCTTGGAAGAGCTTTGCCTTCCAGGGGCATGGGCTATAGCTAAGGTGAACCTCAGTTTCCTCAACTATGGAATGGGGGAAAACATAAGCTACTTTACATGGGTTTCGGGAAGGTTAAAAACACCGAGTGTGTGAGGCTGGGCCAGAACGGTGCTTTGCAGACAGCTGCTAGAAGGTTCTAGAGCTGCAAGCTCCACGCCTGGCCCTGACAGCTTCCTCCAAATGGGTGTGACCGGCCCACTTCTCCACCCTTCCTCAGGCTGTCTTCTCAGCTCTCCTGAGCTCTACCAGGGAAGGGGTCTGAGATGCAGAGGCCGGGTGCCAGCTGCTCAAGGACTGTGCTGCCGGTCTCCCTGTGTCCCCACAAGCAGGGCGTGCCCCAGCAGGTAGAACATAAAGAGGAGGCAAACTAGGCCCACTCTGATGAGGTCTCACATCTGTGTGACCTAGAGTAAGTCACGTCCCCTCTTGCACCTCAGTTTCCTCCTCTTAAAATGTCATGACAAGGCACCTGCTGTGGGGCTGGTGTGGGGACAGTGCAAGAAGGGAGGGGGAGCACCAGCTCAGACTCCTCCTGTCCCACAAGCAACACGCTGCAGTGCCTCCCAGGCCCACGGCCAGCCCCCTTCTCCCATCATGCTCCGGAGAGAAGGCACCTTCTGGAACCGTCCTCTAGAACGATGGCAGATGCCGCAGGAATGAGACTTGGTGCTGGTCTATGAGCCGAGAAGGGCCAGGCCTAGAGAGGAGGGGAGCACCAGGCCTCCCTGAACACCGTTCCCAGCACCTTGGCAGCAGCACCGGGTGGGGAGAGGCAAACAGCTCACCATGAGGCCTGAAGAGCTGCCTCTGGGCCCAGCTCTGCTCAGCACTAGTTGAGGGGCCTCGGAAAGCTGGTGCCCAGGTCAGCAAGGCAGGCTTCCTGGGGTCTAATGTGTGCAAGGCTGCAGAATGGGCTGCCTGGGGACACAGAATGAATCAGATGTCACAGGCCCTAAGGAGCCCACAGAATCATGGGAAAGACAGGCAGGTAGCAGACAAAAACCACATGGTGACAGCGCCAGGGCAGAGGTGACGGCACCGGGGGTGAGGTGACGGTGCCGGGGCAGAGGTGACAGCGTGGGGGCAGAGGGCTGCAGACAGGAATGTGGCTCACAGAAGACAGACCTCACAGCCCAGCCCAGGGGTCGGTGAGGGTGCCCCAGAAAGTTCCTGGAAAAGGTGACACCAGAATCCAGCTCAGTCCAGCTGACTCAAAAGTCCCCTTTTCTCTCCCTGCATCTTCCCTCACTGCCTCTGAGCTCCCGCCTCTGAGCTCGAAGCCCGGCAAGAAGAATCACGTTCCTCCGGCAGCCGCCACAGCTGTTCAGTCCACCCAGCAGCCCTGTGCTCCGCGAGGCAGGCGGTGGGCGGCCAGGGGCAGGCTGTGATGTCAAACAGGGAGAATTATGTCTGCTGGGAGAGGCGGCAGAACAGAGATGAAGCCTCGAGCTGGGCCTGTTTCCATGCCAATGGCCTTCCCCGTGGAGACACGGCGATGAGAAGCCAAAAACAGTCACCGTCGCTGCTCAGAACCCCTCAAGCTGTCAGGAAATGGGGGAGAAATTGCTCAGCTTGGGAGAGCAGACTGTCTAGCAGGAGGGAGGGTAAGAAGTCCCTCAGGCAAGAGCAGGCCCAGGAAAAGGACCCCGGGGCCCCTGAGGAGGACATTAAAGGACAGGACAGTGAATCCAGAGTTCAGAGGCTCCTCTGGGCCCAGTTTTACTTCCCTAAATTCAGATCTCACAGCTCTCCTTCCAGGTAGATAGGAAGCTGAGACTCTGAAATACTAACTTTTCCAGTTGTACAGCCAATAAGTAGCAGGGCTAGAACCTGAATCCAGGTCTGTTTTCAAAGCTTTCCCTCCTAAACTCTGCTAGTTAGCCTCAAAAAAAGAAAGGAAAGGAAAGGAAAAAGGAAAGGAAAGGAAGAAAAACAGTAGCTGTGAGCTCCAAGGGTTGCTATCCTAAAAAACTCCCAGAAGGTGCCAAAGACAGACAGAAGGTGTGGTTTCAGAATCCTGCACCCAAGGAGTTCCTATAAATCACCCAACGTGCTTGCAGAGCAGGGTCTGGAAAACGATGCTGCTAGCTCCTTGAGGACAGACATGGCCGGGCACCGAGTTGATGCCAGCAGGGCCATTGATGTCACAGGAAACCCGCATGCTCCTTGCTGCCACCAGTATGTGTACGGCAAAGCTGCCAGCACCTGGGCCCGACTCTTAGCAGCTTCCCCCAGGTCCTGTTGTGGGTCAGCTTCAATCCCAGGGTTGCCTGTAAAGTCCTGCAGTGGACAGTCTGTTTTAGACTGCCTTAGAACATCTGTATCAGTCAATTGAGGGGAAGGGACTGCAAAAGGAAGAGAAAAAATGCAAGACAGCCTTCAGTCCGGAGAAGCTCCCATCACTCCCAGCTCCCTGCCCGCCTTCCCTGTGGCAGAAGGTGCGTGTCATCCTCTCTTACTGGAGATGAGAATGGGGGCAGGGGTAGCAAATAACTTGCTCGAGGTCACAAAGCTGATCTGAAATTCACATTCCTTCCATTTCTAAATCACCACAACTACTCAGCATTCATAACTTTTTTTTTTTTTTGAGACCGTCTCGCTCTGTCACCCAGGCTGGAGTGCAGTGGTGTGATCTCAGCTCACTGCAACTTCTGCCTCCCGGGTTCAAGCGATTCTCCCACCTCAGCTTCCCAAGTGGCTGGGATTACAGACTTGCGCCACCACACCTGGCTGCCTAATTTTTGTATTTTTAGCAGAGACAGGGTTTCACCATGTTGGCCAGGCTGGTCTAGAACTCCTGACCTCAAATGATCCGCCCAGCTTAACCTCCCAAAGTGCTGATTACAGGCGTGAGCCACAGCGCCCGGCAAGCACTCACTAACATTCAACAGTCAATCCACAGATATTTCCTGACAGGAGGGACTGTGCTACCTACGGACTCGTGGTGGGAAGGTGGGGTGAGCAGTGGCTCCGGGGATCACCAGCAGGGGAACACACACACAGAGGGCAAGGAGGCTGCGTGTGCAAACACGGGTGGCTCTTGTGCTCATCACCTGACTCTTAGGAGCTCACTGACTCTTCACAGTCACCTTGAGACCTGACGTAGAAGCCGAGGCCCAGCGAGGTTAAGGAACCTGCATGAGGGACACGGGCAGTGAGTGACGGAGCCAGGCTGGGGACCGGGCGGGTGGATTCCCGAGCCTGGATAAAACTGGCTTAACCACTGGAGAAACTGGCAAGAACGGCTGTGTTTGGCAGATGCTATGGTTGGGAAGCACAGAGTGGGTGGGAGAACCGCAGGGCACCAGAGGGCAGCCTTGGTGACTGGGGAAGCTTCTGGAAGGGGTGGTGTGGAGGCCTGGAAGGCCAGACTTGATAGATGAGAGGGGGTGATCAGGCAAAGCGGGGCCTGGGTGAACTGGATTTTCAGAGCAAGGTTCAGAGGAAAGCCAAGGGCAAGGGGATAGTGGGTACCTTCCGGTGAAAGCAGCTGGGCCAGCCAGATGCTGGTGAGGCTTTGGGGAAAGGAGGAAAGGCTGGTCAATCTGTCCCCAGAACGTTCCTTGCCAGCCCACCAGGTGCAGATTTAGAGCAATGCTGGGTGTGTTGCAGCACTGGGAGAGCTTTGAGTCCCTGGCTTGTGGGGCTGGGAGAGACGCAAGGGGGCTGCCCCCATCTCAGTATGGAGATGGGCCACAGGGGCCGACCCAGAGGGGACAGAGGAGAGGTGGAGCCCAGAGAGTCCCCTCCCACCCCACTGCTCCTCAGAGAACATCCCACGGCTCCTGAGTGTTCTCTGGGACCCAACTGCAGGTCTGGGACTTGCTACAAAGAATAAGACGGAGCCTCCTACAGAGGGTCATTTCATTTTTACATAATATTCACATCTTAAAATGGAAGGGCATCTGTCATGACCTCTGCAATGCCAAGCGACCCTTCCTGTGCTTCGTGGATAAGGACACTGTCTTGGGTCCGCCAACTCCTGCCAGGAACAGTGACTTCCCACCTCCTTCCATCAGCTGCTTGGAACCAAACTCACGGCCCGCCCTCACTGCACATGCAGGCACAGTCTCAGCTTCATTTCTGTCTCCATTTAATAACCATCTTCTTCTTTTTCTCCTTTTGCTCCAGATGATATGCATTTAAGTGTATATTATCTTGCATTTTTGATGAATCCTTGTGAGCCATTTAAGTCCTATCTTCAGTAAGGAAGAACATAAACTAAACACACACACACACACACACACACACACACACACCAGCCACTGCTTTCTGAGCACCCCCAGGGTGCTGCAGGCTGGGCCTGGTGCTCTGTGCAGGTCAGCCCCATCAGCCCCATGCCTTGCAGGGGCCGCTGGAGCAGGTTCACAGCGCCCCATCTGGAGTTAAGTCAATGAGGTTAGAGAGGCCAAGACACCAGTTCAGTGGACATGGCTGGGGATAGCAGGTTCAGGCTGCAAATCTCATATATTTCCACATGCCATGCAGCAGTGGAGGGCACAGCTGTGTCTCTTTTTGAGGACAGAATCTTAGAATGCTACTTATGGCAGTTACATCTCAGGAGTTCCTTTTTCCTTGAAAACTGAGAAGT
Source organism: Homo sapiens (assembly GCF_000001405.40). Taxonomy (NCBI): domain Eukaryota; kingdom Metazoa; phylum Chordata; class Mammalia; order Primates; family Hominidae; genus Homo; species Homo sapiens. Next base: position 139,817,412 of record NC_000008.11, read on the forward strand.
TGATAGACTACCGAGAGGATGAACTAGTGGCAAAGGAGCAGGATGAGTCTGCGATTCAGTGCTGCTCCAGGCAGCCAGACCCATGGATCGTCCTCACGGCCCTCAATCGAGCAGCCGCAGCGTGCCCTCCTGGTCTCCTGCCCCACAGGCCTGGCTTCTCGTTCATTAACCCCTTACCCGTGGATGCGTCCCGGCAGCAGGCGCCACGTGGCTGGTGAGAAGGGCGAGGCTTGGGCCCATGGCTGCTGCTCACCGCACAGCCTTCTCTTTAGAAGGTTTTTCCTTTGCAAGGGTCCTAATGATTTCTGCTTCCTCCACTGCTGGGGACCACTCAGCCATGAGCTGCTCACTCCTCTATGGGATGGATGGTGAAATAGAGGCAACTTAGGTAAAGACTTTCGGGAATACCTCCAGGCTATGGGAACAGACAGAGCCATATACAACATGACCTGCACTCTTGGGTCAGGGAGAGACTTGCTTACTCATGTCTTACAAAGCCATACCGAGATCCCCAAAGACAAATAGGAGGATCACAAAAATGTGCTGAATTAATCCACTTCAGTTCCACAATTTATTCTTAAGCTACCGTGTGTACCAGTATATGCTAAGTAATTGGGCATACACTGTTTATACATGAGTGTAGGGCTTACTATCCTGATTTCATGGATGAGAAAAGAGAGGCTCAAAGACTTCAGGTCATTTGCCCTTGGCTAGTTAGTGACTGACCTCGGGGCTTTCTGACTCCAAAGAGTATTCTTAACAGCTTCCTGCATGCATGCCCTGTCTCTAGGTGCTGGGCCCTGTGCAGTGATGAAATGATGTGATCCCTCCCTCAGGGGTGGAGAGTCTGATTAGGAGCTGTGAGGATAAGAGAAAAAGACAGGCCTGGCATGGTAGCTCATGCCTGTAATCCCAGTGCTTTGGGAGGCCAAGGCAGGCCGATCACTTGAAGTCAGGAGTTTGAGACCAGCCTGGCCAACATGGTGAAACTCCATCTCTACTAAAAATACAAAAATTAGCCAGGCATGGTGGTGTGTGCCTACAATCACAGCTACTCAGGAGGCTGGGGCAGGAGAATTGCTTGAACCCAGGAGGCAGAGGTTGCAGTGAGCTGAGATCACGCCACTGCCCTCTAGTCTGGGCAATAGAGCAAGGCTCTGTCTCAAAAAAAAAAAGAAAGAAAAAAATAGTAACACAGTCAGTGGTGTGCTGGTATATGTTTAACAACTGGCTATTGTGGGGGTAACCTGACTTTTAATATTTGCCAATTTCTAGGGTGTAAATACTTCCTGCCTGGCTGATTTCTAGTTACCAATGTGATGTTAACTGGCTTATGAAATTCCTGACAATGTGAGCTGTCCAAGTGGAGTGAACAGTCTTGCTCCTCCGTCGCCTGGCAAAGCCCTTCCCCATTCTATGAGAACCAGGTCAAATGGCAATACCTAGGGAAAACTTTCCTTGTCCTCTTCAGACACAATTTGTCACACTCTTTTCTGTGACCTCTTAGTCCCTTGTACACATCTTAACCACAAGATTGATTCTCTAGTACAGGGGTCCCCAACCCCCTGGCCACAGACTGGTACCGGTCTATGTCCCGTTAGGAACCAGGCTGGAGAGCAGGAGGTGAGCGGCGGGTGAAGCTTCATCTGTATTTGCAGCCACCCCACATCGTTTGTATTCCTGCCTGAGCTCTACCTCCTGTCAGATCAGCAGTGGCATTAAATTCTCACAGAAGCACAAACCCTATTATGAACTGCACATGTGATGGATCTAGGCTGCGTGCTCCTTATGAGAATCTAATGCCTTATGATCTGTCACTGTCTCCCATCATCCCCAGATGGGACCATCTAGTCTAGCTGCAGGAAAACAGGCTCAAGGCTCCCACTGATACTACATTATGGTGAGTTATATAATTATTTCATTATATATTACAGTGTAATAATAGTAGAAATAAAGTGCACGATAAATGTAACAGGCTTGAATCATCCTGAAAGCATCCCCCACCACTGTCCATGGAAAAATGGCCTTCCAAGAAACCAGTCCCTGATGCCAAAAAGGTTGGGGACCACCTGCTCTAGCATTTATCATCATTCCTTGGAAGCCCCTGGGACAGGGACAATCTCATCAGTGCACAGAGGCGGCATATGGAAGACAGTAGTATTTCAGAGACAACTATAGATAAATTCCACTGATGAGCACAGGGCAAAAATTCTAAATGAAGCATTAGCAAATCAAACCCAGCAGTGCATCGAAAGAATCATCCACCAGCACCAAGTATGATTAATCCAAGGAGAGCTCACACCAAGAAATCTACCATCCAGGCCGGGCGCAGTGGCTCACATCTGTAATCCCAATACTTTGGGAAGCCGAGATGGGTGGATCATGAGGTCAGGAGATCAAGACCATCCTGGCTAACACAGTGAAACCCCATCTCTACTAAAAATACAAAAAATTAGCCGGGCATGGTGGCGTGCGCCTATAGTCCCAGCTACTTGGGAGGCTGAGGCAGGAGAATCACCCCGGGAGGCAGAGGTTGCAGTGAGCCAAGATTGTGCCACTGCACTCCAGCCTGGGCGACAGAGTAAGACTCTGTCTCAAAAAAAAAAAAAAAAAAAAAAAAGAGAAAACTACCGTCCAAAACCATTACAACACTGAAAAGGGAAAAGAAGTTACAAGTATGCTGATAAATGCCAAAAGACATTTTTTTAATTTCAGATTTCAGAAAAGAAAACTCTTAAAATGGAGAGAGAAAAAAAATTATCTTATTTATTTATTTTTTATTTTTGTGAGATGGAGTCTTACTTTGCCACCCAGGCTGGAGTGCGGTGGCACCATCTCGGCTTACTGCAGCCTCTGCCTCTTGGGTTCAAGCAATTCTCCTGCCTCAGCCTCCAGAGTAGCTGCGACTACAGGCATGCACCACCATGCCTGGCTATTTTTTGTATTTTTAGTAGAGACGGGGTTCCACCATGTTGGTCAGGCTGGACTCGAACTCCTGACCTCAAGTATCCACCTGCCTTGGCCTCCCAAAGTGCTGGGATTACAGGCATGAGCCACCACACCTGGCCAAATTTATAAGAACTATTTCATTAAAAAACAAATATTCCACATATACACATTTTTATGTATTTCCAAATAGAATGCTAACTTTAAACTGGATAATATGTTCTTAAAGTTCAAATGGACAAATAACTACAAAAGCCATAAAGAAATGTGAGAAAGAACTTGCTTTATCGGGTATTAAAACATATCTTAAAGCCATTACGACAAAAGGGCATGGCATTAGCACAGCAGTCTTTACAGTAGAACAGATAATTCAGAAATAGATCCGCATTTACAAAAGAACTAAATATATTACAAAGGTGGCATGCTAATTCAAGGAAAAATTGATGGTTTTTAAAATCAACTGGTCCTGGCATAACAAAGTAAAACAAAACAAGGATCTATCTTATTGTATATGCACAAATGAATTCCAGATGTTTTAAATTTTAAAAATAATAAGAGAGTATGTGTGTATATATATGTTTTATATATATAGACATTCCTAAGAAGATATACTGGATTGCAGAAAAATGAACAAATTTTATGTGGCAAAAGCCATGAAAACAAAGTCAAAAGAAATATAACAGACCAGGAAATGTATCTGCAGCACCAGGAAATGTATCTGCAGTAGGCAGTCTTTTCCTACTCCAGGTCACAATCTCCTACAAATGGATAAGAAAAAGCCACACAATTCTATAGAAGAGGCAGAGAACGTGAACAGGGCATCTAAGGAGAGAAATCCACATGATCAAAGAAACACATGAGCAAAGCCCAGCCTCTGGAGCAGCCAGCGAAAAGCAAGTGAAAGCAGCAACAATGTGTTTCATTCGGTGGATGGCAAATGGCAAAATATGAAGTCCCTGAATGTGCACAGTGCTGAGAAGGGCGAGGCCCAGGGGCTGCTCTCCCAGGCTGGGGCCACGTGGATGCTGCAGCCTGGTACTTGGAGAGTATGCTGTGGCACAGGTCAAAATGTCAGCATGCGGGTCTCAGAGGAATCTAAGAATAGCAGGACCCCGCTTCTGTAAAACAAACCCATTTCCTGTATGTTAATACATCTCCATATGCATCAATGTGAGCCTGGAGAAATGTGGAAAAGGTCCTACCCCAGGGTCCAGACCGGGCTTCTCCGAAGGATGGGAATGGAGGTGGCAGAGAAGATTAACACTTTCTATACTGCTTTGCATTATTTCAATAGTTAAAATAAGCAGAGATTACTCTTACAGCTTAAAAAATGTAATCAATGTTTTTAAAGTGCTTTCTCGACTACAAACCAGCACCCATGGTGAGGCTCCATGACGGTCCAGCCACCACTGCGCACGGGACCCGTGAGCTTGTTAAGGCTTCTGAGTAGAGACCAACAGATTCGTGTGCCATAATAGCCTGGTAAATAGGAATCAAAAAGGTAGCAGCTGGAGTTCTCCCCATGGAGCTCGACGGAGAGAAAATGAATCGTAGTGCCATGCTCGGCTATTGGCTGGGCCTAAATTGTTCCTTACTCTGAGAATTCGTTAAGTGGCTGAGCAATAAAGAAGAGAGATTTGAGAGTTCTTTCTCGGCACAATGGCTTTGACCCCTGCCCTTTCAGTCGTGATGGCTTTATTAGGGACCGTGGGGTGCTGCAAACAGCCTTGAGGCTCTGGGCAGACCAGTTCATCCAGCTCAATTAAAAACCCATTACCTGGCGCTGAGCTGGGCCAGCTGTGGGCCAGGCCGTGGGGGAGGAGAGGTGACTTCCTCAGTCCCTTCCTCAATCCTGTATTAGCATCTACTCCAGGCCAAACACCAGCACCCAGGAAGCAGACCTGGAAGACGGCATGACCCACTCCAAAGTGGCTCCCAGGTTACTGGGGTCAGTGACATATGAGGAGATGATCTCCACAGCCTTCTAAGGCATGGCCTCCCATTTGTAAAATGAAAGGGTTGCCCAGGTGCTCATGTGCTCCGAGAGAACAATGCCAGGTACCAGCTACATAGGGCAAGGAGACCCCGCCCCAGGCTCCTGGGGAGCTCAGGTGAGGACACCGACACTGGCAATCCGGGCCTGTGTATTGACACCCTATTGTGCGGTTGAAAAGAGCACACCCAGGGGCCAGACCTCAAGCAGGTGCTAGAGATGGCCTCCCTCAAGGAGAGGAGTCTGACCTGAGAGCCAAGAGCCGTAGGATGGCGGGGGGGGGCTGCCTTGCCTCCATGGGAAGGACAGCAGAGGGGCTGCCATCTGCCAGAGGCCTGCTGAGTGCATGCGTCCTCTCAGACACGCTGCCTGCCGCTGACACATGGAGTCTTCAGACACCAGGACCATGGCTGGGTAGGGTGGCAGTAGTGTAAACATGAGCAAAGCCTTGTTCCTGCCTGCCACAGTCAGTTCAGGCAACTGTCACAATGTGTCACCACTGTGGCTTAAACAACAGACATTGATTTCTCACAGTTCTGGAGGCTACAAGTCCAAGACCAAGGTGCCAGGAGGGTGGATGTCTGCTGAGGGCCCTCCCCTGGCTGGCAGTCCGCTAACCTGCTGCTGTGAGCTCAAGATGGCCTTTCCTCAGGTGTGTGCAGCTCTCTGGCGCCTCTTCCTACAGGGACAGTAATTTGATTGACTCAGGCCCCATCCTCATCCCCCATTTAAGCTTAGTTGCCTTCTCAGAGGTCTCATTTCCACATACAACCACACTGGGGGTTACGGCTGCAACACATAATTTTGGGGGGACACATTCAGTTCGGACCAGTACCCTTCCCAGTGCCCAGTCACCCCAGAGGCGCGAGGTGGGAGGAGCTTTGATTGTCACAGGAAGGCAGTGCTTGAGCTGGACCAGGTGCCCAGCGGTCTGATGTGGAGAAAGAGTGTGATTTTAAGTGGGGGAAGCAGGTGGGGACCGAGAGTTGACATCCAGGCTAAGGGGCTCAAGCAAGCAGAGGCTTGGTGCCCGAATGCAGAGTGGGTTCACAGGAAAGAGAAGAGACCAAGGTGCCCAGGGTGTGGGTGGTTGAGGAGCCTGAAAACATGCCACAAAGAGCTTGAAATGCCACGCCAAGGACTTCAGATGTCTCCTGCAACCATCAGAGACTCTGGCAGGGTCACAGTGACCCACCCAGACCAGCAGATGCCCCTGTTTATCCCTGGACTTGGGCCTGTGCTCCAGGAGCTGCCATGCCCAGGAAGAGGGATGCACGGGGGTCTCTCCCAGGTGGAAACAGAGACCTATAAAAAGCCTTGTCTGCTGACGGACAGTGTTCCTGGGAAGCCCTGCAGCAGAGGTGCCAGTCTTTCCAGGTATGGGGCTGACGCTGAGCTCTGAACATCCCTGGGGCCTGCAGAGGCAACTGCGCTGCCACAAAGAGAGGCCTGATGGGCATCCTCAGGATAATAAAACGTGAACAGCTGGGGTCTCGCGGCCACATGATGGTGTTCAAGCCCACACCTGCTCCCTCCAGGCCCTCTCACCCACCCTTGGCACAGAAGGTCTTGGAGAGAGAGTTGAAAGGTGCTGGACTGACTGCTGAGAATTTGTTAGACATGCCCGTGAGGATCCGGATAAAAATACCCAGGTCTTCTATTACAGGAGCAGGCAGCAGTTTACATGGGGCTCTCACGTGTATCAGTTCACCCCATTTTCACTCAGAGCCAAAAACTTATGGGAGGGAGGTGATGTCTTCCCCATTTTACAAGGGAGAAAGCAGACTCAAAGAATTTGACCATTAAAGAAAGTGGTCAGGTCTTGGCCACAAGGTTTTCTGGGTCTTGGAACTAGCCCTGAGCGGTGTGTGTACAGATCACGTAATTTCGGCAGCCCAGTTTCCTCATCTGCAAAACGGATGAGGTGAGGAAGTCGCCGGGTCACTGTGACGATGCCAAGCGTGCTTCCTGTGCAGAGCTTCGGGGGCCTGCAGGGACATCCAGCACCACAGCACTGTCATTAACATCAGTCACCACGTGGCTAAGGCCTTGGAGCTGCCAGGGCCACAGGAGAGGCAGTGGAGCACGTCGGGCGGTGGAGGAAACCCACGTCTGAGCAGGGCGACTTTCCAAAGGATGCTCCATGGGAACACCCGTTTTAAGGGATTTAATGGACTTTACCTTTATATTTATATTTATGTTATTTTATTATTTTATTTTATCTTTTGGCGACAGATTCTCGCTCTTTCACCCAGGCTGGAGTGCAGTGGTGTGATCTTGGCTCACTGCAACCTCCACCTCCCAGGTTCAAGCGACTCTTGAGCATCGGCCTCTGGAGTAGCTGGGACTATAGGCAAGTACCACTACGCCCAGCTAATTTTTTGTATTTTTTAATAGAGATGTGGTTTTGCCATGTTGGCAAGGCTGGTCTCAAACTCCTGAGCTCAGGCAATTCACCCACCTCGGCCTCCCAAAGTGCTAGGATTATAGGTGTGAGCCACTGTGCCTAGCTGACTTTACCTTTGTAAAAGGTTCCATGCTGTAAGGAGGCTGGGCCCGGTTGGGTGTGATGGGATTCACAGATTTCTTTACTCAAGGCCTCCAGGGTTTTCTGTGTGCTCTCGTGAGTCCCCTGCAGGGAGGTGGACGTGACCAGGGAAGCCCTTCTTCCCCCTCACAGAGCGCCAAAAGGACCTCTCATTCCACAGAGAACACTCAGGGGTGGGGTTGCTGGAGTGGGGGTCACAGATGACCCGGGCCCTGGACGTGGGACGTGGGCTGCGGGACTACAGGATTACAGAGGGGTCTGAGAAGGTCTTACTGAGGCATGGGGTGGCCTCAAGGCAGAGCTAGAGCCCAACAGGGCAGCCCACGCAGGGTGGGCAGAGAAACGGCTCCTGTCTTTCAGGGAACTAGCCACTCCTCTGGGACCTGCAGCCACACTGGGTCCCACTCTTTCCCGCCGAATGGAGGAGAGGAGAAGCACAGGTCCTGGTGCAGGCGGCACTGGCATCCTGTGAGGATGAAGGCCTGTCCATCCCATGGCTGTGCAGGATAAGGAATGACGGGCTGTGGGCCCAGGAAGTGCTTCCCGGGCGCCGGATGGATGGGCACCAGGGCCAGGTGGGGGCTGCATGGGTCCCATGCCCAACCTCAGACCTCAGGATCTGAATCTCCACTCAGAGAATCTCTGCCCTTAATCCCTTTGGGATCAATTAATGTTCCCAAGAAAAATGGAAATTTAATTTCCATAGTAAGTTCTGAGAAAAAAGTCACTTCCACCCGGGGGAAATTTCATGGCTCTGGTTTGTTTGCTTTGGGCCAGGGCTTCTGCAGGACACAGCCAGTGATCAGACGCCCCGTGGAGGATACCGCCGAGCAGCCAGCTTGCCCGGAAGGAAAAAGGGAGGCAATTCCGAAGAGCAGACGAGCCTCCGAGACAACAGCCGTGAGACGATGGCCGGAGCTGAGTGTCAACGCCCAAGGATTTCCAGGGCTTCCTCACCCATGGGTTCCTGAATCAGAATATTTCCTGTGCAAAGCGCCATGCCAGGCTCTGGTGGGGAGAGGTGAGCATCGGATATAACCCGCCCGTGGAACAGGCCATGATGAGGATGTGCAACAGCAGGGGAGCTCCAGGGCCCCTGTCCTCTCCCAGGTGGGGGTGAGAGCCCATTCTGCCTGGTGGGCAAGGAAGAGGAGCGTGGAGAGGTCTTCCTGGCCAGGTCTGAAGTAGGGGAGGGCACAGAGAGCCCAGGGTGACCCAACCTGGAGCCTCGTTGGTTCTCCCAGTCTTTCTAGGCCCAGAGGGGCAGGCTGTGAGAGGGGAGTGGAGGGAGAGGCTAAAAGCCAGACTCTGGGGGCCTGGAATCAATAAACAGGGAGTCCACTGGGCTGTGGTCCTTGGAGAGGTGTGACTGATCGGAGGGGCGCTTCCAGAGGACTACACTGCAGGTGAAAAGAGGAGGGACGGAACAGGAGAGTGAGAGACAGTGTGGGCCAGACAAGACAAGGCAGGGCTTCTCAGCAGATGGGGGCTGCAGGAGCCGGCCGGGTGAGCCTGGGCAAGCCATGCTCAGCCCTGGCCAGCTGGGGCTGTGGCCTCCTTCCCCCGCAGGGTCGGTGCCTGGGGGGAACAGAGACCCCTGTGAGTGGCACCAAATAAACGCACAACTGAATGAAGAGGGTGGGAACCACGGCAGAGGCGGTGGAGTGGGGCAGCAGGAGGGGATAGCGGAGACCTTGCCAGGCCACATGGGCAGGGCTCGGCGATGGACAGGAAAGGGCAGAGGAGTGTGAGGCTGTCAGCCTGGCCCGGGGCTCTGGCTCGTGTGAAAGGCTGGAGTTGACGCCGTTCCTGTGGACTGGGGACGCCGGGGGAAAAGCAAGGTTGGAAGGGAAGGAAAATAACTCCATTCTGGAGATACACTGAACTGTGAACAGAAAGGTACAGCAGGAGAGCCTGGGTTTCTGCAGAGAGGTTGGTACAGGTCCCTGTGGGAGCCATCAGTACAGAGAGCAAGGCACAGAAGCCGGAGACACACCATGGGGAGGGAGAACCAGTTAGAAGCCCGGAGAGAATGGAACATACATGTCTTTAGGGAATATACGTGTGATCAAAGAAGGGACAGACTGCTTGCCGGTCCATCTTCCGGAACCTGGAGTCACTCTGCAGTAGCTCCCAATGCAGGAGCTAACACAGAACATAGCCATCAGGTGGAAACCCTTGCAGGACACCTCTCACACCTGTTTGCCCATTTCTAAAATGGGGAAGGGAAGGCACTTGCCCCACAGCTGTTGCAGAATGGTGAGCTAGAGCCCGGGAAGCGCCTACAGCAGGTCTCGGCCTGGAGCAGGGCCTCGCGGCTCAGGGTAGTGGCTCCCTGTGCCTGAGGAGGACAGGCACCTTGGTTTCTTCACCATCTCAGTATCCGCAGGGCCGAGGCATGTGTCTGGCACATGCTAGACGTCATTGCTAGTGGCCCTGCATGCAGGACAGAGGAAGGCTGAGCCATGGCTGATCCCCGTAATCCCTTTGGAAGGGATTCTGAAGCTTCTTGCAGCTTCTGAAGACACCACGGCAAGCTGGGAACCCCCTGATGGGGACTCCGGGAGCAGGGTAGCAGCATTTAGACGGGGCTAAGGGAGATGGCCACAGAGACCGCGTTGGCTTCCCCGGGAGCTGGGATGCAAGCACAAAGAGGAGGTCAGGCAGTCTCACCTTTCAACCCAGGCCTGCCATGTGCTGGGGTGGTGCCAATAAGGACTGCGTGCCCGCACGTGACTGATAAGTGAATGGAGGCTCTGAGAAGCCAGGTGTCCTGGCAAAGCCAGCCAGGACAGCAGCAAGAGGGAGGAGCTCGGTGCCAGGCTGTTCTTGCATTGCTATCAAGGAACACCTAGGGCAGGGTGGTTTACAAAGGAAAGAGGCTTCATCGGCTCACAGTGCTGCAGGCTGTACAGGGAGCATGGTACTGGCATCTGCTCAGCTTCTGGGGAGACGTCAAGGAGCTTTTACTCATGGCAGAAGGCAAAGTGGGAGCAGGCGTGTCACACAGTGAGAGCAAAAGTGGGAACAAGGCAGGGAGAGGTGCCACGCTCTTTCCAACAACCAAATCTTACGTGAACTCACTCATCACTGAGGGAAAGGTGCTAAGCCACACGTGAGGAATCCACCCCCACGATCCAAACACCTCCCACCAGGCCCCACCACCAACAGTGGGAATTCCATTTTAGCATGAGACTTGGAGGGGACACACACACACACATCCCAACTACAGCAAGCTTCCCCGATGGGTCTGGCTGCAGGGCTGTGTTCCCCTCACTCCACACCTCTCCCCAGCATGTTGCCCAGTGTGCCCACATGACGCCTGTCTGCTGAGGGTCACACTGTACCTGGTACACAGAGGTCCTCAGTTTGTATTGGCTTGTCCTGAACTGGCGTGAGGACAGAATACCCTCTACTCTGCAAGGGTGGCTGCTTTCCTCCTAGCATTCTCTTTTATGATCTATTTGGCATCTCTGGTCCCCAGGAGCTAATCTAGGAAACCACACTACATGTTTCCTCAAAATAAGCCAGACAATGCGGCCAAAGGCACACCAAAGGTTGTCAATTGAAGATAACCGCTCACATTTTCTACCAAGTGGTTCAAAGACCAAGCTCCATTGAGAAAAGTCATTACCAAATCGGGAAATGCTCCTTTGAAGGAACATCCTGAGATTTCCCGGCATGGGGCTGGGCGATGCAATTAATATTTGTTGCTTGAGTTCCCCAGGGTGTCTGACACTGGGCTGTAACATTCATTAAGGGCCAGGCCTACAAGGTCATCGACACATCATTTTGTTTCCCTGAAGCTGATCACCAGCGAGCAACTTGAAGGAACGCTGCCCAGGTCTGTCTGGCTCCAGAGACGGCACCCTAGGACTATGCCAGCAGGCCCTCTGTCCCCCAGAGCCCAACGTCTGAATCTCAGCATGAAACCAATGAATAAGAGATGAGCAATATTTATACAAATACATGCAATCCGAGGGAGGGCTCACCCAATGAAATGACAGATTCATTTGAATAAAATCAGCTAAAGATACCCAACTATTCTATATTTGTAAGATCAAAACTTAGAAAAGAAATTCTTCTTTCCTTCCATATATGTTCTCTGCTTAAAAATTCCTACATTTGGAGACGCAGAATGGAGGAAGAAAAAAAATGCCCGCAGATCAACATGGCAAGCTTCTCTTTCCTTGTTCCTGTACAAATCTTCGTCTATATTTAGAGAGTTTCTTTTCTGACTGTAACATACATATGTGTACTAGACTAATGTGTGAGAATGTGTAAATGTACGGAGACGCCCTTCCGGAGGGTATAAAGTCTTTGCTCTCTCTTCGCTCTACGAACCAATCCCATCACTGCTTTGGTGCGTGCACCACTTTTTAAAGCCATCGTCTCCTTTACTTCTCACAATCACTGTGCAGACAAACAGGAGGAAGCAGACGATAGGGATGTCAAATATTCGCCCAAGCTCACAGCCTCCAAAGCAGTAGTCTCTGTCTTAGCTGCAGCCTTGTGACCCGTTCCCGTTCCACCACCTGACATGGGTCTCCCACACGTGCTATAATGGGAGAGCTCTGCCTCAATGCTCATCTGCACGCAAACACACGAGTGCAATCTACTAACACACAGTCCCAGGAGGAGCAACGTCTGGATACCCCCATCTGGAGATGCTCACAACCCTGGTTCTCACCAAGAGCCTTGGGATGGGCGCTGTGGGAGAGAATCAACACGAACTCCTGCACTCTGGGAGGGAGGGCCCTTCCAGCTCACACAGTTTGCGGGGCTATGATCCCAAATATTGTAACACAAGAGCGAAAAGAATGGATCCTGAGAGACAGGTAAGGGACGAAAAATGCAGAAAGAATGGACATCTGCTCCTTACTGTCTCTAGCGATGCTACACACATGAGCTAGGCTTTCCCACTTTCTAAACCAGGAGACTGTGGCTCACAGAGGTCAATGGCTGGCCAAGGTCACACGCCTAGTGAGTGACAGCGCTGGGGCTGGAATCCAGCCACATGTGTGTCCACAGACCACGCACTTCCCAGGTCCTGGTACCATAGAACTCTCCTCTCTACATGCATGGGTAGGGGTGGCAAGGAGAAGAGTGACATGGAAGGAGAGAGAGAAGATGAATGACTGTGAACACAAATACTCCATTAGCATAAGCTGAAGTTAGCTGGAAACAGAAATGCACCTACAGAGCTATCTAGAAACAGGACGATGGTCTGTGGCCTGCTAGCACGCAAGCAAGGGAAGGAGCCTGACGTGCACGTGCACACACATGTATACAAACACATACACACACATGCATACACACACAAATGAGCATACACATGCACACACACACTACACATGCACACACATGCATACACACACAAATGAGCATACACATGCACACACACTACACATGCACACACATGCATACACACAAGTGAATATACACACGCAATTACACATGCATACACGCTACACATACACACACATGCATACACATGCAAATGAGCATACACCTGCAAATGAGCATATGCACGCAAATACACATGCACACAAACGCTACACACATACACATAAACACATGCGTACACAGATACAAATAAGGATGCACACATACACACATGAATACATATACACACATGCACACACAAACGAGCAAGCACATGCAAATACACATGCACACACATACACATGCACACACCACACGCATACACCACACGCATACACACACATGCATACACAGATACAATACAGACATACACATACGAATACACATGCACACACATACACATGCATATACACATGCACACATGCAAATACACACACACACAGACACACACCTCTAGAAGGGGCTGTGTTAGCCAATGCCAAACACCAGCCTCGGCTGCTGCACCAGGGAGCCCGGAAGCCTCTCTGGATCCCAGGCCCACACTGTGAAGAGCAAGGCTGCTGGTGACCACGAACAGAGGGTCCCGCCCAGGACACCTGCTCTCCAGGGAGGCTGAACTGTCAGGGTTATTGAACAGTGATGAAGTGCACGGCAGCAAGCTCCATCGCTGGCCGCGCTGACTGACATTTACCCTGCACACAGCCTGTGCCGAATGCTCACGTGCACTTGGCAATCACAGCGACCTTGGGAAGCGGGAGCACTTGCCCCATTTCAGAAATGAGCCATCTGCTAAGAGACAGGAAGGAGCTCCCTGTGGGCACTCAGTGGGCAAACAGGAGAGAGGGCTGGGAATTGAACCCAGGGCACGCAGGCTCCACAAGTTCACACTCTAAGCTTCTTGTTGTAGGTTCCAAGGACACATCTGGGGCAGAAGACAGCCGCCCACACATTAGTTGGACTTGTGTGGTCTGCTGTGTCGTGTGTGTCTGACAGACTCTGAGGAGGATCTGCTTGTGCCGAGACCTGGGTTTCCGGGGTGGAGAAGGTGGGCAAGAGACTCTCCCAGCCATCAGTGAGGTTTCTTGATATTTGATCCTAACAGGGGCTACAGGAAGAGACCCACAATTTATACACACACTCTTCCCACGCACTCACATGCATGCAAGCACGCACACTAACACACACACGCTCAGTCACACACAGGCATGCATAAACACACACAAATCACCTCAATTTAACTGAGAAATTAATTACATTTGCTCCCTATAAGGAACTGGCATAGACCTGGACTCCTACCCAAGCTCCCCACCCCGCTGGGTGCCCCACAGCCTGTGGGAACACCCCCACCGCCGCAGCCTGTGCCAGCCTCTCCATCCAGTCATCCACCCCACCCCTCACTGAGCCCCACTGGATGGGGGGTCAGGTATCATGTGAGAGGAGGCTCCTTTGCTTTGCAAAGCAACTTGCCGCAGTGAAAGTGTTACTCTCCTCAATTTAGAGAGGGGAATGGAGGCCCAGGGGGATGGACGTGCTCGGAGTGTCTCGGCCTGCAGTAGGGAGAGCGGAAGGCTGCCCAGGCCTCTGCCTCCGTGCTCTTTCCACAGTGCTTCCGCCCACTCCGTCACGTTGCCTTGAGTAGCCCCATTGTCCTGGCTACGTTTCAGAGTGCCTATTACTCAATTATCCCTTCTCCTCTCCGTGAAGTGTCCATTAACCTTGTGTCTCCAGGTTCCTGCTTCCCCTCCCAAGGTGCTCATAGCGAGCACCTACCTTTCATGTTGTCACAGGCGTCCCCTGCCAGTAACCAGCTCTGAGAGGGTGAGGGCAGGGGCCACCTCTGAGGGCCTCGTTCGAGCTCACAAGCTTCCCTTGGGAAGGCTCTCCCGGCCCTGCCAGACTCATCAGATCAAGTCTGATACCCTGTGAGTGCACTTTCTAATCAATGAGCAAAACGGCCTCTTTCTTCCTTGGCCTTCCAGTAAAAATAGCTACATTTGCATGATAACATCTGAGGACCACCCAGCTCAGAGACTGCTTTTAATACTCGAAATCTGACAAGGCACGTACACCATGCAGACAGAATGCGCGGGGTGTTCGCGTGGAGCAGCTAGTGAGACCTGCCGCTCCTGCCAGAAGCCCAGCCGCTGGTTGGTCTGGGACGAGCAGGTATGGCCCGAAGCAGGGGAGGCTGGTGGGGGTGGGAGACCAGTGGGCACGGAGTTGGGAGAGGGCCCAGCAGGAGGACCATGCCATTTCCCCAGCCTCCCCAGGACTCAGCTTTGCCACCTTGAACTCAGCGAGCTCTTTGCCAAGGGCAGGTGTCATATTCTGGGGAAAGGTAAATAAAGGTCCGCCAGAGTGAGCACAGAGGCCTTCCCTCTGCTTGTGGGGCTCTAAGCCTGGCTGACTTCTCTTCCGCCTCATGAGCCTGCCCAGAAGAGCCTCCTGCAGGAAGCAGCCTTGACCTCCAAGGTGGATGACGTGTCCCTTCCTGTGGGGAGCTCCAAGATGACCCCCGGAGACCCTCGCCCTTGGATAGCGTCCTCCCCATGAGGGTGTGGGAACTTGGGAATGTTATGGCTTCCATGATTACGGCATTCTCTGCTAAAAGGGAGATTCCTTGAGTGGGCCTAATCTAACAGGCTGAGCTCTTTAAAGGCAGAGAAATTTTTCCAGCTGATCTCAGAAGGGGAAGTCAGAGATGAGAAGCATGAGAAGGGTTCAACACCCCACTGCAGGTTTGAGATGGAGGGGCCACGTGTCCAGGAATGGGGGTGGCCTCTGGGAGCTGACAGCAGTCTCCAGCGGACATCAGCAGGAAGCTGGGGCCTCGGTCCTACAGCCACAAGGACCTGAATTCTGCCAACAATAAGAACAAGCTTAGAAGTAGATTTTTCTCCATTCCCTGATGAGAACCCAGTCTGACAAAACACCCTGATTTTAGCCTTGTGATCCTGGAGCAGAGAACCTTCATAAAACCTATAGCCCCCTTCCCCCAGCCGACTTCCCCTTCCTTAGCTTTAAGATTCTGCTAAAAGGGGCAGCAATTCTGCTTCAGTTTCTCCAGAGAATGTCCCTCCTACCTGCTGGGCCAGCAGTGTTCCCAGGCAGGCTGCTGCCTGTGTCCTGCCTTTCCCACACAGGCCCACCCTCTCTGGCTGATGACCCAGCTTCTTCTGCTCTGGCAATGGAAGGAGCTGGTCACGAAGAATCCGGCCACGGCACCTGGCTGACTTCAGAGGTTGGCAGGGCAAATGCCCCGCAGATTAAAGAAGTCATTTCCTTACTCGAAGCGGAGGCTTGCCCTAAACGCAGGCCTTGACGGGTGGTTCACAGGCAGGGCACTGTGCTGCCCCTTCCCAGACGTGGCCTTCCCAGCAGAACAGGCAGGAAAGAGGCATTTCCAGAAGCAGCTGCGGCCACCAAAGAAGGGCCGCTGCTAATGTGCAGTGTGGACTTTCTCATGAGGAGAGCTGAGAGGTGTGCCCGTCATTGGACTGACTGATTTCAGCTTCCTTCCGCTTCAGGAGCAGGAGGGGCCGGGAATGAACTTGAGTGTGGGGGAGGGGAGGCAGGGCCACCCTGGTGTTATTCCTGGGTATGGCTACTGAAAGTCAGGAGGGATCAGAAACATGAGAGCCCCTGGTGAGGAGGTGCCTTGGCGGTGGAGGAAACGCAGGCTTTCCTGTGGCATGACCTGTGTGCAAATCGCTACCCAACCCCTACCAGCCACGTGGCTTTGGTAACCATGTGACACTGGGCAAGTCATGGAGCCCTGTGTGGGCCTCTGGAACGAAGCAGGGTGAGAAACTCCGGTGCATAGAGTTGTTGTAAGCCTGAGGTGAGGTTCTGTGTACCCAGCGCCCACCAGAGCCTGTCACAGTGGGAGCTGAGTCACAAGGGACTCTGCTTGCTGGTGGTGTGGTTAGTGCCACCTGCTAGGCTTGGCCAGGCAAGAACGTCAGTCAAGGTTAGGTATTCTTGCATGATGGTGCCTACACCAGCTGGCAGCAGAAACCTGACGCAACTCCATAGCTGCAAATGGAGATCCAGGGAAGGCTCCACGGACCATAGAGGGCTGTGTCGGGAGCAGTGAGTCTGACATTCCTAATGACCTAGGACAATGACGTGTGTGTTCACCACGTGACATGCACAACTGAGAGACAGAGCTGGCTTTCTGAGGAAGGGGGGCGGGCACAGCTGCAAGGCACGGGGGACCCCTCCACCGCCAGCAGGCAGGCGGAACGTGGCGTCTGGCGAATGGCAGGGAAGCCGCCCTCCATGACGCTGAGTCCTCAGGACCAGTGCACTAGTGGGGACGTTGTCGCCCCATCTCACAGCTGAGGGAGTTGAAGCCAGAGAGTGTGGCTTATCCATGGTCTACCAGGAGTACAGGCAGAGTAGCCTGAACTTGGAGTCCTGCCTGGCAGGCTGCAAAGCTCTTGGTATTTCCATCCCTCCTTGCCATGTCCAAGTTCACGAGAGGGATCTCACACCCGAGAGATACAGGCACTGTCATCATCAGGCGCATTTCAGGATGTAAACCGCAGCTCAGAAAACAAGTCATTTGCCCCAGTAGCGGGGCTGTTGCTGGGAGCCAGCTCTCCCAGGTTCTGAGTCCAATGTTTTCCCCACCACCCCGTGGCAGTCATTAAATAGGCGATTTCTATCCCACCTGTTGAGGATTTATTTCATGCCGGTGCTGACTCGCCTGGACAGGGAAGCCCAGATGCCAAAGGTGAAGATTTCAAAGGTGAAAGTGCCCCCCATGGAGTGGGCATCAGACTCGTTGGCAGGTTTCTGTTGACTGGGTTTTCGCTGTTAATGAATGCGACCTTGGGTGAATCACCTCTCCTCTTGGAGCCTTGGACTAGAGCACTGGTTTTTAAATAGGGGAGTTGGAGGCAATAGGGGTGAAAGCACCCTCAAATCCTCCCCCATCTGACCAGCTCCTCTGACCTCCTCACCCACTTCGAGCAGAACAGAGATGCTTTTTATGTGTTTTACATACTGCGTTGTGCACACATTGCCTTTGATTAATAAATTTCTGAAGTCACTGAGCCAAGGAACCTGGCAGGTCCTCCGGGGCTCCGCTGCTCTGCGACTCTGCAGCAAGCATCCTCGCCGCCGTCCAGCCTTCCCTCCTGCGCCCCATTGTGTCACTGTGATGGCGCGCACGTTCGCCCGTGCTGTGCGTGGATGCACGGATGGATGTCTAATATCTATTCATCTAGGTATCTATTTTTGTATCCACGAGACATCCTCACTAATAAACCTGGGGACAGTGGGGAAAGCAGCAAGAAAGGCCAATCAGTGCTGCTGCTGTAAAGCGATCAAGTCCCAAAGGACAGCAGACAAGAGACACTGCTGCCAAATCTGCTTTCTTTAATTAAGGCGGAGATTGATAAGAGCTGTCAGAGTGAAATGAAGAGACTCCAGGCCTCACTGCTTTGCCAAGACATGAGAGGGAAAGCTGAAGATTAAAAAACAAAAAAAAAAAAAGCTTCCCTAGAAAGCCCACAGAATCCGTTACAAAAAGGATGAGGCTCCGAGGACGGCAGAGAGTGCAAGAATCACCACCCCAATCAGCAGTGGAGGATGTGGCCTGAGCTTGCCAGCTGTTTGGACAGGTTATATATATCTATATCTACCTACCCATCTATCTATCATAAATGCTATTTTCCACCAAGGAAAGCTGGGTGTAGCACAAAGGGAAGCATTTATTTATTTATTTATTTTTTTTGAGACAGAGTCTCACTCCGTCGCCCAGGCTGGAGCGCAGTGGTACCATTTCAGCGCAGCGCAGCCTCCACTTCCCAGGTTCAGGTGATTCTCCCTCCTCAGCCTCCTGAGTAGCTGGAATTACAGGCACCCACCGCCACACCTGGCTAATTTTTATATTTTTAGTAGAGACGGGGTTTCATCACGTTGGCCAAGCTGGTCTCGAATTCCTGACCTCAGGTGATCCACCCACCTTGGCCTCCCAAAGTGCTGGGTTACAGGCGTGAGCCACCACACCCCAGTAAAGGGAAGCAGTTCTGAAAGAAGAACCAGCTCTCCATCTCAGACCCCGGAGCGGGACCGATCCTGGTTCTGACCCTGCGCCCGGCACTCGATGTGTGTGTTTCCTGCAATTCTCCCCAGGGGCAAGTGCATGGGAAGCCGCTGGGGGGACCTGGAGGAGAAAGAGCTTCCATGAGCAAGCTCAAGGTTCGGGAGGGAGGTAGGGCCCAGCCCAGGCCTGCATGAAGCCCAACTGCTCCCCTGCAGCAATGCAGATGCTGCCGCCACACGGGGCAACTGAGGGAGACTGAAAACTCACACGATTCATCCCAAGTCCAAAAAGAACTGAAGAGAGATGGGCGTGGCTTCCCGAGAGTCATTTGGGACATTCTGTGGAATTCCCAGGAGCAGACACCAAGGCTCCACAAAATCTCAGCATGCATGCAATTAGTCATGGGAAGAAACAGTGCTCTTTCAGGAGGATGCTTCTAATTGGAGATACTTCATTCTGTAAGCTAAAAAATAGGATCTTTATAAACCCTCGATGTTTGCCATCATTGCCAGAAACAATGAGATACGATGGTACCCCATCACCTCCAGGGAGGTCAGAAAGGCTTGATGTGAACGGCTCCTTCTGTCTCTGTGGGTTTGTCGTTGTTGTTGTTAAAAAAGGAAATGACAAGGAGGACTTGGGGCCTAGCGATCTGGGTTCAAGTCCTGCTTGCTTGTGAGACCTGGAACAAGGAACAGGACCTGTACAGGTGACAGTTAGGTTTTAATAGTCTATGCACCGGTGGTGTTAGTTCAGGGAACAAACCAGGAAGTGAACAGAGAAACCCTCGGTAAACTTCAAAGCTCAAGATAATACATCTGCAAAGCCTAGAAAGGCTGGACTACGGTTCTTACCATCACCGTGACACACATGCAAGAGCCCTCCTGCTGCCGCTGTTCACGCCAGCTGGGGGACGTGCTTCACTCTGTGACACCCTGTCGAGGCAGCACGGTAACCAGAGGCACCACCCCCAGTGCACAGCTGCCACGGGGCAGGGTCTTCCGGCTCCCACCTGACAGCCCACCACAGCCCCCAACGGCACTTCAAAAAGGCCCCTGTCCTCCCATAGCCATCTGTCCAAGGCAAAGCTAGCAACTGGATGGGACCAAAGAGGAACTCTGAGGGGTACTTCTTGCCATGGCAGGAACTCAACAACACGCTCCCCCACCAGCCCCCTGAAGGCTCACGTGCCCAGGGAGGGCCTTGCCTGCACTGCCTCGGTCTGCTCTCACTGGGTGGCCTCGCAGAGACCCATGGAGTGGGACTGGCCCCCTGAAGGCAGGCCTGTCTCCAGCCCAAGGCGTTTCTGAGCTGCTGAGTCCTAGCTCTGTCCACGCACATCTTTGGCACACCCACGTGGCTGTCCCCTGCCATTTCCCCACACCCCTGGTCTCTCGTCCTTCCAGGCACCCAACCCAGATGCCAGGAGCCCCTCGGCCCTCCTCTGTGCTCCCCGCTTCTCACTTGCCACCGAGATTCTCCTTCCAGAGTCCATCCAGTCGGCCCATGTCTGTCTGTCCACAGGGCTGGCATGGCAGTTCAGGCCAGCAGGAGCTCCTGGCCCGGTGGCTACACTGTCTTCTCACAGCTCGCCCATCTCTAACCATGTTGTCCCCTCTTCTGGCCCAGGCTGCAGGCTCCTTCCACACTGCACATCTGATCACACCACCCAAAGCCTTCGACGCCCCTGCTTCCAGGACAGAGTCTAAAGGGCTCGCTGCACCCACAGGCCTCCACACCAGGACTCTTCTCTCTCTTTGTGGAATTCTCCCAGTTCCCCACAGCCACAGCCCCAAACCCCTGGATGCACCGCTCTCCATCCGTGACTTGCCTCTTCTTGTGACTGGATAGCTCTTCCTCATCCTGCAGGTCTCAGCTGAAACATCTCCTCCTCCAGGAGGCTTCCCCTGCCCCCTGTGCTGGGCACACGCACCTGCCTTTACCTGTTCTCCCACTTGGCACACATCGCTGAAGTGTGACATCCTTATGGCTTTTCTTCCCTGCTGGACTGCAAGCTCTGGGGGCACAGGAGTCACATCTGTCATGCTTACCATCAGAACCCGAAACACGAACAAGCAAACATGAATAACTTAGGCCATGACCTCTGGGGCATGTGGGGTGGCACCAGGACTGAGCGGGGAGTGAGCCTGGGCCATGGAAGGGCCCTTTCTGGTGTGGGCCATTTTCATGGGCTGCTCGGAGCCCCCCAAGGAAGAGAATGTGGGAGCCTCTGAACCACCCTGGCGGGTCTCCTTGGCCGCAGAGTTAGTCCACTTTCCTTCAGGGCCAGGCCTCTCCAGGAAGAGGCTGCTGCTGTGATGACGGGTGGGTGGCAAGGTTACCGAGGAGGCCTGCCAGCCTCTGGGAGGAGGAGGAGCAGCCTCATGGAACACTCTTGACCGCATCAAAGGTATTTTTCTGGCTGCCTCTGACAGACAGGCTCTCTAAATGAGGCCTGATGTCCAGGGCTTGCCTAGGAACTTATACATCGGTTTTCTTCCTCCTGCTGCTCTCCCGTCCAGCCCTGCTGTGGAGAGGCCCAGGGCCTCACCTGGATGTTACCAGGAGTGTAGCTGAGGATCCAGGTCAGCTGATGTGCAGCAAGAGGGACACACCAGGGGGCAAAATCCACATGGCCACGCTGGGAGGGGTGGAATTCTCCCTTTTCACAAGGGAAGGCCCTATTTAGAAGATGCATCTCCTGAATAACGCCAGACGGTATCCTAGGGTGGCTCAGCCCCTGCCTCTCCCTCAGGGTGCATCTTTGGCCAGATAACCCTCCCAGGTCTGACTGCTGGGCCTAGCACTGTGCTTGTCCGGGACGTGGCACAGGCCTGGGCCCAGGCACTCGCTACTTCACACATTCAGCAAATGCTGAGCACCTGCCACGCTAGACACTATGCTCAGCACCAGGGACATTCTCAGGGGATGTGAGCATCATGGACATGCCATCATGGAGACCACTCTGGAATGAGACACCGGGGGCTGGGCAGTGAATGCAGCAGAACGGGATCCAGGTGGAGGGGTCCTATGCAGCCCCAGGGCAGGGATGGCTTTCGACAAGCCAAGTCCATGCTGTGGGAGGGGACAGACAGGCCACCAGGTAGTGAGGGGCTGACAGGCCGTCTCTGCGGGGATGCGGACAGTGGGGAAGAAATGGCGGGCTCAAGAAAGGTTCTCAGGGGAGTAGACAGTAGGGTCAATGATTTTGGCCTCTGTGAAGGGACTCAGCAGAGAGGAGACTGATCCCTCCTCATTAGTCATGTTCGGAACCCACAGTAACTGCTCCCCGAAAGCGGATGCTCATGGCGCATTCCTTCTTCCCACTGCTTGTTTCCTAGGGGCGCCTACTCATCCTTCAGGTCACAGCTGAAATGCCGCTGCCTCCAGCTCTGCTGGGTGCTGCCTCCAAGTTCAAAGAATGTTCCAGGGTGAGCAAACGGACCATCCAAAGGGAGAGTGGGCATGGCCTATTCCGGAGACAGAAAGTGCCAGCCGGTGCCAGGCACTGGGACAGCGACACAAACAAATGGCCTCTCCCTTCCGGATGCCTGCTTTCACGGCAGTTTTCTACGTTGTAGCCAACAGACTTCACTTTCTGAGACTGTGTTCCAAAGAAACCCTGGCTATTAACAATGACTTTATTTCTGTAGTGAGAGCCACAGAGGGTAGTTATTTTCCACCAAAAGCACAGTAAATGAAATGTTCGGCCAGTCTGGGCACCACCAGAGAGTCTGTACTAAATTCCCCTGGACTGTGCAGTCCATCCCACGGCCTGGCAGAGCAGGCCCAGGAGATGTGAACCACACAAAGCAGACCTTATTACTGCCACGCCTCTCCTCAGAGAGGGCTCTGCTGTGACACTGTGGCTGCGGCGGCCCTGGCCTCCCCTGCAGGGAGGTGGCTTGCAATGGCCACTCCTCTCAGATGCTGAGGAACAGCTGAGGAGCGGGGAAACTTCTGCCGCTTTCATGTCCCCTCACTCATTCATTTTTCACTGGTTCCAGTAGAATTGATTCTAATCTCCTATGGATCAGGAGTGATCCTGGATTCGGGGAATGTGAGTTGATTCCATTGAGACTCAAATGCTTAAATCTTCATGGCAAAGGCACCATGTGAACGGGGCCTGGAAGGAGGCAAAGGAACTAACTTAGCAGCGGTGGACGTTGATGAGGAAACTGCACGACTCAAATTGGAGGTCGGCGAGGGTAGCGTGTTCCTGGAGAACAGACCAGAAACGCAGCCTGACCCTAAACCCTAGTGGGCCTTCAACACACCAACGGGGATTCTGCACTGGACAGTCGGGCCAGGAGGGTGGCGGTTTCCACGCGTGGGAGGTTTCTCAGCAATGCAGTGGCACAGTCCACACTCTCACAGTCTTTACTGGCCTTGCCCATTCTCGGATGTGTCAATCAACAGGCACATCCAGCCTGCCCCGCCCACAGCCCAGGGTCGCTCACCAAGGCCTGGCTGCCTCTGGTAGGCTTGTCCTTCCCTTGTGCCCATGAACAGAGTTTTCTGCTACTTTCTATGGCTGCCTCACTCTGACATTCCTGTAGCCAGCCCTTCTAGGGTGCTTGGAAGGGTAGGATCTGATGCCTCGGGTCTGGGAGGTACAAAGGGATATGTTAGTTTCCTATTGCTGTGGTTTGAAGCAAGACAAATTCACTGTCTTGAAATTCTAGAGCTAGAAGTATGAAAGCGGCCTCGCCTGGTTAAAATCAGGATGCTGGCAGGACCGCATTCCTCCTGGAAGCTCCAGGGAAACATCTACCCCTCGCTTGCCTTTTCCTGCTGAGGGATTTCCCACATCCCCTCGCCCCCGGCTCCTTCTTGTGGTCCTTCTCACATCGCATCACTCCGCCCTCCTCTTCTGCCTCCCTCTTCTCCTCTGAAAGGACCTTCGTGATTACCCTGGGCTTGAAGGTCAGCTGCTTAGTAACTACCTGCACCTGCAACCCTAATTGCCTTTTGCCATGTAAGGTACCATATTTGCAGGTTCTGGGGTTGGGTTGTGGACATCTTGGGGGCTCTTGCTTGCTCTGCCTAGCACATGGGGGCACAGGAGCCTGCTGGTGGGGGCCGGCGGGCCTCACTGCTGCGCTGTTTCTTCCCTGTCTCCCCCAGCGTGCCTGCTTGTCTGGCAGAAGCAGCTGACCCCTGAAGTCAGGCAGCACGGAAATGACTGTGCTCATGGTCAACACACCTGCCGAGTGCAGGCTCTGGCCAATCCATCCCAGGGCAAGGCTGGCCAGGTAGGGAGGGTGGTGCTGCTGACAGCCTCCTCTGTCCCTGGTGTGGTCACAGGCACCTCATGGATGCAGGAGCTCCTGGTGCAGGCAGAATTCGCAGAACCCACAGTGCTCACAGTAGGGAGCCGATGGGAGGCACCCCCATGCTGGGCCCTGCCCACTCACGAGGAGCTCACTGGCTGGTGGGGGACCCAGCCCCCTAAAGCACCCCAAGGCCAAGTGACAGAGTTCCAGGACGAAGCCACCACCCACTGGGGAGCAGCCCCAGCTGCCTGCACAACACAGGGAACTTCTGAAAGACAAGCCACAGGACAATGTCCAGGTTTACTAGACAGGGCAGGAGGGAAGCTGGGGACCTGGGGTGGAGAGGACTGAGCAAGTGAAGACCGGGGACATGGGAGAGCCCAGACCGCTTTGGAAAACACAGCAGTGTGAGTCCAGCTGAAAGGGGCTTTGAAATGAGGAAAGAGAACTCAGCAGAGGCCGGTCCATGAGGCCCTTGCATTAGAAACTAGGAACTCTGCACTGGACTTTTGGCCACTGGTCAGAGCTGTGCTTTTAAAACACTGTCCTGGCATCAACCTGGCCAATTTGCAGCCTCTCTTTTGACAGCTGCAGGGAGAGTTAATTTCACTGCCTCTTGAAATGTTGCTGCTGCTGGCCTTGGGGATTTTTCTCCTCCTCCACCTGCTTTTTAAACAGTCTAGGCCCAGAGCTTCCCACCTGTGGAAACTTGCTCTAGAATTTCCACTGCTGTCCAGCTCTTTGTCCTGAGGAGAAGGCTTCCAGCCAGGCCTCCGCACTCCACATTCAAAGTGAACAGCAAGAGTTTCTAAGGGAAAAAACAAACCCTACTTCTAACTCTTGTCAAAGCAGATACTGGCTTCGATCGCACAGACATCCCCCACTGACACCAGCTTCACAGCAGCCCTGACAAATAAACACAGTCGGCAGGCGATTCATCACATTTGTAAATTGAATCAACATCCGCTCTCGCCTTCGTGCCCGGGGCCATGATCACAGCATGGCCCCCGCCTGAGAAGGCTGGACTCCCATGGAGGAGGGGCTGGCAGGGGGTGGGGAGGGGGCGGGCCTGTGGCACAGAGAAGTGTCCCTCCACCGCCCTGTCCTGCTGTTTGCTGTCCTGCCCATAGACGGGCTCAGGGTGCTGGCCATTGTGCTTCTGGGAGGGCATCCTGGTCAGCTGGTGGGTCCTCCGAGTTCTGCACTTACAGTCACTAATGTAGCAGCTGCACTGCCAGGTCCTACAACCGGGTTTCATTTCATGTCACCCCTCTAATCTTAAGCAGATTTTCATCGCACAGATGAGGAAGCTGAGGTCCGGGCAGGTGAAGGAACAGTACGTGGCAGGCTGGGCATACCTTGCCAGATGCTTCCAGCCAACCTGGCCTGCCCCAGCCACTGCCCAGCCCCAGGCCTGGTGGTCCAGATAGAGGCAGCTGAAGGGCGGGGACTGGGCTGTCTTGTTTGTTGGTTTATACCTTATGTGCAATACCATGCCTGGCATATGGTGGGCACTCGACACATAGGGCTAAGTGGAAGAACACGTGGCATGCTGTAGGCATTTGGGCATCTGCTGAATAAACAGTCATGTGAGGTAAACAAGGCAGAGACCACTGGCCTCGTTTTATGCACAGATAAACTGAGGCTCAGAAAAGTGAATTCCCAGAGCCAGCAGGAGGGCGGCAGGGCTGAGACTCGGCCCCGGGGCTGGTCACTGGCTCACTGCTCTCTGGGACTTCCAGGTGCCTGCAGAACCACAAGGGAGAAGCCTTGAAATGCCCACTTGTGCATCAAGTGAACTTGGACTCCTCTGAATTTCTGTCATTCATAGCAGGTGTGATAGGCAGAACGATCCCTCCCAAAGATCCTGACCCACGGAACCGGTGGACTGGTGTTCTTCCACGGCCAAAGGGGAATTAAGCTCACTTGGAGACAGGAAGCTCATCCTGAATTATCCAGGTGAGCCCCACGTAATCACCAGGGTCCTTAAAAGTGAAAGAGAGAGGTAGAAACGTCAGAACCAGGGAGGGGGCATCAAGAGAAAGGCTGGACCAGCCACTGCTGGCTTTGGTGGAAGGGGCCGGGAGCCAAGGAGAGCAGGTGGCCTCTGGAAACCAGAAAAGGCAAGGAATGGATCCTCCTCAAGGGCCTCCAGAAGGAATGAGCCCCGTGACACCTCAATTTTAGCCCAGGAGCCCCACTTCTGACTCTGCCCTCTGGCACTGCATGAGAATAAATCTGTGTTGCTTTAAGCCACCATGTGCACGCTGATTCACCAGAGCAGCCTCCAGCCACTGCTGCAGCTGATGAGCTGCGGACTCCAGCGCTGGGCCCTCACTCCCCATACAGTGCTCTCTAGCTATTCCTTGGCAACCTGAGTGTGGCATATCTCGTCCTGTCCTCCCCACTCAGCTCTGGGTCTCCAGAAGGCATGGGCTGTGGACTTCTCCAGGCTTCAGCGGCTTCCCAGAGACCCATCTGCAGGCGAGCAGGTGACTATGCTCACCCGCCAGAGTCATAGAGTGGCTTTCATCAAGGAAACCTCCTCATCGCTAGGAGGACAAATTCAAGGACAGCTGTAGACTCCCAACTCTGTCCCTGCCCTGCTGGTACAGCGCCTCCCCAGCTTCACCTTCCTATGTGAAACAGGGCAACCTGAGACCACACCCGGCTGTTGTGAAGGTCATGTCCATTTCTTGGCAGAGTGCCTGGCAGGAGAAGGGGGTCAAACCAGGGTGGCCCCCTGCTTTGTCCTCCCCACATGAAATAATTGGGCTCTAAACATGTCACAGGATGAGAGAGAAGGATGAGGCTTTTCTATTTCGTCAAGACGTTCCTTCCCTGCTCTTTCTGTGAACAACGGAGGGGCCGTTAATTTTCCAGAAAGGAGAGTATGCACAGCCCTGTGCAGGGCGGGCAGTGGGTGAGGACTGCTCTATGGCTGGGCTGGTCCTGTCTGGACACAAACCACAGACTCTAAATTTTACACCTTAAATTAAGGAAGAGAAAAGGTGGAAGAGAGGCAGGTAAGAGCAGGAGAGCGGGGAGGAGCTCTGCTGGCATGGACTGCTGGTGGGAGTGGGGACTGGAATAAGCTTTGGGACAGTCTGGGGAAAATAGAATTGTTTTTCATTTTGTGGAAGGAAGGGCCACCTCATTCACCAGCTAAGCAAGGCCTTTCTCCTGCTTTCTCAGAAGGTCCAAGTTGCTTACAAATGCGATGCCTTTGCCCGGGGCCCCCAGCTGGCTGCGGCAACCTGCTGGCCAGGCTTGGCCTGAAGGCCTCAGCCACCCCCATGCTCCCAGTTCATCACCCCGTCCCCAGGCCTGGCACATCCCGTGTCAGCAGCTTGGTGTCCCACTGGGCCATCAGTACCACATCCTCCACACCTTCCCATCCGCCCCCTCTCCAGCCCTGCCCGGATTCATCGTGGTTTCTTGTGTGTCCCAGCACTCAAGCAACACGGAGCTGAGTTTCTCCAATTTGAGGTAGCTAAGGATGATGTCGCCTTTAAGGAGATACTAGGTTTGACCCTTGGTTTACCATTTACTGGTTATATGGTTGTATGACTTGGAAAAATTACTTTTTCTGGGTCTCAGGAATGAGGCTAATGCCACCAAGCATTGTAGGGTATGGGGAGGGGGAAAGGAGCTGCATGGGGTACAGTGGTGGCCCAGGCTGGCAGTCAATAGAGGCACAAACTCTCGCCTGTGCTCCACTGCATTCCTGGCCCAGGCCTTTATAAACATATACGGGTTCCATAAAAGCGTACGACATTAAAACGCACTGGAGTGCCAGATGGCTAATAGCTTCCTAATATCCACTTTCTCCCTCCAAAAGAATGGAACCCCAATATTTAGCTGGGCATATTAATGGAGCCCGTACTTCCAGGCTTCCCTTGCAATTGGGTATGGCACTATGACTAAGTCTGGCCAAGGGATGAAGGGAGAGGGTTTGTGCAAATTCCAGGAGGTCTCCTTACACCGGGGAGGGAGTGCCTTCCTCCTTTCCTCCATGCTCCCCGCAGTGTGGGAGCAGCTGTCCTGACTCCAGGCTGTGCCCCAGGGCAACGGCAGAGGTACAGTGCAGGTGCCTGGCACTGGTAGGTCACATCAGCTTTGGCCTGTCTGCCTCTCGATTTTAATGTGACGGAGACCTGTGAGCTTTACTGAAGCCACTATTACTCGGGGGTTTCTGCTACTTGCAGCCAAGTAGACCCTAACAGACAAGCTGTGGCCTTTGGGGCCAGGCAGGATCCTTGTTGTCAAAGGGTTTCCAGGCTGGCAGATGAGACCGGAAAGCCAGCCCATGGGTCAGAGCGGTGGAGGAGACACTCTGAAGAGGGAGCAGGAAGGACCAGAGCACCAGGGAAGGCTTCAGAGGATGTGGGGACTGGGAAGCTCCAAAGGGAAACATGGAGGAAGAGGTGGGTGCCGCAAGCTGAGGCCAAGGCCAAGGGGGCCGGCCTGGCCACGATGGGCCTTGAACTTCATTCTGTGAAGAAACACCGCTACAGGCTGCAGGGAGAGGAGGCATGGTCAGACAGCTCGGCTTGGTGCCGGAAGCGGTAGAGGCTGTGTGAACAGTCCCAGCAAGAACAGATGCCGGCCTGCGCTCATGGCTCCCCACTGAACCCGATGATCAATCATCAATCCCAGATTGAACTGAGCTCTTAGTTCCACCCCCCACCCCCCGCAGCAGGCAGCACTGCGGGAGGGTGGGGATCAGGATAACACTTGTCTGGCTTGGCTGCTGTTTTCCTATCCATGGCCCACGACCAGGCCCCACCAGTTGGCACCAGCCTGTGAAACGCAGACTCATCTCTCCGAACTGACTGCCTCTGGCAGGACGAGGTGAATTATCCTAAATCAAGGGGAGGCAGTGAATACATTATCTCAGGAATAAGAAGAAAAATGAAGATGGATATTTACAAACAACTCCTAAAGAAATTCACCCCCACACACATATAATTTTAATGGTCTCTGAAAGAAAAGGCAACTCTTTTGCTGAGCTCTAGTCAATCAGCATCAGCAAACACGATGCTAGCCGCATTGGAAGCTGACTGATACATTCAAAACTCTGACAGACGCGAGGCCATCCCGGAGTTGGGCATGGAGGAGGCCCATTCCCATCCTCCCTCATCCAGTCCCTGCTGTGCTGGGGCTGTGCCCAGCAGGCCACCCACCATGCTGTCTGTGGAGGAGGCCCAGGGTGAGCAGGCGCAGGTAGTAGGCTAACTGTACAGGCAGGCTGTGCATTCAAGACCACAGCAAATCAATCCATTTTTTTGATCATGCAAATTGATTATCTAAATCCATTAACAAGCTCTTGAAGCTATCTGGTCCAGTCAATCACACTATTCATTCCTTCAATCATGCATTCAGTGATGACTTATTAAGAGATGACTGTGTGCCGAGATCTGGGCTTGCAGCCATCCCTGCCCTGCAGGGTCCCCAGATGCAGCAACTGTGGGTGCGCAGCAGGACAAAGCTCTGACAACAGGGAAGGAAGAAGGCGCAAGACCATAAGAAGCAGATCAGAGGGTTCCTGGGGAGCAAATGCAGCAGCCTTCTAAAACTAAGGGCTTTTGCCAGCAGAGCTGAATGCTGGCTGATGGGAGACAGCAAAACCAATAGAGGTTTTCTGAGCGGGGGAAACACTCTTCCATCCACACACCCCCGGAACTGTGAGGTGAAAAACAAATGGAACCAATTTCCATCCTGGCTGAGGGATGGAATCAATGCAATTAATTCAGTCAGAAGGAAAGACACGTGCAAGCACAGGGGGTTCCGGAGCCAGTTCATCCCACTCCTCACCCAAATGCACACCACACTTGCAGACCAATGAGGAAACCCTGCAACAGTCCCGCCTCGGCCGGGTCTGGGGATGGGCACGAGCACCTGCCTCCCTGGAGGCCCGGCCTGGGGATGGGCACGAGCACCTGTCCCCTGGCGGCGTGGCCTGCAGATGGGCACGAGCACCTGCCTCCCAGGCGACCCAGCCTGCGGATGGGCACGAGCACCTGCCTTCCCGATGGCCTGGCCTGGGGATGGGCATGAGCACCTGCCTTCCCGACGGCCCGGCCTGTGGATGGGCATGAGCACCTGCCCCCCTGGTGGCCCAGCCTGCAGATGGGCACGAGCACCTGCCTCTCCGGCGGCCCAGCCTGCGGATGGGCACAAGCACCTGCCTTCCTGACGGCCCGGCCTGGGGATGGGTGTGAGCACCTGCCTCCCTGACAGCTGGTGAAGGCAACAGAAGCTTAAAGACCCTCCAAGGCAAAAAGCTCACCACCACCAAAGCCTCCGCTCCCTGCCGCCTCTGCCTGTGCCCTGTGTCAGCAGCAGCCCTGGGGCACGTGGGGCCTGGACTTGGTCTGCCGGAACTGGAACAAGGCCCCTAGCCCCTCACGCAGGGCCTGTCCCAGGAGCTCCATAGCCTCTTTCCTTGGACAAATCACACCATCTAAAGGGCTTTTTCCATAAGCATTGTAGGGAGAAGGGAAGCAGGTATGGAGGGACAGGCAGATGACAGCCTAGGTCTAGACAGGACTGCATGACTGAAGACAAATGTCCCCTGTCCAGCCAGCCGCCGCCTCCTGAGCACCAAGTGTGCATCACACGCGAGGGGCACTTTGCTCACTCCTCTGCAAGCTTCCCTGCAAACACTGCAGATAAAATACTATTAACTGAAGCCCATGTTGCCTCTAAAGATGACAGAAAATAGACGAAATACACACATGCATGAGAGACATGCACACATGCACACAGATATCCAGTCTAGAGTGGCATATCACACGGTGATAGATTGATTGCCTGCAATACACAACCCAGAGAGGAAAACTTCCAGTGTTTATTAGGAAACCAGGACATGAGATATGGAATAAACATATATGTGAGATATATATATATATACACACACACACACATATATATATCCAAAATCTATGTGTGTGCATATAGCTCAAGTTGGATCACCTTCTATATATAGACATACAAATGTATAGATACAGCTCTCCCCATATAAATATGCATGTGTGGGTATATATATCTCCCAGCTCCCGAAATAGAAGCCTATATACTTAGATGAATTACAGTGTTTAAAAAGAAAGACTCAGGAGTGGTGTGTGCCCATGTTCCCAACAAGCCCTTGTTGTCTTTCTCTTCCCCGTAGGCAGCCTTCCCTTGGCTCAGCGTTTGCTTCGCCAACTCTAGATGCTGCTGCTTCACATACTGAAGCCCCTCAGCAGGTGTGCTGTCTAGCCTGACCGTGCCATATGAGGCTAGAGACAGATTTGCTCAGAATGCAGTGTTTTGCAGACATCCAAAGTTGGATGGAATCATCTTGAAAAGCTTTTGCCTGGTCAATTCAGAACACTCAATGTGGGTGACTTCCCGGCCCCCTGATTCTGCCTGAGAGTTACTCAAGGTGCCAACTGGCCCCCAAGTCAAACGAGAGTGCTCAGTGTCCCCTTGGACTCTGGATGACAAATCACCAGCCATTTCTCAGGCAAAGCCATTCCCAAATTGCATTGAGCCTTCGTCTAGGATACCTGGAGAAAAGATCTCCCGAGAACTCCAAAAGCCCACTTAGAGGGCCACAGCCAGAAACAGAGCAAATGGGAGGTGGGTGATGTGGGTTGGGCCATTAAGACACTGCTCTCTTGACACCAGGAGAGGTTCCCTGTTGACACCAAGCATCTCCAATCATTTGCCACTGGGGCTGTCCCTGTGTTCTACTCAGGGGCCAGCAGCGGCCAAGGCCATGACTCTGGGAAAGTCCGCTGTGTGCCAGATACCAGAACAGAAACCAGAACAGGTGTAGCTGCTCCCTCTCCTCTCCTTCTGGTTCTGCATTTTCATTATGTACCTTATTCTAGCCACAAGAATGTCTTAAGGAAATTATGGAATAACTATACTTTTATAATGTAAATGTATTACATTACAATATTAAACAGATCACATGTTCCAGGTTATAGATCAGAGTACTTCGTGTAATATTCAATAATGCGCCATATGGTGTGTGGACACTGTTGTGGTAACACCATCATGAGTGTGAACGTTTTCTGAGCGTGTCCACACTAGGAAGTGTGCTCAGTGCTCTCTGCCCTCTGCCTCACTGAATTCTTGAGTTCTAAGATATTAATGTCCTCATTTTACAGAGGATGAGATGGTCAGGAGGTGAAGCCACTTCTTCACAGTGGAGTCTGTCTGCCCAGAGAGCCAGCTCTGCCAGCATACCTCACTTCGCCCTGGCTCAGAACCAGTGTTTCCGACCTGAAGGAGGCCCTGAGGTGGCTCCTGTCCAGGAGAGGGCCTGGAATGGTCTGAGGGCCTGAAAGCTCTTATCCTCCTTGTCCACCAGTGACCAGACCTCCCAGGGGCTCTCTGCTCTGCTTCTCGGTTCCCGCATCAGCTCCCAGGAACACTTGAGCCCAACCCTGCATCTCTGTCCAATTGCTTAGAACTCTGAGCCCCTTCTCAGTGCTCCCCTGGGGACTAGACCATTATGAAATTGCTCTGATATCTGTTTTCTCACCTCATACATATGACAAATGGGTATGAGGGACTGAGAAGAGGCTCAGAAGAATGAAGTAGTAACTAGAATTTTTGAATGTCTACCATGGGCTGATCACAGTGGTAATTATTTTATGTGCATGACATCAATTAATGCTTACCCTGCAGATGGCTGGTTCTCATGATAAGCAGGGGCAGAGCCAACACTAGAACCCAGGGCTCCTGACTCGCAGAGTTCAGTGTTCTTTCCAGATAGCCCAAAGCACCAGTGCCCCTCATGGGGCAGGAGCTCTTGGTGGCTCTCTTGCCATTGCAATCCCAGCATTGCCTTGTCCTGGGGAGAAACTGAGCTACCTGTGACAACACTGTAATCAGAAGTCATCATAATTGTTAAAGGAAGAGCAAAATGCTAATATACATGCCAATGCATCTGAAAACCACTGGGCCATATAATTAGCCATTTGTAGGGATATAAGTCACAGAAGGAAAACTTTTTTCTGTGTCAATGAGTTGAACAATCAAGTCATTCATCCATCCATCTACAAATGCATATGGCCATCTACCCACTCATCAGTGGTCCACCCATTTATCCTTTCACCATCCAATTGTCTACTAATCCAGTCTTCATCCCTTCACCCAATTATACACTGACCCATCTGACCATTGACCCATCTAGCTATCAACTCATCTTCCCATATACTCAGCCCCCATCCACCTTCCCAAAAATCACTTAATGAAGTCCTACCACACACCAAGAAGCATTCCTGATATGGCAGGATCAAGATGAGTAAGATATCCTCCATGCTCAAAAGAACTCTGTCTAAAAGAGATCATCGTGTAAAAAGAAAACTGCAGAAGCTCTCCATCCACAGATTTTCACCTTAGGAACTTTCACAAGCATCAGTAATGGAGAAAATGCACATCAGCTCAGCTCCCAAGCAGCAGATGATGTCATGGGTTCCTTACACACTGTTACTGTCAGAGCCTAACCTGTCAGTGAATAGAGGAACTTCTGTATAACAATGTGATCAGACAGCGATATGAACCACTGCAGAGAGGTATGAACAACGTACAATGGGAGCCGAGGAGAGCAGTATATCAGGGTCAGGGAACAGCATACTTTCTTGAACTTGACCGGATTCAAACCTAAGTCAATGTCCTTCCAGAACACACACTCTCCCCGTGTCACCATGCTACTTTCAACTGGAATTCAGGAGCTCAGACCCACAGCAACTCAAAAGATAGATGCTGACCACAGATGTCACCAACTGCTCCTCCATCTTGACTCCGGGAGCTGTATGCGAGTGACAACAGGATGGTGGTTAGACGGTGGTGCATCCCGGAAGGCATGGGACCGGGCCTGCTTTCCACCTGGTACCTATTTCAAACGGGGATGAACGGTCAAATCATCCATCAGAGCAGGTCCCTGAACTCTGGTCTCCAGAGGAAGCAGAGCAAGTGGGATAGCACTAACACGAGAACACAGCCTGGGAATCCTGGAGAGTGCCGGAAAACCGAACCCAACGTTCAAAAGGGAAATGAGTCGGGAAGGGGAAAGGTCCCGCGGACTCACGGCAAATGTTTACATTTGATGATCTTTGGAACATATGCATGGCTGCATACAGTACTTGCTGTTAACATTATAGAGAAGCCTGAGCTGGCACCAGCAGGAGATCTCCAAAGTCATTCAGTCACGCACAGTCTCCCCGAAGGATCTGGGTGGGCTCTGTGAGGGGCAGGTGGAGAAGGACACTGGATTTGGTGAACGGACTGGCTGTGCATCCCACAGATGCTCCTGGAGGGTCTGCCAGGGGAATGAAGGACGTCTCTGATATGGTTTGGCTGTGTCCCCACCCAAATCTCATCTTGAATTCCCATGTGCTGTGGGAGAGTCCCCGTGGGAGGTAATTGAATCATGGGGGCAGGTCTTTCCTGCGCTGTTCTCGTGATAGTGAGTACGTCTCATGAGATCTGATGATTATAAGGAGCTTTCCTACATAAGCTCTTTCTTTGCCTGCTGCCTTCCACAGATGATGAGACTTGCTCCTCCTTGCCTTCCACCACAATTGTGAGGCCTCCCCAACCACGTGGAACTGTGAGTCCAATTAAACCTCTTTCTTTTTAAAGACATGCCCAGTCTCAGGTATGTCTTTATCAGCAGCATGAAAATGGACTAATACAGTCTCTGAGATCTAACCTCTCCCTCCTTCACACTCCAGAACACTAGTGTGCGCCCATGTTATTTCTGGTACCGGATCATGAATTCATGGGTTGATGCCCGCCTTCCCCACTGGACAGGAGGCTCCTCACCGAGTGCCAGATACACAGTGCGTGCTCTGACAATATCTGTTCTCCTCCCTGGTCCTGGTTCTGCCACTGATGAACTTCCTTCTTGTGGGCAGTTTCCAAATGTATAAAATGACAGAGAACAGTCAGACTGATGATTTCTACCTGGGCTCCCAAAGGCACTAATGGTGTTAATGGTAATGATTCTCAATATTTCAGACAATCAGTTGGAAATCATGTGTTTATCTTCCATCGGGCAGCACAAACCAAAGAAAATATTCCATTTTCTCCCTCTGGGCTGGCATGGTCTCTGTTCTATGAGGTTACACCAGCTACCTTGGGCTGGCTGGGAGCTCTGGTTGGCAGATGTGTGTTTCTGATTGATGACATGAAAAGGTAAGTTCATGATCCTTTATTCAAGAGGATGGGATATCATCTTTCAAAATATGGGCAGCCCCTGGGGAGAGGAAACTGCAAACATAGTCTCTTGGAGGTAGGCAGAGCAAACTGGCATCTTGAGTTCTGGCCTGCCCCCTGTCTGATCATCTGGGTCAGCCGCTGACCAAGCCATACGCTGCTGTTCGTCATTCGCAAAGGTTCTTTGTATCTTCTTTCCCGTGAGTCTAGGCTTCCCAAGAAGTGTTCCGTGGTGACGCCAACACCTGGCATTAAACCACTCCTGTCTTGTCAGCATGGGGACGCTCCATGCTGAATTCTGTAAAGGCCTCTGGCCCCCAGGCCTTCCCTGTTCCAGATGGTTCTGGCCAGCCTTCCCAAGCTCGGCTCCTGTAGCACATGGCGGTGGCAGGAGCAATGTGCAGGATGCTTGCCCTTCGGGAGACACGACAACCAGTTTCCCATTTGCAGTGTGGGTCCTCATGAGAAAAGGAGGAGGGGAGGCCAAGCGATCAGAGGCATTTTCCAAATCTCTTCTCCTTTTTAGGAAAGAGCCAGAAACTGTATCCCCGCGCCCATGGTACCTATGACTCCCCCATCTTATTCACCAAAGAGACTCTGCCCCACAGGTGGAAGGGACTGGGAAGAAAGGGACAGAACTCTGTTCATCCTGAATCACCTGCACCTAGCACAAGTCAGGTGTTCAAGAAATGCTTGCTGACCGAATGAACAAAGGAAGGAAATAATAAATGCAAGGACTAATGAATGAACAAACAGGGCTTCAGCCACCACCTCCTGCAGGGTGGGGATTCAGGCCTAAGCTCTAAAAAAAACAGGAGGCCTTTGCATCAGTTCCTCCTGGGCCAATGATGGCTGGACCCAGGAAGGGGCTGGGCCAGGGGCAGGCTGGGGGCAGTGGACTGCTGAGAGCAACATGTGCTCACTCTGAGCACCCAGGGTAGAGCCGGGACAGAGGCCTCTCAATGGACAAGGGCCTGAGAGCCAAGGTAGGGTATCTTTACAAAGGAAGCGAAGGGCTCTTATTTTAGTTTTGGGTTTTCTAATTATTTGCAAATAAATATGTTAATATTTTATACTACCTACATATGTGTAGTTATCACATACATGTGTATACCATACGTATATAATACTATATTATACCAAAATATTATTTAATTTTATGGTTTAATTTTGTTTTAATCCTCAGGGCAAATGGTCTCACTGAAAGGGTCATCCAAACAAAACAATAAAACCAGGAAAATTAACACATCTGACCACGTTTTTGCCTTCAACATTCTACAGGAGAAAACTCATCACTCTCTATCTGATTATCGGACCCTGGGAGGGATTTGCGAGGCTTTCTGGGTTCAGAAACCTCAGGAGGTCGAGTTCTTCCACACTCTGGAATGTTTTCCACCCCCTACATGACTCTGGAACATCAGAACTGAAGTCATCTCACTTTCTTTGAGTCAGAATCGATAGGGGTGGCTGGTTCCCTGGAGCCTCAGCTCACAGACGCTGCCATGAATGACGCTTTTAGTACAGGAAAGAGGCAGGAGCCCACGCTGGGGCAGGCCTCACTCTGCCACTTGCCAGCCACGGAAGCTGGGCACTGGCCAGGCCCTTGGTGTCCGTGTCTGTGCCCTGGGGTCAGGGAGGTGACACCTGGAGCACCCAGCACAGGACCCAGCACACAGAACGCCTTCAGTAAGGGCAGCCCATCAGCCACCCAGATTCAAACCCTGGTTCCTCCACTTCCAGCTATGTGGCTCCACGGAAGGAGCTTAACCTCTCTGAGCCTCGGTGAGATGGTAAGAGTAGCAGGGGCCGTAGCTACACTCGGCATCACGCCTGCACACGTAAAATCCTAGTAGGTGCTGCTCTCATCCTCTCCTCTCTGCTTTCTCTTTCCTGGTCAAATCTCACAGAAGCCTTGCTTGCAGCTACCCTCAGCAGCATCTGAGGACTTGGCAGTGGCAGGTTCTCAAATAAGCTCAGGAAAGAGGGTGCCAAACAGGCACTGAGGCCAGCGCTGGTTTCCCTACGACCTGCCTGGGAAGCACACTGGCCTGCTCATGCCCCCTAAAATCACCCAACCTGGCTACCCCCTTCCTGGCTTGAAGCGAGGGCTGATGGGGTACCGAGCCTTGGCATGGGCTGGCTCCTTCCCTTCCTATCAATCGTCTTCATTCAAAGCTGGCACGGTCTCCTGAGGCAGATGCGTCAATGATTAAACCATTATTTGTTCATGTCTCTGAGAGGCGGGAGACGCTGCCTCCTCCACAAACATCCCTGGAAGCCAATCGGGCCTACCTGGTCTCCTTGTAACCCAGAGCTGGGCTGCAGATCAAAAGACAAGTAAATAAAATAGGCCCAAAGATTCTGCATCTAGACTATCAAACCAAAATAGGTATGGGAAGTGAAGAGGCAGCAGCTAAATATTTGTTTTCCTCGGTAATCAGGTGAGCAGGCCTGGGCTTTCCAGACCTCCTGTTTAGAATCCCACGCTGCTCCCACGCAGCCCTAGGGTCAGTGCAGTGCCTGGCGCTCAGCTCCAGGCCCTAGCAGGCAGGGGTACCTTGCCATGTCACTTCCTTCTCTGAACTTCAGATTCAATACCTTCAAATGACAACGGCATCATCAACATGGCAGGTCCACGTGGAGACCCGAGAGGATAAAAAGAAATTCCCAGGCAGCTCACCACAGCTGTGCAAGTGCTTACACGACGCGTCATCTCGGCTCCGCTCCTGACCTTCTAGATAAGATTCCCTGGAAGGTGAGGGAGTGGGAAGTCCCCTGTTTACGCTCTTCAGGGGAGTCTTATGCGGTCAGCCCAGGCCCTGGCGCCTCTCTCTGGGAACCTCTAATGAAAAGCCCTACCAAGGTGGGAGGATGTCCAGGAGCGGCATGTGGGGCATGTCCTGTCTTCTGCCGCAAGCCCGCTCGACCCCAGCACCTCAGGGCCGCCCTTGTGAAGAGGCCACTTGATGCGTGGTTTATAAAGCTCATAAGACTGGCAATTGCTTGAGGCACGGGCCAAGCCATATGCCTCTTATTTCATCAGTAACAGGAAACCTGGGTCCCCCACAGAACTAGGGGGCAGTGAGGCCTGGTAAAAAGCATTTGCATGTTGAGACAGATAGAATTGGGTTCAAATTCTTGATCTTCTCTATCTAGTCTGACCTTGAGCAAGTTCCCCAACTCCGAGTCCCAGGGCCTTCATCATTAAAATAAAAATGATGCTCTCCAGCTTCACAGGCTGTGTGGGAGGGTGACCGAGGCAACGCACACAGCCAGGGACACGGAGCACAGACTGAGCCAGTGCACTGAGTTTCTTTCCCTCTGTGCCGTGCTCTCAGCCAGGGCCCCTCAGATGTGGGGATTTGGAGGAGAGGCCTGTGGAGTGGGGGTGGAGGGGCACACAGGCACTGGAGGGGCTGCAGGTTGGGGACTGAATTTCAGCATACCTCTTCCAGCCTTTGGCCACCTCTCCCTGCAACCACCTCAGGGTCAAGGCCAACCCTCTCCGGGGATTTTTTCCTGAAGCCATCTCTGCTCCCCAGAAAGCAAGACCTCAGACAGCCCTGCGGCGGCTCCCCTTCCTCTACTGCCCTCCCCCTCTGGGACCGGGAGGCCAGGAGACTTGGCCTTGGGAAGCGAACCCACCAGCTCCCCGCTGCAGCCTGAGTCTAGCAGGAGAGAGGTGTGGGACAATGTCCTCTCAGCTTCCCCTGAGCTCATGGGTAACACAGGTCAACAGCAAAGCAGCTGGACAGCGGCGGGGGGTGGCGTGCAAAATGGATTTGTGAATGTTCTCAAGAGCAACGGCATTAGCTGCACTGTGAGCACTAACTCCCTTTGTAAATAGGACAGGCTTGCTTTCACTGTTAATTTCCTCCCATGTCAAAAACCAGCACCTGCAAAAAAAAAAAAAAAACCCAAGTGTTGAAGGAAGGGGAGGGGATGGAGGAAAAGTAC
This sequence comes from Homo sapiens, assembly GCF_000001405.40. Classification (NCBI taxonomy): domain Eukaryota; kingdom Metazoa; phylum Chordata; class Mammalia; order Primates; family Hominidae; genus Homo; species Homo sapiens. Next base: position 139,856,792 of record NC_000008.11, read on the forward strand.
AGGCAAAACCAGTGAGGTGGAAGGAGAACGTGCTCATTCATTCAAACATTCATCTACCCACCCATTCATTCTAATGTTGTCTGTCATGTTTCATTCAAGTATTCTCTAAGCTGCTGCTGTGAACCTGACGCTGCTGAGCACAGGGACACAGAGATGACTCGGGCACACACCTCTGCTCCCGGGAGCACTGAGGTCTGAGAGAGGAAGCAGGGTGATAAGGAGCAACGGGACAGTCGGGACGCCCTGGGAATCTGGGCGGGGGGAGCTGGTTCAGACAGAGGTGAAAGAGCAGAAAGGTGCCCAGGGCACTCCAGGCAGAAGGAAAGCATGTGTGAAGGCAGGGGAGTGTGAGAGTCCATGGTTTCCAGCAAGTGCACAGGGATCAGCACAGCAGAGGAGGGAGCGGTGGAGCGCCAGGAGGTGAGGCCAGAGGCTGGCGGCGGCTCATGGGCCTGGTATCGCAGGACACACGCAGGAGTCTGGTTTGTATCTTGAGGATAAAGAGTGCTAATGAACATTTGCAGGGGAAGGCCTGTCCCATGGAGGCAAGGCGAGGCATAGCAATATTTCCAGTGTGCTCGCTGACAATCTGAGTGCGATTCTCCCCACATCCCAACAGCAACCCAAGGCGACAGTCCCCATTTTATCTCCACTTGACAGCTGGGGAAGCCGAGGGTCACACAATAAACACATGGGGCAACGTGGACCCCAGTCCAGGCCTGCTGACACCAAGTCCAAGGCCCGTTCACTCTCACGGCTGCCACTGGCCGAGGAAGGCATGGTGGCCACAGAGCAGCCTCACAACAGCCGGAGCAGCCACAGGAGCTCCGTATGGTGCCCTCTGAGAGTCAGGAGCTGAGCATGGGGCCGTCTGACCACCTCTGCCTCCTCCCTGCCTGGGCGGCCCGCTGCTTGTAAAGCAACTTGCTCACCAGGAAGCACGAGGCTGGGTGCCCTGGGCTGCCTGCCAACAGCTGCACACAGCCAGCAGCAGGTGGAGAGAGCAACTAGCCCCAAAAAAGGTGCAATGGACCCAGGTGGCCTGGCCAGGGACCCTGCTGCCTTCAGCTGTTATTGACAGGTCACCGAAGAGGCAGTTGTCCCCATCTCTAGCACTTGTCTCCCAACCATCGAGCCATCAGCTCAACATCAGGGCCTTCCCAGTTGTCCACTGTGGATAAACATCTGGCAGTAGAAAGGAAGAGAAAGGAGGCTTCACCATCTGGGAGAACTGCTTCCAAAAAGGCTACTCGAAGGAACCTGCTCAGAAGTGGGACCAAAGCATCATGGCAAATAAGATGTGACTGGGGCTTTGCCTTGAAAAATGAAATCTAAAAACATTATGAAAACAAGTTTATTAGGGGTCATACATAATAAAATTCAGGTTCCCTTTGCCATAAGGACTAACTCTTTAAACAACAACAACAACAAAGAAAGAGTCAAGTTTTGGCTGCTTTTTCCTGTACTTTTCTGACAAACGTGTGTGACAGCACAGCATGGGGTGCTTCCTTTGCACCTGACTTCCGCGATCATAAGGAGGGTTGTGCATCTTTGCGTGATGCTTGCCGTGCCTCCCCGGGGCCTCCGCCCAGCTGCTGAGACCCAGGCCAGCTCCTCTGCCGGGCTCCTCCACGGCTCAGGGTGGGACTCCAGCCGCATGCAGCTCTTCCATGCCATTTTTATCAATCTAGAGAAACATGCATCTTTCCCAAGATTTTTAGTTGACTTTGCAACTGACTCACATCTTCTCTGCACTCCACTGTCAGGTGTGTATACATAGGGGACAGCCAGGAAGGCCCCAGTAGATCTGGGGACTGGGTGGGTGGGAGATCAGTGCTAGAGGGGACAGGACACAGGTGAGGGGCCCCCTCCCCAAGAGTCTGCTCGTCCATGAGTGTCTACACCTGCAACACAGCCGGCACCTGCAGGAACTTAACTGCTCAATGATAATGCTCTGTGCCTTCAAGCAGCACCAACGGTTTTGCCGAGGCCAGAGCCGACAAGTAGCCACTGCGACCGGGACTGTGAATCCGGGGGGGGCACAGTCTGCACACCCTCCCCACCCGCTCTAAACCTGTCCCTTTAAACACGCCTCGCATAAGTCCCATCTCTCAGTCTTGGCTCCTCCTACGGTCTCCATCTAGAAGCCGTCTCCTCTGCTTCTGCACGGTGAAATTGGGCCCCGAGTTTCAGATATCTCTGAGATGTCACGTCTTCATGGGTTCTCCCTCCTTTCCCACAGCAGACGCTGCCCTTTCAGCACTCCCTGTCCTCTATGCTCTAGGAGTGGCGTGGAGGCCAAGCTGAGGGATTTTGTTTCTCCAGGGTTACTCCTCCAGCCCCCCGGTTTCTGGCCCGAGTCAGAGTCCAGGAGGAGTCACCGCTGTGCACCGAGCTGCCTGCGTCTGATGCCACGTGCCCCTGTGTGGCCGTGTGACCTGAGGGGTCTCTCCGTTCCTGGACTCCTGGCTCGCAGCACCCAGGAGCTTTTAGGCCGGCTCCTTTCCTGATCACCAAGCCCAGCCTGCGCTTCCATTTTTGGATGCAGCAATCACTACCGCTCACTGTCCTAATGACCCCCAGAGACATTTAGTTAAGGCAGCGCTTCTATTGCTTACTAAGCAAAGCTGAATTTCTGCATAATAAAGTTCACGCTTCCAGAAATAGCAGAGGCATCTGGATGGTAACATGTCACAGCTTCAGAAAGAAGGAAAATTCATGCTTCTCCCTGATGACATCATGACACTTTCTCCATTCCAAAAAAGAGAATGACCAGTGGCTGCTCTGCTCCCCAACCGGAGACACTCAGCCTACACACACAGAATGGGTCCTGATGTCAGATCTGCCCCATGCGGCCAGACGGCCAGAGAGAAGCTGGGGACATATAACAGTTCAGCCAGGCCCTGGCACCCAGAGGATGTTGGGTGCCAAGAAGAGAGGCACGTCTTTGGGAAGAGCTGCAGTATGTTCTGGCCATCGTCAAGGGAGCTCTGTGGCCAGCAACCTGGGTTGGGGGACAGCAGGCAGTACCCTGAAGGAACCACGATAGGAGAGGGAAGGGACCTGCTCTGCTAATTCTTTAATTAAAACAAGTCCAGCCCCTCTGGGGCCACAGACCCCTTGGGAATATGATGAAAACTATGGACCCTATTCCCAGAAAAAGGAACTCACAGTCATAAAATGGGTACAACTTTATACGCTTTGGGGATGACTCACACCTCGACTCTTGGTTCAAACACTTGCTCACTGCAATGTGAGCTTTGTGAGAACAGGTCATCTTTTATCTCTGCAGCTCCAGTATCAGCACAGTGTCAGCACATCCAGTAGCCGGACAGATGTTTGTGGAGTGAATAAACAGTTGAATAAATGATCCTCCCAAACCACCCATGGCTGTCAGTGAGCCTTAACCAAGCACATGCACTCTAGAAAAAAGCCCACATCATCTTCAAAAGGTAGAGCTAGCCCACTGAAGACCAGCCGGGTATGACCCCACACATGCTGAGGCTCTCAGAACCCAGTCCAAAAGGGGCTGTTACACGGCTCCAAGGGGTGGAGGTCGGGAACAACCTCAGGGAGCCACTGGCCACTCCTGTGCAAGACCTTCTGCTGCCATCATAATTCTGTGCTACATGCATGATCATTTGGTGAATGAATGGCTGTTTCCGGGATAGTCACCCCCAATGCCAGGATCTAGGCCTCTGCTGTGTGTCACAGGATCCCCGGCCCCCAGCTCAAAGAGGCTCTGACAGTCCTCATGCATGCTCAGGTAATCCAACAAACCAGGCCTGGAGCTCAAGGCTGTCTGAAGCCCAAACCTGGCTCTTTCCACACTTCCTTCAGCACTTCCCCCCAGCTCATCCCTCCTGCACCCCAGTTCCTGGCCCAGAGCTGGGTCCATGGTCTATGGTCAGCAAACAAGTGCTAACCGAGTAAATCCCTCACTAAGCACAGACCAATGCCTGTCGCCGTCCGTGGGCCCTCACATGGAGGGCAGCCTCTCTCCCAGGTTCCTCGGGCCCAGTGGCAGATTCCTGCTGAGGGGCCTCCCAGCCCTGCACACCTCCAGGCTGTAAGCTCTGCACCCTCACCTTCACCACCTGGAAATAGCTGCTCCTTACCAGGCTACAGTCAACAAACACTACAGCCTGGAGAGCCTGGGAGCTGTGGCTGCCGGTGGAGCAGGCGTCTCACAGGCTGGCGCCTACCGGCTTTCTGGCACTTTCCCACAGCAGCCCTTCTATATTTTCTGTCAGGCGGCATATGCTGGCGGGAAGAACTGGGTTCCGTTTGTGCTTGTTAGAAATGCTTGTTCCCTGCTGCCGCAAAGAAATAGCACTCGAACATAAATGTAATTTTCTCAGCAAGGCAATTTTTACTTTCTGCAGAAAGGGTGCTCCTTGCAGATTAACAATGGTGAGAGCACACCTGGACAGGGGAGGGGAACGAGTTCTTATTCCTGATGCAGGTAGCCTCTACTGCTGTGTCATTCCCCTATTGGCTAGGGTTGGACTGCACAGTCTAAGCTAATTCCGATTGGCTACTTTAAAGAGAGCCGGGGTATGAGCCAGAGTGGTGGGGTGAGTAGTCTGGTGGGAAGGACACTTAGGAACAGGTAACTAAAGGTGACTTAGGTCAGAGCAGGTGACCAGGATGAGTCAGGATGGATTGGGTGACCAGGGGAACAGATGTGAACTACTGACTAGGACTGTTGGGAAAGTTGTTTACTGAAACTAGAAGCAAGGGGGCGAAGAGAACCAGGAAGTTAAACTTTAAAATGGAGAATCAAAGAATAAGAGAGCTGAACATACTGACGTATTGATTCTTTGAAAAGAAACTTGGGGTTCACTTATATTTAACATGCTCTGCACTTTTCCTTCTGCCCATTCTAGGCCACTGGAGAGGGGATGTGCTCTGGGGTGCTATGGAGCCCACAAATCGAGTGGTTTTGAACAGACCCCCTGAGTCTCCAAGCCTTGGTCTCCACATGGGAAAACGTGAAGACGCACTGTCTCCCCTGCCTGCCATGATCCAGTGCTGCATCACTCCATCCCCCACAAAAGCAGGGGTCTTCACCGAGAGCCTGGGGCCTCCCAGGTAGACCAAGGGTGAAATGGTCACCTCCCTGGAAAGGGGAAAGATGAAACTTTGTGTCCACGTGTTTTTATCATTCCATTCTCCAAAGAGCCTTGGACACAGATCAGCGAAGCACTACTTGCCTGTCTGAATGCAAGACCATCAGGTGCCTTTGCTAGGCAGATACAATGTGTACATTACCTGATTTCATCTCTCTGAAGCCATACACATTGGGACTCTGGTCCATTTTACAGATTCAGAAACAGGTTCTGTAAGGTCATGGTCACTGAGCAAAAACGGCTCTGCTGGGAGACACCGCCAGGGCACTTGGCCCCAGGGCCTCAGCTCTTCCTGGCCTGTGTTGCTTCACAAAAGGGCTGCTGCCTGTGTTTGCCCTGCCCCACCAGGTCTCTGCCTTTTCCACCATCAATGGGGACTTGTGAGCTTGTTTCTAGAGAAGGGGCTTGTCCTCTGGGAACACTGATGTCTCAGAGAGCAAAGGTTACTCAGCCGTGTTCTTCCAGCTGTTGGGCTGGCCCAGCCATCCAGTGACGGAGCACCAGCCTTGGGCCTTGGGGAGAGGATGTCAGCAAGAGCTGCCTGGGAAAGGTCAGGGGCTGTCTTTGAAGTTGCCTCATCAGGCTCAAGGTCAGCTTCAAAGGGGCCCAGAGGCGGGGACGCCTGTAAGGATCACTTCCTCTGTTGATTCCCAAGGAGAAGGAGTGATTTCCCCCAAACCTCTTAGTACCAAGGCCTAAACTGACCTACGTGTGCTACCAGACCTCTCTTCCTTCCTGGGACATTAAGTGTCTTAATCTCACTCTCCATGAAGCACCTGCTCTGTGCATACTCAGCAAGTCCTGGGCAAGTCCTAAGTAAGCCACAGAAAGGGAGGGGAAGCACGGTGAGGCCAGGGGCTCCCCAGGGTCACAGCGCCCTGGTCCGGCCCCACATGCACCAGGGCACTGCATTCCCCCTGGGTGCCGTGTCCTTCCCACAGCCTAGGTCATTGTACAGACATGTGTGCTCCGTGTGGCGCCACCTTTCGATCCGGTGGGTGGCCCTTGGGAGCCTCTCTAAATCTCCTGGCATGTGGCAGAGGCACAGGGATGCACAGCCCCTCCTCTGCCAGGAAGCTCCAGCACCTACACAGAGGGGAGGGCTCTGAGGCCAGGCTCTGCTCCCATCTCAGGAGACAGTTCCCAGACTACTGACAAAAGCTCATTTGGCGTGTCTTCTCCGGGAGAAAACACCACAGGAATTGGCTGCATTTTATGCAAAGTGGCAGAAGCCAGGAAGGCTACGGACTTTGCAGCCCCTCTCAGCTCTCGCTCAGGTGGGTCCTAGCATGGTGCCTGATGCACTAACCCCACAGGCGCGGTCCCTGTCTCCCCAGGACTCAGTGAGCAGGCCTGAGCCCCAGGAAGCCCAGGACTTGCAGAGACGGAAAGGGCCAAAGGACAGAGACCTGCCCGCTGCCCAGCTGCAGCACAGGGAGGAGGCACGGAGGGCCCAAAGAAGGGGTGCGCCTGGCCCCTACATGCTCTCCAGGCTGCCGGGGAGCACCTCTTTCCCCTGGCAGGACACTGCTTCCTCTGCTGGGGATGCTGCCCCAGGCCTGTGGTGAAATCCAGAGCGTGGAACCTTGAGCACTGTAACAGGTCAGGCTCGGGACCCGGGACTTGCGGGGTGAGGCCCTTTCTACTCGCAGATGGTGTGAGGTGCAGTACTACCCAGCAGGAGCACTGTTGCCCCTTGCCAGGCATGGCTCAGCAGGCGTTCCCTGAAGGGGCCTCCACTTCCCATCCAGAATCGCTGTTCCCGCCTCTGAGAAAGGCTGAGATGCTCAACACGTCAACGTGGGGAAGGCAGGGACAACCCCGAACATCACCCCACTCATCCCCACTGGCTGTGTCTGCAGCCTTGGCTTGAAGCTGCAGCTAAAAATAGATCTGCCACTGAGGGGCACGGGAGGGGATATGGAGCGGGCAAGGAGCAGCATTCACACCGGGCAGGCTGGAAAACAGAGTGCAGGTCTGAGGCTCTAGCTGACATCACCCAGGATGGCCAGAAAGCCCCACAGTTCCCAGCCAGGACTGGGACCAGAGAGCATCAAGGTGCTGGGGACAGCACCGCCCACCAGTGGGACCAATGCCTCCCTGCCCTGCTAAGCACCCAACATTCTGGCCCAGCTCCATCAGGCCACCACAAAGCCCCCCTCCCTCTCCTGCAGCCCGAGGCTAGTTCAAGGAGCCATTTATTCAGCTGGCGCCCAGGACTCTTTCCTGTGCTGTCCTTGGATGAGGCATCCAAGAAAAACAAGAGATTCCATTCACTGGTACAGTAAGTCCCAGCTGATCCACGTCCAAATAGCCCATTCAATTACTCTTATCTCTACCAACAACATATGTTTTCTCTTTCCACGTCCGTCCTTCAATGTGAGGGTTTGGAAAGGCTGCAAAATTCGGGGATATAAAAATTCCTGCAAGATGAAGGCGCCAGGGGTTAAATTTGTTTTTAATCTTAGAAGGAAACAATGGAAAACTGTAGAAAGACTGAAATCTCCATCACTTATTTTTAGCACGTCATATCTTTTGAAATTCATTTTCTCATTTAAGGGATGGAATACATCTGGGACACTGTGACATAGGCCTCGTCCTGTGGATGGCACCAGGCAGATGCTGATTCAAACGTCCACTCTGTGACTTCCTGGCTAGGGGACTGCAGAGCCCTAGCTTCCATCTCTGTAAATGACAGTAGCATACCTGCTCCACAGGCCTGCCGGGAGCAATGGACAGCGTCTGTAGAGCAGACAGCAGCATGCCGACCGCCAGCAAGCCCTGCAGGGCTGTGGGCACTACCGCCCTTCCCAGGGTCATTGTCCTGATCCTAGAGGTGAAGAAGTCTCAGCAAAAGAAAAGCGCTTGGACCCAGACTGGCTCATCTGCTGGGAACAAAGGTGTTTAATGCCAGCAGTTATTCACCTGCACCGATGTGGACACATCCCAGTCGAAAGCATCCTAAGATGAGGAGAATAAATATCACCAGGTCCAAGGGTGACGCCATGAGCTCCGCAGGAACCATGTCTGAACATTGCCCGGAAGCTCACGTGAAACTTTGGAACTAAGAATCCCACAGAGACCTGGGCTTGATTCACATCTGCACTCATTAGCACCGGTTCAAGCCAGCGGTCTACATTCTCTTGATTTTGCTGTGATTAGGTGGCGGCAGAGGAAAAACTCAAGGAGGCCCAGCAAAAGAAGCCATCATCACAACTAAGGCTGTCCCCATGGGGTCTGAAGAAAGCATTTCAGAAGGCTGCTCTCAGGGCAAGAGCCACAGGCATCTCTATAGACAGAGGTGGCTCTCCCACAGCAGAAGGAATCAGGTCCCATGTCCATGCGTTCTGGTCTGGCAGAAGACAGACTTTCTCCTCAACACGCCTGAGGACTCCTTGAGGAGACGGACTGTTTCTCTCTGATTCATTCATTCACAAAACAAGTATTTGTTGAAGGCTTACTATAGACCACTCATTCAACAAGCATTTACTTTGTACCCACTCTGTGTTGTGAGTTCATAGAGGGGGTGAAACAGACACAGATCATCAAAGGGGAGTGAGAAAGAGCCACCCCTGGGATGGGAGCAGAGAGAGGAGAAAGCAAAAGGTATGTTTGAGACCAGGCCACCGTTGACCTAGGCCGGGAAGAATGAGTAAGAGTGAATGGCAAGGAAAGCTATGGAGACACGGCAGGGAAGGGAATGTCACAGGAAAAGGCAGGGACCTAAGGTCAGAGGCCACCCCTTCCCTCCCCAAACAACTCAGCCTGAAGCCATGGGGTCCCAAGAGAACCCAGTTGGTCCAGGGAGGGGGAGGAAGGTATCCGCACAGCAGAGCTGCCCCGTGTGTGAGCCACCTGTTGACCCAAAGAGTCAAACTCTGTAAAATCTTTAAAGAGATTGATTCTGAGCCAAGTATGAGTGACCATGGCTCGTGACACAGCCCTCAGGAGGTCCTGAGAACATGTGCCCGAGGTGGTCGGGGTGCAGCTTGGTTTTATACATTTTAGGGAAGCCTGAGACATCAATCAAATACATTTAAGAAATACATCGGTTCGGTCCAAAAAGGCATGACAATTCCAAAGGGGTGGGGACATGGGGGGCCTTCCAGGCTATAGGTAAATGTAAACATTTTCTGGTTGACAATTGGTTGAGTTTGGCTAAAGACCTGGGATCAAAGGAATGTCAGGTTAGCATAAGAGGTTGTGGAGACCAAAGTCTTATCATGCTGATGAAGCTTTTAGCTAGCGGGCTTCAGAGACAACAGGTTGCAAAATGTTCCTTATCAGACCTAAATGTGTTGATGTTAATGCTGGGGAGGTATAATGAGGAATATTCCACCCCCACGTCCCATGATGGCCTGAACCTGTCTCTCAGGTTCAATTTTAAGAGCCCTGGCTGAGGAGGAAGTCCATTCAGATGGTCAGGGGGCCTTAGAACTTTATTTTTGGTTGATGCACCCCGTGTGAGATACCAGAGCCCATCCAGGGTAGGAGGGCATCCACACAGTGGGGAGGCCTGGCCTGGGTGCCAGAGCAGGAGTGAGAGGGGAAGGCAGGAACCTGTGGGATCTCTGGGCTGGGTCCCCTTGGTGACCCGTTGAGAGCCTAGGAGTGTGGGAAGGGCTGGGATGGAGATGGCAGATTGGTTACATACAGGAAGACCGATAAGTTACAGATTACAGTAAAGATAATGAAAGCCGACCTCTCCATGCTGAGGACATGAGGTACCAGTAAGGAAAAGGGACAAACCATAAGGAACTGTGCAGTGGTGGATTGGGATTAGTGGTGTCAGTGTGGGCCAGTGACTGTTAAGGTGGACAGACAGAAAGAGATGTTGAGGCTGTGTGTGTGTGTGTGTCTATTTCTATTCATATGTATATGTCTATTTCCCAGCTCCATCCTCTGAGAATGCTTGGGAACAGCAACATCCCAATATGAATGACACCCCACCCTGCCAAAGTATGGATCTTGGTTGGTGTGGGATCACTGCAATCTCCACCTCTCAGGGTCAAGTGATTCTCTTGCCTCTGCCTCCTGAGTAGCTGGGATTATAAGCACCCACCACCACAGCTGGCTAGTTTTTGTATTTTTAGTAGAGATGGGGTTTCACCATATTGGCCAGGCTGGTCTTGAACTCTAACCTCAAGTGATCCGCCCGCCTTGGCCTCCCAAAATGCTGGGATTACAGGCATGAGCCACTGCACCTGGCCTCTAAATATCAATTTTCATTAGAGGGAATCAAGACTCCTGTGAGAAATGAGTGATATCAGGGCTTATGTTTGAGATGAACCTGGAATATCTTGTGCCAGAAAATAAGTGTGTGCTCAAAGAATAATGATGCAGACAGGTCAAGAGACACAGAAGACAGCCTGAAGGAGCACCCAGAGGTCAAATCAGGATAATCTGGGTATCGAAATAACTAATAATAGCAATGAATTTTAACCCAATGAATAAAATTGAAAATGATGAATCCATACAAATATAAATAAGCACATTTAAAGGTCTGATGAAGAATCGGATATCCATGATGAGGAATCGGATATCCACACAGTTTCAAAGCACCTTCCCGCAAGATACTTAGTAACAACAAAGAGACAAGGAGTAGCTTTACAGTAGAGGGAAGCAAACACCATCTTAATCAAATGGTGAAATAACCATCACCGGCAATGGTACAACTAGAGATTGTGGGCCACCTGATAGACACAAAGAGAAGGACTCAGCCTCACTTTTGTGACATTCCTGCCAAAAATGTTCAAAACTGAATCTAATCATGAGGACACATCACATACACCAAAAGTGAGAACATTCTACAGAATCGCTGATTGGTAATATCTTAAAGTGTCAAGGTGATGGAAGTCAAAGAAAGATGGACGAACTGTTCCAGGCTGAAGGAGACTAAATGTATATAACAGCTCAACGCAGCAAATGATTCTGCATGAGACCCAAATCTTAAATATAAAGGACACTACTGGGATAGCTGGAAAAACTGGAATGGGATCTCGGCATGAGATCATCATATATCAATATTCATTTCCTGATTTTGATGACTGTATTGTGGTTATACAAGAGAATGTCCTTGTTCGTAGGAAATACACATTAATAATTTGGAGGTGTTTGGGGCATCAGATCAACCACATATTCTAAAATGGTTCAGGCTGGGAGCAGTGGTTCATGCCTGTAATCCCAGCACTTTGGGAGGCCGAGGCAGGTGGATCGCCAGAGGTCAGGAGTTCAAGACCAGCCTGGCCTACATGGTGAAACCCTGTTTCTACTAGAGATACAAAAATTAGCCAGGTGTGGTGGTGGACACCTGTAATCCCAGCTACTTGGAAAGCTGAGGCAGAATTGCCTGAACCCAGGAGGCGGAGGCTGCAGTGAGCCAAGATTGCGCCACTGCACTCCAGCCTGGGCAACAGAGCGAGACTCCATCTCAAAAATAAATAAATAAATAAAATGTTCAGGAAAAGAAAATTCTTACTACCATACTTGCAGCTTTTCTGCAAGTTTGTGCATGATATTATTTCCTTTCTTTCCTCTTAAAGGAGCGTGCTGCAGTGGAATACGTGGTTGGAAGTCAGCAGACCAAGGCTTGAAATCCAGATGGAGGCCACTAGCTCATCATTATGATTTTGGGAAATATAAATATATTGGGAAAAACGTGAATTTTGAAACCACAGTAACTGTGTTCTGGTCCTTGCTTTGCAGACTGAATGACAACCTCACATACGCTTTGTTCTCTCCCCTAAAGCGTAGTAATAACACTACCTACTCTGGAGATTGTTGTAAAGTCTGTATTATTAACTTCTTCATCAAATATTTATTGCGCATGTAATAGATGCTCTAAGGACAGTTCTAAGCTCTGAGAATACACTGACAACAAATCCGTCCTGCATGGAGCTTATATTCTAATGAGGGTAGAGAGACAAACAAGAAACAAATCTGTGATATGACTAAATATCAGAGTATTATAACAATTGTGCAGAAAAATTAAGCAACTCAGACCTTGGAAGGAAGGAGTGGTAGGTCAGACAGAAGATGTAGAAGGAAAGTTTAAAAAGAAAGAGGAAGAAAATTATCACACAGAACAAAACCAAGAAAAAGCAGATCACAAAAGTATATAGAAAAATTACAAACACAAAAAGCCAACAGAATGTATGACATAACCAAGACCAAACATTTATACCACAGCAATGCATATAAATGGCCTAAACTCACTTATGAATTAAAAAGACTTTGAAGTTGGATCAGAAAGCAAAACTCAATGCTTCATCCAAGAGAACCACATAAAAATGTGATTCTCAAAGGTTTAAATTCAAATGATAGGCAAAAGTATACCAGCCAAACAAAAAGAAGGCAGGGGTGGTAGTTATAATATCAAAGAGGGATGAAATAAGGGCAAAAAACATGAAAGGAGACAGAGAAGGGCATCTTAAATAATAAAGGGGACAGCCAAAGGACAACAGTTATGAGCATCTGTGTGCCACAGGCCATCAGCATTCACACTGCAGGTATCATGGGACACACACATGTCACATCAATACAAGATCACTCATGGTGCAATGGACCCACATGAGCATTAGTTGTGATTCACCTCTCAAACCCCATGGTAGATCAAATAAGAAAGGATCTTAAAGAACTACCCCGTATCATTAATAAAGTAGAGCTAATTGATACATTTTCAACTCAATACACTTAAAACAAGGAACATAACTTGTTTAAAAATGTCCATGGCATAGTTACAAAAATCTTAGCACAAAGAAAACTTGGTAAATTGTAAGTGGTAAAAATAGTATTGAACTGATAATACCATTATATTAGAAAGCAATAACAAAAGAAGAAAACAAAACAAAGTAATTACCATAGGAAGTTTTTTTAAAAACTATCTTTTAACTCTCGGGACAGAAGTGAAATATAAATTAATTGCAGAATGCCTAAAACATATCAAACATTAAAACATTAAATTCTAGAACATGGAAAAGAGTAGAAACAGGGACCACCGGAAAATTCATATCCTTAAATAACTGTATTTATAATAGGAAATTTTAAATGAATTAAATATGCAACCCACAGGTAGATATTTAGAAAGGCAAAAAGGCATTGAGGGAGGACTATCTATAGCAGATATTAAAATATACTGTACTGTAAAGCTAGAACGACTACAAGGGTGGTGCTCACTCCTGGGTACACGGACAGAAGAGAGTCCAACAATTTCCCTAAATATATGAGAAAAGTGATTGGGAAAAGATAGATTATTGATTAAATGACTTGGGGCCAATTAGGTGGCTTTTTAGAAAAACAAAGGGAGGACCCATGCCGCACTCACCTTAGTATATTCCAGATAAATAAAAGGTTTGAATATTAAAGCAAATGAGACCATGAACGTACCAGGAGAAAACATGGGAGAATGTTTTAAAAATGTAATCCAAATGAAGCAGGTCTTTTAAAGCATGGTTCCAACACAGAAGATATTTTTTAAGAGATTGCTCCATTTGAAAGGAATATCATACAGTGCGACTCACTCTGGTGAGGAATGACATATTTCACGAGGATATTTGTTGCCATCATGCTTATAACAGCAAAACATTAGAAACAACCTACGTCCATCAAAAGGTACAGAGTAAATAAAGGAGGATGCATCTGATGCATAGGTTCAAAAGAATGCACCAGCTCCACAGGATGGAGATGGAAACATACCCGAGATCTACCATTAAGTGAAAAAATAAAAATAAACAAACATGGTAGAACAGCTGTCACAGGACACCATTAAGGAAAAGAAATTTACAGACTATGTCTGCAGACACAACCAGAAATGGGACAACAGCAGCCCATGGGGAGAGGATCAGGGTTAAGGAGAAGGAGACTTGTACATCCTTTCTTACCTCCTAAATTCTGAAGTATGTTTGTGCATATTTTTTCTTTGCAACATAAATAAAGCAAATAAACACTTAGTGCACTGGCTTGCAGGGGCTACCATGCAGTGGGAGAAAGGCTTTCCACTGATATTCTGAGGCTTTCCCTTGGAAGTGGGGAGTGGGGCAGTGCTGGGAGGCGGGCCGTCTCTCTTCGCTCCCACACTTACTCGCTGGTGGTCATGAAATCAGCTTTATGATTTTCAAGTTCCCTCTCTGTAAAACAAGGGTGGTTTTATGTATCTGATGAGGTTGTGTGAGGACTGTGTGACATGAGTGAATTTAAATGCCAGCAAAGTCCCTGCAGTAGAGGCTTCTCAATAAAGGTAGTTATGCTGATTACAAGTGAGAGTCCGCCAGCTGAGAGGTGCCTTCGCTCTGTGGCTGAGTTTTGTTATAACCCGGACACCTGGGCCCACCTTGGGTAGGCATAGGGCATGCTATGTTGAGTCCATTTTTATTAGCTCTTGGCTTATTAGGATTAATAACCTGCTACTTGCCACTCTATGGAGATTTCAGACTTCTTTCCTTAGCTTGTTTTCAGAACCTGACAGCTGCACTCACATCACCCTTTCCTCAGCACCTGCAGGCATTTATACTGTGTCTCTCATTTCCTGCTGGAGGGTCTGCCCCAGCCCCGCGAGCCAGAAGGCACTAGGAGCACACCAGTTGGCCTAATGCCACACTGAGGAGGACTATTAGAACCTTATATTTCCTGGAATCTGAATCAAATGATGAAAGGCATGGCCCCATGTCCCATTCCCCCACAGGAATAGACGACTGCAGAAATTACCCTTCCAAAAAAAGATGTCTCTTAAAGAAAGCAGCAGGCAGCTAGAGGAGGAGGAGTAAGAGCTGAGGTACCCCAGAGGCAGCCCCCCTGAGTCTAGCACAGACTGGCACCAAAGGTGTTCAATAGCAATTTGCTGGATGGGTGAATATGTGGGTGAATGGACGAATATGTGGGTGGGTAGGTGGGTGGATGGACTGATGAGCGGATAGGTGGGTGAATGGATCAATGGGTAGGTAGATGAATGAGTTAGTGGGTGGCTGGATGAATGGATGGGTGAGTGGGAGCAGACAGATGGTGGTCAGATGAATGAGTTGATGGATGGGTAGATAGGCTGGTGGATAAGCTGGTGGATGGGCTTGTGGATAAATGAGTGGGCTGGTAGATGGGTTGGTGGGTAAATGGTTGGATAAGTGGATGGATGGATGGATGAGTGGGCTGGTAGATGGGTTGGTGGGTAAATGGTTGGATGAGTGGATGGATGGATGGATGGATGGGTGGGCTGGTGGATGGGCTGGTGGGTAAATGGTTGGATGAGTGGATGGATGGATGAGTGGGCTGGTAGACGGGTTGGTGAGTAAATGGTTGGATGGATCAGTGGGCCAGTGGATGGGTTGGTGTGTAAATGGTTGGATGAGTGGATGGATGGATGGATGGATGGATGGGCGGGCTGGTAGATGGGTTGGTGGGTAAATGGTTGGATGAGTGGATGGATAGATGCGTAGGCTGGTGGATGGGTTGATGGGTAAATGGTTGGATAAGTGGGTGGATGGATGGATGGATGGATGGATGGATGGATGGATGGGCTGGTGGATGGGTTGGTGGGTAGACGGTTGCATAAGTGGATGGACGGATGGGTGGGCTGGTGGATGGGTTGATGGGTAAATGGTTGGATAAGTGGGTGGATGGATGGATGGATGGATGGACGGATGGATGGGCTGGTGGATGGGTTGGTGGGTAGACGGTTGCATAAGTGGATGGACGGATGGGTGGGCTGGTGGACGGGTTGATGGGTAAATGGTTGGATAAGTGGATGGATGGATGGGTGGGCTGGTGGATGGGTTGGTGGGTAGACAGTTGGATAAGTGGATGGATGGATGGGTGGGTGGATGGATGGATGGGTGGATGGATGGATGGGTGGGTGGGTGGGTGGGTGGATGGATGGATGGATGGATGGATGGATGGATGGGTGGGTGGATGGGTGGGTGGGTGGGTGGATGGATGGATGGATGGATGGATGGATGGATGGGTGGGTGGGTGGGTGGGTGGGTGGGTGGATGGATGGATGGATGGATGGATGGATGGATGGGTGGGTTGGTGGATGGGTTGGTGGGTAAATGGTTGGTTTGGTGGATAAATGAGTGGGCTGGTAGATGGGTTGGTGGGTAAATGGTTGGATGAGTAGATGGATGGATGGGTGGGTGGGCTGGTAGATGGGTTGGTGGGTAAATAGTTGGATGGATGAGTGGGTTGGTGGGTAGATGGTTGGATAGGTGGGTGGGTAGGTGGCAGGGATGGGGAATGGATGCTTGGAGGATAAAAGTAAGCGAATGAAAGTCTAGAATAGTGCTTCAAGACCAGTCTTGACGTTACTGCTGATTTGTCTGGGAACGCTGGGTCAGTCCATCAGCATCTCCCAGCCTCATTTTCCTCATGGATAGAAAGAGGATGCCAACACATTGATCACTGATAGGTGATCATATTATTCATCATAAAAGGATAACAGTAATAAGTGAACACTCACAAGTGCATCAGCTGGACCCTTCCCAGCATCCTGGTTTGGGCAGAACTGTCCCTTTCTCCCCAGCACCTTCCCCCACCCCTCCATCAGGCTGTGAGTGAGTGCCGGGGGTAAGCCAACTGCTCCCTGCACTTGCTCTCCCTCAGTGCCATGCCCTGCTCAGGAGGATCCAGGAAGCCAGGCAGAGCACCTCCTCTCATCTGCCTGGACACAGTCACTGTTTCCAAGGAGCTCACAGTCTTGGGAAGAGGACAGACAAATGGCCAAGTAAATGGGAGGGGGTGTCATGCAGGAGCAGACAAGGGTGATGAAGGCCTCCTGCAGTGAGAGTTACTTCAGGTGGAAGCAGCCAGGGGCTGGGAGGACAATTCGTTCCACTTGGCTTCTGTTCTCGGCCATATTCCTGTCCTTTGTACTGGAGTTTTCTCCAGAGACCTGGCTCAGAAAGATGTAGCCCTGGCTCTAGGATCAGAACCCCTAGTCCACCTCTGGCCTCCGGAAACAAACACCAGCCCAGCCACCATGGTGCCACATTCTGTGCTGGCTCTGGGGTTAGTACCTCCCTCTCCCAGGACTGGAGCGCACATCCTCTCAAACTGGCTGCTGCCTTGCCGAGGATCCAGACTGACCCACAGTCAGGCCGTTCTTCTCGGCAGGAGCATGGGTCAGTCAACCACCCTGAAGGCCAGGCTGGCCACAGGCACGCACGCTGCACCAGTAAGGCTGCTCTGGGAATGGATCCTTGGGAACTGACCAGGGCTGTCGTAAGGCAGATGCCAGGAATACGTGCCTTAGAGTTATAAATGGAAAAATGAAACATTAATAAGCGATAATAAGGGACTGTCTCAGTGCATCTGGGCACATCAACATGGAACTATTTAAATCATGTGGAAGAATGACATCTACGCCTAGGCTCAAATCTGGCCTTGGACCGATAGGAGGAGGATGGCCTCATTCACTCTTTGATGGAGTCAGCAAACCCTTACTGAGCACCCGCAGGTGCTGAGGATGCTGCTGCATTCTCAGGCACCCACCAGCAGCGGAAGACACAGCCCGCAGACAGTACAACCTTAAGGAGAAAGACACCATGCTGGGGGTGGGGAAACGCGCAGGCGGAAATGCAGCTGGGCCCAGGCGAGGCACAAACGTGTGGGGCCAGGGAGGCCAAGGCAGGCTGCCTACAAGAACCTGAGTTAGAAGGAAAGGGCTGGATAAGCCTATGGGAGGCAGCAGGTATGAAGGCCTGGGGGGAGCATGGCTCACAGGGACAAGCAACTGCAGCTGAGGAAGCCTGGAGCCCAGGTCACAGGGAAGATAGACAGGCCCAGGGAAGGGAGGCAAGGATGAAGAAGGCGCTGTGGGCAGTGGGGGGCCTTCTGAGCCAAAGGCCAGGCTTGGGAGTCCATCCTCAGGGCTCTGTAGCCATGAGAATTCTCCAGGTAGGAGAACAACAAGCATGGCCACAGGTGGAAGATCGCCCTGAGCGCCGTGGGAAAGACAAGTCCCACACGCGCATAACCGGGGGCAGGGACAGCAGCTATGGGACCAGTCACAAAGCCTCTCCACCCACCGGTTTCTTCCAAAAGCAGACAGTGCTTACCCCACTGGGGCATTGGGAGGAACAGATGAGGGGACGCTGGAAGTTACGCCTTCCTGAAAGGCGCAGTAGGTGCTCCACAAACACTTTTTCTTTTGGGGATCAAGATCACAATTAAGCAGGCTCCCAAATGGTATTTCAAACAGAGATGTCTGCAGCTAAATAGAAGATTGAGGAGTGAAGGTAGACAGGACGGGGGAAGAAGAGAGAGGAGGGAGAGGAGAGAGACAAGGCA
The DNA here is from genome assembly GCF_000001405.40 of Homo sapiens. Taxonomy (NCBI): domain Eukaryota; kingdom Metazoa; phylum Chordata; class Mammalia; order Primates; family Hominidae; genus Homo; species Homo sapiens. The sequence goes on from NC_000008.11 coordinate 139,875,196, forward strand.
GCAGGCAGGGTGGGGACAGGCCCTGCATCCAGGCTGCCTGGGTTCAGATGGGATGAGGTGGCCCTGGGGCTGCCACATTCCAGGTTTCCTTTCTCCCGTCCACATGAGGGATGTCGTAGCAACCTCCTCCAGGGTTGCCACAGGGACGCAGAAAGGAGACTGCGCCTGAAACACAGCAGCCATGTCCACAGATGGAACACTGGGGGCCTGTGAACAGAGGCCTCTCCAAATGGGGGATTAGGAGCTGGGGCTTTTCCTCTGAATATAGGTTGTTTTCATTTTTTTTCCCCCTTCAAAAAGAAGGTAACTACTTTTGTAAAGAAAAACAAACGATCCTCTTTGTCAACCCATGCCCAGGGATGCCAACTGGGCCATGCGACAGCCTTCGCCCCCCACACCCACTGCCGGGCAAGCTGGGCCTCAGGCCAGTTGCCACAAGCCGTCATGGTCCCCAGGAAGTGGCTCTCAACTCAGGCCGACCAGGCTCTCAGAGTCACCAAAACCACCCAATTCACCATCGTGGTCTCCAGGAAGTGGCTCTCAGCTCAGGCAGACCAGGCCCTCAGAGTCAACAAAACCACCCAGTTCACCTGCCCCAGTGGGCGGAGGCTCCTCCACAGGCCTCAGAAGTACTGACTAACACTGGCCTGGAGCAGATGTTTGGAGATGTGGGCTGTGCTGGAAAAATCCACTGCTGGTGCTGTTGCTAAGCTACCTGGGAAGGAGGCAGAGGGCCGGTGGGCAAGCCCAGCTGCCAGGGTGGCCTGGGGCACCCACTGCCACCATCGGTGCGGCTGTCCTACTGTCCGGCTAGTGGGAGCCGGCTTTCTCACTCCCTTTTCCAGGCAGTCTGAGCTCTGAATGTATTCAGCAACTCGTAGCAGCCATTCTACATGAATTTCATGTTAGAAATAAACAAAGCTCCCCACATGATGTCCATGTTACACAATTTGATGAAAGGGCACGTTCTCGCTGTAGGGACATGTCTCTCTGCAAAGCCCCAGAAAGCACCAGGACGCAGCTCAGCCTCAGAGGCACCAGGCAGAGCACTGGCTGCTGGCACCGTGGGCTCCAGACTCCTGAACGGAGCTGGCTCAGGGCAGAAGGTGCTGTTCAGATGGAAGCAGCAACACCCAGACACCATGGGATCCACAGCCTGCTCCAGGTGGTCTGTCCTCGGGGAGGCCCATGGGTTCTGAGCCACATCCTCATGCGTACCGGGACTCCTTCCCAGGAAGGCGGCAGCTGGGGGTCAGGCTCTAGTCTGTCTCTCGCCTCTGCTTCCGGGACATCTGCACAAGCTCTGAGGCCAGCAAATACCAGGATCTGTGTAAACAACCTGCTGACTGATCTGGAACCCCAGCCCTCATCTGACAGAGAGTGGCTCTAAGGCAGGGATTGAGTTTATTTTTGGGTCCCCAGCACTGAGGACAGTGCCTGGTGCAGAGTAGTGATCAACAGATGTTTATTGAATGAATGGATGGATCAATCAATCAATCAACATCCTCCATGCAACCTTAGGCCCCCAGCCTCACCTCCCTCTCCTTACCAGCCCACCCATCTTCCCTGTGGTTCCAGGCTCCAACAACAGCAATCATTTGTCCCCACGAACCATGTCCAGCCCCACCTCACTCTTCTAGGCCTTTGTATCTGCTGTCCGCTATACTCTCCTAGTCATGAAGAGTTTGGACCTTGAGCCATGCTCCCCAAATGTGAGAGCACCACATCTCCTCCAAGATAAGGCAGAGGACTGTCTCGCACACAAGCTATCAGGTGGCTGCTCTGCCTCCCAGGCTGGTGTTGCCCTCGTTCCCACATGTGCAGCCTTCACATCACAGCTCAGAACTGGAGCTCACGGTGGGATTTGCTTGGTGATTAGTTGGAGAATGTGTACTGAAAATATCCACTCCATAATGTGGATAAAACCTAATCTGTATTCACTGGATGTCTATGAAAGACAGCACAGACCAATCATTGATGCATCTGAGAAAATACAAAGAGCTATAAAGAGGAAAGTGTTAGCAGTGGAAGAGGCAGGCGGAGGGTGGCACAGTCGTGGGACACTCAAATCCGCATGGCAAATGCCTAGCCCCATTAGTCACCATGACCGGGTCTCTATGGAAACGCCTGGAAGATGGTCCTCAAAATAGACAGTCAGGGAGCATGCTGGGTTTCTGCAGCAGGCACAGAAAGGTCCAGCCCTACCTCCTGCTCTTCCCACCTGGAGGATGGGAGCAGCACACCCTTTCCAGGACTGTTCATGGGCTGAGACGGAGGGGTCTCGGGAGCTCCAGCCCGATGTGCAGATTCGGGGTCCAGTTGTGAGCATGGCCCTGCTCCTGGCCCAGCCCTGCCCTCTGCCTCCTGCCTTGCCATCAGACCCTCTGCAGCAGGAACACACTCACTCCGGGATTCAGGCCCCAGAAGCAGGGAGATTCTGGTGGTCCCCCACTGCCCGTAGTCTGGCATCAGCACCCACAGCACAGCCCCCAAAGATCACACCCGCCTCTGTGAGCCTGAGGAACATGCTCTCTGCTGGGCTCCAAGCCTGAGGAACATGAGGAACATGCTCTCTGCTGGGCTCCTGGGGGTTTCTTCAAACCTCCACTAAGTATCTTCACTTTACAAGAGGGAAACCCAAGTTCACAGGACTTGACCATCAGCTGAAGTCAAGACTCACCACGAGGGTGCAGCGGAGGCTGTGCCGAGACCCCAGTTGGCTCAGCGCTGACTCCTTGCCAGTCCGAGCCACGCAACTGCTGTCATCATCACACAATAAAGTTGACAGCTTTGCTCTCTGCCAAGATCCCATAAAATATTAATAACTTCTGAGAATCCACGCTGAGGGAATCGCCCCAAAACACAGAAAAGGCTCTAGAAAAAGCCACTACATGTAACTTTTATAATAGCAAACATTCTGAAGCAATCTAAATGTTCAACAATAGAACAAGTATTAAATTATCTTGTATTCATTTGATAAAGTATAGTTCAGCCCTTAACAATATGTGCGAGACATGTTTATAACATGGGAAATGCTTATACTTTTGTCAAGCGTAAAAAGGGACACAGAAGTATAAATACAGTAGGATCATCCCTATGGACAAAATTAGAATTGGAAAGTAGCAAAAAGACTTGGGAATGCACAAAAATGAATTAGAGGTTGTTTTGGGGATAGGGAAAGGCTGTTTTTTTATCTATGTTTTCTGATTGTCTCTCATCTTCTACCATGAGAATATATTCCTTTCATGAAGTGATCTAGCCGGAGGTTGAGATTCTGGTGGAAGGAACTCATATTTGAACCTGGGGGCTGTTCCCTCCCAGCTGTGCAGTGCTGGGGGAGACCAGCTGTGCTGAGCTCAAGTTCTTCCTCTACATGGGAGAACCTCAGGCTTCAGGGCTGTGGCAGGGCTCGGAAATAACAACCTAAAGACCTCACGCCTGGCCCAGCAGGTGAGCTGTCCTGCAAAACAGTTGCTTTGAAATTAGAGGCTGGGCCTGCTAGCTTGCACCTGAACTCCCAGCACTTTGGGAGGCCAAAGCAGAAGGAACGCTTGAGGCCGGGAGTTCAAGACCAGCCTGGGCAACATAGGGAGACCCCATCTCTACAAAAATTAACAAATACAAATAACAAATACAAAAATTAGCTGCGTGTGGTTGAAGCGAGAGGATCGCTGAGCCCAGGAGGTCAAGAATGCAGTGAGCTATGATTGCACCACTGCATTCCAGCCTGAGCGATAAGCAGGAGCCTGTCTCAAAACTATGTACAAATTCAAAAATTCAAGAAGAAACTTTTCCTTTTTGAACTGAATTAGTGAGCCTGCTCCAAGTCAGAGAAAGAATCAGTCAGGCCAGGCCAAAGCTGGGGATACTGAGTCTGCCAGGGAACGAGGGCCCAGCCCGGCATGGCGGCCTACGGGTGTGATAGAAACTCCCACAGGCCATGGGGGCTTCTAGGGAGCTGCAGCCTTAGTTCATCCTTGGAGGGGACTCTGGAAGAATGGTGAGGGGAGCCCAGGTCATGGGGGGTGGGGCGCAGGGAACACGGCAGCCCCAAAGCCCTGGCTGGGGGTGAGGAGTGGGTGGGTCCGAGACCTGGATTCCACTGCGCGGGATGGGAGGGGAGCTTCCTGGGCTGTGTCCCTGGATGTGGACCCTGCACCACACGTGCTCCCAGTGGGCCTGAAGGCAGGTGCAGGACGTGGTCATAGTGAGGGGCAGACAAAACTCACCCTCTTCTCATGCACCACCACACCGTGGCTGGCTAACTAAGGTCTGAACTCTCCACCTGTCCCTGCCCAGATGGTAAACTCAACCCATCCCTCTAACCTAACTGAGAGCTCCCTCCTCCACAACACCATCCCAGCCCCTTCCCTTCAGAGCCATCTCCCCTCCTCCCAAATGCCCTCTGCCTGCAGGATCAGGCTGCTCCGGCCCCCGCAGGCTCTCCCCAGGCCTCCCCTGTGTTGGCCCTGCTGTCCTACACCAGGCACCTCCTCTCCTAGCCTGGAGTTCCTCGAGGGAATGAAGAGAGAGAAGACAGAGAAAGAAACCAGGGAGATTTTAAATGCTCGATTTGTGAGCACTGGTTACATGGCAAGGAATTATTTGTGTTAGCTTGTTTCATTCTCCCAACATCCCTGCAAGGTGGGTGAGTCACAACACTTCACAGAGAACCAGAGCTCAGAGCATAAGTAACTGCTCAGGGCACTCGGCCAACTTGGCAAAACACAGCAAACTTGAGACCAGAAGCAGGTCTGTGGGATTTGAAGCCAAGATCGTTCCATGGGGTCCGCGTCTGCTTGTTCCTCCACATCCCAAGGGCCTGAACTATAAGTCACAGGGCAAGGTGCCTGTTCTCCCTCTCTTTGTATATACACAGATATATAAATGTGTGATCCCAAACAATGCTCAAAGAGAAGACTCTGCTCAGAAATGGAAAACCCCCACATGGCTTCTTCGGGAAGAGATGCCATTCAACTCAGCTGAGGTCCCTGCAGGCTTTCACTGTGATCTTGCTGCAGTCAGGGACCAACCCAGGTGTGCAGGCGGCCGGCATAGCCATGGCTCCCAAGCAAAGCAAAGATGCCAAGGGCCTCTTAAGTGGCAGAATGCAGTAGGAGTGGAAATGGATACCCTGGTGGCCATGGCAAGACCCTTGCCCCACTGGGACTCACAGATCCAGCTGTAGCATTGGGGAGGGGGCTGGAGTCACCTTGACCCCTGCTACCCAGTTCAGCTCCCATGCCCTATGACTTGCAAAGTCTCAAGAATGTGCTGGGGTCCCGTTTAAGGTTTAAGGACTTGACCCAACCCAGACCCTCCCTGCACTCCCCACCCTCCTCACAGGGGAAGGCTGAGTGTCCTGTGCCCCCTTGGAAGATCACCTTGGAAATCCAAGTTCCAACAGTGCCCACGTCACAATCGAGAGTCACGTGCCCATGTGATGACTAAACATCTCAAGATCCCTAAAAAGGTTCATAGCCTTTGACCTAGCAGTAACTCTTAACTAGAAAACTTGTCTAGTCAGAAAATCGAATCAAAATGTATGTATTAACATGTTCACTGGAAACAGCAAGATATGATAATAGTGAGATAAACTGTGACACTGCAAACAGGAAAATATCATGCCCCATTTCTGGAAATGGTTCCACACTGTAGTGCTAGGCCCTGGCCTTGGCAGGTGCCGCCAGCGACTAAAAGCGCACCGCTGAGCTGCTCACTGCCGGGGCTCCCACAGGGACAGGCTCACCTCCTGAAGGCAGAAATGCCTTTCAGATCTTAGCATTGTTTCTTAAAAGCCATGCATTTTCTCCAGGATAAAGGGATTATATTCGCATTATTTGCCAACATGCCTCTGTGCCCACAACCGGCAACCCAAACACTATCAATTACCAAACAGAAAAAGCAAGCCTGGGGAAGAAACGACGTGGTGCTGCAGAAGGAGCCTCCTGCCCTCCCGAGGTTCCTCTGGTGGCCTCTGGCTGGAGAGACTGTCCACAGGCTCACTCCAGGAGTGGCAGCAGCTGGACTACCCCTCCCTGGGGAATTTGTTTCTTTTGCCTGATAGAATATATTAAGACAAGTTGAACCTCATTTTCACTAGTCTTTTTAGGGAATCCGAATTCCTTTAGATCCAGATGTATTTTCTGTTCAAACCTTAATAATTTAACAAAAATAGATCTGACTGCCAATTGGTTTGCTCAGCACTCATTTACAGAGCATCACATGTGGTAAGCGCCCCATCTCCTATCCACCCTTTATACCACCTGAGCTGCCTAACAACCTGCTGAAGCGGGAATTATGTCCTCCAAACTAGCAAATAGACCTGCTCTGGTCTCATGATGAAGTCACTCACCCACATCTGATGACTGTCCTCAGATGGCTGAAGTGCTGCGTCTCAAACCACCACCCTAACAAAGGCAAGGCTACCTTTCTTTAGTTATGAAAAAAAGAGCTGGCCTACCAACTGCTAACCATCTCTCTATGCCAGAAAAAAACAGCTGGCCTACCAACTGCTAACCATCTCTCTATGCCATGCAAACGAGACCTTAAAACCACCTTCTCAAATTCTCCAAGAACAGAGACAGAAAAAGATGGCAGCTCTTGGGCCAATTCCGACTCGCTGAAAGCAAGAAAAACATGTAACCACCTCTTAATGCCGTGGGCCACACTCCAGACCGCAGGGCCTCACCCCTCTCCTTACTGTCCCCCAGACTGAAGAGCTCCTGCCTGGGCCTCCCTCTGATGGTGGCCCCACCATGCATGGATGCCAGGAAGGGGGTCTATGCACTGCCCAGTCCCTGGGGTGGGCAAGGGGGTGGTGAGGATGAATGCCACAGATTCAAGGAGAGCCCCTTGTGAGTTTTCACACCAGGGCTTGGGTATATGGCTCCTAGAACTGGGTTGATCTTCCAGGAATAACAGAAATATCTGCATAAAAGACTCTGTAGCTTTTAAAACAGAAGTGATTATAATAAATCATTGCTTTGCAGGCGGTAGGGATTTATGGAGTGCCAGACACATTTACAAATGTCATTTCACTTTGATTCTGAGCCCCAGAGCAACGTGTGAGGTCGCCATGGGAGAGGTCCATGCCGCCCTGAGATGGGGAAATGGAGGCTCAGGGTGCCTCCCTGACGCAGCACGTGGCTGGACCGAAACATAAATCCAGGACCCCTGGCTCCACCAAAAGCCTCTACTACACCACAGAGGGGACTGAAGCACCATGAAGAAGGCCTTTGCGTTCAGACAAGAGTGCAGTGAATACCACGGCTCTTTTCTCTCACCCTGTCCCCCTACCTGTTCCCCCAGAGGCTGCAGTGAAACAAGGTCAACAACGTCAATGAAATGTCACCTCTCACCCTGCACTGAGCCCAGCTGTGGGGGCCAGTATGCATCTGCGCAGGCCTGGTCCCACCACTGGCCCACGTCATCTATGGGGAAAGGGAGTCAGCACAGGGGGTAGGAGGGTGGCGAGGAGACAGGTGCGGGTCTCAGAGGAAACAATAGTGCATGGTAGCAGGGGCTGCACTGAGCACATAATAGACATCATCTCATGTAATCCCTGGAGTAACTTATCCAGCAGGCATCATCCCATTCCATAAAGGAAGAAACTCAGGCTCAAAGAGGTGAAGTGATGTGCTGAAGGTCACATAGCTAACACATGATAGAGCTGGGATCTGAGTCCAGGGCTACCTGATCCTGAGAGGCCATGGAACCAAACTACATTTCCAAAAGAAATCCCTGAGCCCCCCTATGAAAAAAGGGTGCTACGGATTGAATGTCTCCTCCAAAACTCACGTTGAAACTTAATCCCCAGTGTGGCAGTGTTGGGAGCTGGAGCCTTTAATTGGTGATTGGGTCGTGAGGGCTCTGCCCTCATGAATGGATTAATCCATTCAAGGATTAATGTGTTGATGGATGACTGGGTTCTCATGGGTGGGAAAATGGTGACTTTATAAGAAAAGGAAGAGACACCTGAGCTAGCACATGAGTACGCTCAGCTCCCTCGCCATGTGATGCCCAGCACCACCTGAGCACTCTGCAGAGTCCCCAGCAGCAAGAGGGCCCTCGCCAGACATAGCTCCTTGACCTGGGACTTTGCAGCCTCTACAACTGTTAAGAAATACATTTCTTTATAAATTACCCAGTTTCAAGTATTCTGCTATAAGCAACAGAAAATGAACTAGTACAAAGAGGAAGAAAATCAGGGCAAGAAATGGAAGCAGCATGTAACACAGCAGGGGGCTGAGCCTAGCCTAGAGCCTTCACGCCTCCCGGCAGGCACCTCTGCCCACACAGGCGTGTGCAGCTTCCAGGCTGTTCTGTGCTGAGAGGCGTCCTGGGGCCAAACCAACTTCCTAGTCCTGGCTCTAATTGTCCACTGTTCTCTCTAATTTCCCCACTATTGTAAATTTTTAAAGGATGTTCTTAGTACACCCAGGGGAGAGGGCAAAATGAACAGAAAGGACCTTTATGATCATTAAGGACTAAAGCTTTTCTTCATCTGAAATTCCCAAATTGCCCAGGCTTCTTCCAGGCGCCCCACCAGTTTTCAGGCAGGACCGGGCTGAGGTTCATCCCTGGCTGGTAGAGGCCTGGTGGCCTGTAACGCAGTGCTCCCGGCTCTGCTCACTCTGGAGCCCCTGGGGCAAGTGCCAGCCTCTGAGCCTTAGTCTCCCTGTTTGTAAATGATGGAGAAAACCTCACTCACGGGACTGTGGTGAGGAGTGCGTGGCAGCTCTTATGCAAAATGCCTGGGACAGGAGATGCTCAACAATCCAATCTGACATGCTGCACCAGGGAGGCACCCTGAGCCTCCATTTCCCCATCTTAGGGCGGCATGGACCTCTCCCATGGCGACCTCACACATTGCTCTGAGGCTCAGAATCAAAGTGAATCGACATTTGTAAACGTGTCTGGCACACCATAAATCCCTCTTCTCTGTCCTGTGCCTCTCCAATTCCAGAACCCTCCCTACCCTTAGGGCCCACCTAGAACAGTGTCAAGGGCAGTTCGTGCCCTGGGAAGGGCATTGTTTCCAGACTGCAGGGACTTCTCCCCGCTCAGCCTTGTACCATCAGAACCTCTCCCCCAGGGCTCTGCTCCTGGGTGCCCCGTTGGTCACCTACCCAAACAAAGGCCCCCAAGCCATCTCAAAACCCTTACCTGGGGCTAGGGCTGCCGACCCTCAGACAGAAGGGAGGAGCCCACCTGCTGCCCACTTCCCCACCCCAAGTCACTCTGTTCTTTGCTCTTGGGCCCCTGTTCTGCCTGTGGCCCTCCCTTCGCTCATTTGCCCCATGAAAGTCCTGCATAGCTACCTGGTGGAATCTCCTCTGGCAACAGATAAAATACAGCTAATCCCCCTGGGCCTGACCCCATCTCACGGCCAGGGGGGCCCAGATGTCTTTCCCGGCTCAGCTATCTGAGTCTAGGGACACGGCTGACTGTGCTCAGGTCATCAGGAGATAGATAGGACATTCCCACCTAGAAAAGTGGCTGGGCTACAGGGAAGCCTCCAGAGAACCAAACTGTGAAACCCTCTGCAGAAACACCAAGCCTTTCCTTCCTGCCACTCAGGCTGGCTCAGAGAGGAGGAAGAGGCCACAGAAGGAGCCCGAGTGTAAAATGGAAACCCATAGCCGCCATGACGGTGCCCACCTGGTCCCGACAGCTTTCACCTGTGAGGAGCCAGGAGGCAGCCTCTGCAGGATCAGGGGGTCTCCAGGCTGAAGGGCGCTGGTGGAGTGCAAGGAGAAAGGCTTGTTTTCTCCTCACACCACTGGAATCATTTCCATGTGTCTCTAGCCCATGAAAGGGGCAGAACAAATTTATTAATGAACCGGATCCTGGATCAAAGAGGAGCTACTCATTCACAATGACCTCTTGGGTAAAGAAGAGGAAGAAAGGGGATATGTATGCTTGCAACTGACTGTCTGCAGGGGATCCAAAATAGATGAGCTGATTAAATAATTTCCAGATAATAAAGATTCTCACTTCAAAAGAAATGCTAAGCTTGTTTCTCAGCAAAATATTTTTGAGTTCAATGTAGAAAGGCACAGTGTAGGGTGGAAGTTCCCAGGTGCAACAAGAAGAAGCAGTCAAATAAACTGTGCTAAGTGTCCAGTAATGGCGTTCTCTTGGGGTTGAACACAACGTTGAGTTGAGGCATTTACAAACCAAACAATTTTCCACACAGACAGCATGAAAAGCTGTCCATGCATAGTCGTGGTGAGTGGGGTGAACGCAAGGGGTTCACCACACCCTGTTCTCTTTTGCCATCCCAAGCCACTCTCAGTTCTGGAAACAGTTGCAGAGCACACACCCCGCCAGACACAGTCAATTGCCATTTCGGAAGACGGCCCACTCTACACCAAGTGCAAGTCAAGATGTAGGCCAAGATCCGCCTGCTGCACCTGTTTCAACGGGCGATGAGCCCTTCTCATGTCTGCACTGTCACCGGAGTGCTGAGCTGCCCGCCTAGGTGAACAAAGATGACCTCACACAGAGGTGCTGGCGCAGTATGGTGAGCCCGTCTTTTTCCCCCAAGGTTTCCCGTGATGACCTTCAGTACCCACCAACATTTGGGGTGCCCAGCCACACCCCCCAAGACCTTGCTCGTGCATTTGGAGAAAAGGAGCACATCCACCCAGAATCGATGGGTGGCTGGCGGGTACTCACCCCACTGCAGAGGCGCCAGCTGCAGGTGCTCCAGGACGAGCTGGTTCAGGAGTCCTTCCACACTCGCCTCGCCACTGCGCTTCAGGGAGGGGTGAGCCTTGGTCAAGGAAAACGCAACTCCTGCGGAGCCCAGGGACAGAAGAACGTCTAGAAGTCTCTAGACAGAGACCCTCAGATGGGAAACCTCCTACAGCAGATGTCTCCCCTCTTCTGAAGGGACTGTCTAACCAACCACTATGACATCACCCTGGGTATGTGGACATCAGGGGCATATAAAACAGCAAGTGCTTGTCCTCCTACCCCTCAAATCTGGTAAATTAAACTACTGTTATGTAAGAAAGGGAAATCCACTGGGATAATTTTAATCCAACAACTATTCTTGCTGGGGAAAATAAAGAGAAATGGAAGGTTATTTTTCCTTAATAAAATATGCAAACTGGTTCACTGTTCAATACAACCCATGAGTTCTTTGACACGCGTCAGTTTCATGCTGGTTTCACGTCGGTCCTGTTATCCTTCTTGATGTAATTACACATATTATTACGAACGAACTCACTTAAGCAAGCTCATAATCGAGGAAGCCATAAAGTCTCTCAGCAAGTATCAGTGGGTGAAGAAATTAGGTTTAAAAATGTAGAAAACAGAAATCTCCCTTGCGCTAGTATTAAACAGCCAATGTGATTCTCAGATCTGTAAACCTCTTTCCCTTTTCCTACATAAGTTAAAGCCACCACATTTAAGTTGCAATAAAAGGGGAAAATTTTAGTTTCTGACATTCTCTAGTGACTGCAAAAGTGGAGAAAATACCCCACCTTCCTTCTTCCTTTCATAAATTAATTCCATTCAACAAACACATCCAGTTCATCTGAAGCACACCATGCACAGCAGGTGGTGTGGCCTTGAGGATGAAGGAAGGGTGGGCCACGCACCCTGAAGCTGAGAGGTTCCCATTCTGGTGAAGGCAGCAACGTAGAACCTGAGAATCGCATTGGCCAACCCCAGGGACAGTCCTATGGGAACAAAGCTCCTGCAGTCTGAGGTAGAATGGAGCAGAGGCTGAGCATTGCGAGAGAGAGGGAGCAGGACGAAATGGAGGCCCCTGGGTCTCTCCTGCTGGCTCATGGGGGAGTCGGGCTCAGAGGTGCTCAGCAGAGCGGGCATATCCCCCTCATCAATGGTCCAATGCAATAGCCACAGAGGGCTGTCCAGACAAGAAGGCTGCCCAAGAGAGCCCGCCGGTCACACCACCACAGCCACCAGCAGCAGGACAGGCTAAGGTCAGCAACATGCTGCCCTGGGGGCTCGGGAACCTCTACCCACTCCTGTGTCCTATTTTAGCTTTTTTTTTTTTTTTTTTTTAGAGACAGAATCTCACTCTGTCACCCAGGCTGGAGTGCTGTGGCATGATCTCGGCTCACTACAACCTCCGCCTCCCAGGCTCAAGTGATTCTCCTGCCTCAGTCTCTCGAGTAGCTGGGATTACAGGCACCCGCCACCATGCCCAGCTAATTTTTGTATATTTTTAGTAGAGATGGGGTTTCACCATGTTGGCCCAGGCTGGTCTTGAACTCCTGACCTCAAGTGATCTGCCCATTTTGGCCTCCCAAAGTGTTGGGATTACAGGCGTGAGCCACAGTGCCCAGCCCTAGTTTAGCTATTTTGGACTTCTTTCAATTCTTCCCAAATACTGTGTGCTCTCTCTGAATTCCAAGCCTCCCCTCCCACACTCTGCGTGTTCTGCCTGGAAATGTCTTTCCCTGCCCTCTTCTCTTCCCTGACTTTATATCTCAACCTGACCTTGCTTCTCCTGCAGGAACCCTCCAGAAAGTGTGCATGCATCCCATGACAACCTGTGCTAGACACGGTCATCTTCCTGTTACTTGGCTTCAGCCCTAGCCTGTGAGCTCCATGAAGGCAGAGACCTGGTCTTAGGGCCTAGAACAGTGTTTGGTTCACAGAAGTTGCTCAATATATATTGCCTGATGAATAAATGAACACTAAATGAGCAAATGTCCCAGGTAGGAGTGCAGAGGCCACGCCTCATTCAGCAGCACAGCCCGTAGCCCCTCCACACGCAGCACAGTGCAGTGGCTATGAGACTCAGCAAACCTTCCTGCACCTGACACCCGTGGGCCTGCTGATGGCTTCTGCACATTCTCAGGGTTCACTGCTCAGGGTCTTCTTGCTCCTGGCTCCAGTCCGCACATGCTGCTTGCTTCATTCCACAGCACCCCAAATGTCTAACTCATCCCGTCCTCCCTCAGTAGAGAATCCGAGGGCTTGGGAGCTGTGGCTGAAGCTCTGAGGCCGGCAGAGATGCCCTGGCCCTGAGTAAACAGCTCCTGCCCTCACTGGCTCTGCTCCCTCTCTTCTCTTCGTGGAGCTTGGTGCCGAAAAGGGCAGGTTCTGGAGACTCGGCCCAACTTTGAATCCTGGCACCCCCACGAATGAGCTTTGGTTAATTTACTTAAAGTCCCTGGCCTCACTTTCTTCATCTGTAAGATGAGCATGCTAGCAGTGCTAACTTCACAGGGCCGTCATGAGGAGTGCACGGAATCATACCCCTGGCCTGTGGGTAGCATTAAGTAAGTGTCACCTACTGTTAGCATCAGCCTCATCCCCATTCTTCTCCTCTCTCCTGTTCCTCCTCCCTCTCGGAGGAGATGCAGAAACTTCTCTCCTTGCCCCAGGAATTCACCCACCATTTCTGTTGCCTCGAACTCCCTTGGGGGTCTTACTCTCGCGCAAGCAATTTATCAAAGTGTTTCCTGCAAAGATAATTCCCTCCCTTAGAAGAATTCTCCAAACGAAATTTTCTCCATCTCATTACACACACAGCCTATGTTTGCTGAACTGATATTGTTACTGACAAATACTCTGCAATGAACTTTTAATTATCTCATTTTGCCCTGTGACAATCCTGGAAGTTCGGATTCTAGCATTCACCTCATTCATTCAATAGTTAACAGGCAGCTATCTGAGCTAGGGTTTAGGGTTATGGAGCTGACTGTGACCCAACAGACAGTCTTTTCAGAACATGCTGACCTCCAGCAATCATACTTCCAGGTTTATACCCAAAAGAACTGAAAGCAGGGACTCAGACAGATATTTGCAAACCCACGTTCACTGCAGTGATCTTCACAATAGCCAAAGGGTGGAAGCAACCAAAAGTCTGCCAACAGATGAATGAATCAACAAAATGTGGTCTATCCGCAAAATGGAATGTTATTCGGCCCTTAAAGAAAAGGACATTTTTGACACATGCTACAACATGGATGAACCTTGAGGACATTATGCCAAGGGGAATAAGCCAGGTACAACAGGACAAACACCTATGATTCCACCGATCTGAGGCACCTACACTGGTCAAATCCACAGAGACAGAATGGATGTGGGCGGGGCAGGGAAATGGAGACCCCTTCGCTTCAGCCATAGTGAAAGCAGGTGGCCTAACCACGGAGCTGAACAGTTGTCCCTTCTCGGGAGCCAGTCCCCAGGCACAGACAGCCACAGATATTTTCTAACCTCACTTGGGGCCTGAATCGCCTGAACTAGGTGCTTGCTGGGTTATGAGAACAAACGTTTCCAGGAGTGCTCAGTCCCTGAGGGAGACAAGGAATGGGAGGGAGTGTTTCATGGGTGCCCAGTTTCAGTTTGGGAAGGTGAAAAAGTTCGGGAAGCAGATGGTGGCAATGGCTGCATGATAATTTGAAAATGTTTCACACTCCTGAGCTGGACACTGAAGCACAGTTACGAAGGTAGATTTTCTTAAAATGCCGACCCAGGAAGGAGGCTATAATTAGGAAGCAGAGCGACGCTAAGGAAGCCCGGAGGAAGCCATAATCAGGAACAGAGAACTGAGAAATCTCGCAGGGTAGCGGCATCTGAGCAGAGGGCCACAGCAGGAGCTCAGGAAGCACTGGACAAGGACAGCCCCCCTGCGGCCCCCTCGTCCTTCCTAAGGCAATTTTGCAGGCAGCTTCCTCCAATCAAGCATGCAGCCGCCCTGTGTGTTCATTCATTTTGCGTCAGTGGCCATTTCCTCCCTCAGCAGTCAGGCTGCATCTCCATGAGGGGTGCTCCTTCTAGGGGAGTAGGCACAGGAAGCAACAGCTGGGGATCGGGGTCCTGCCTTCCTGCATCTCCCACGATGAGGACGGAGGCCGCCGCCCCGGGCCTGTTTTGAGCGCCAGCAGCAGCGAGGCACCCCTCAAGGAAGCAGCGCCCTGCAGCTCCTTTATCTTTTTGCAAAAGCGAATCCGACTCTCCCTCAACGAGCCAGCACACGTGGAACCCAGTGGGTTTGGATGTCCGGGGTGTTTGGGACCTCAGGCATGACCTGTGTGGTCCCTTCCCAAGCCCTAAGCCGTAACAGGGAGGTCAGGCCCTACGGGCATCTGGCCATTCGTGCTCTCCGTTCCGAGCACCCCATCAGGGCTAAGGAGGTGCCCTGCTCCAGGCCCAGGGACATTTGCAGAGGTTGAGCTTGCTCCCTACCACTGCACTCTTCTCAGGAGAAACAGCCAGGCCCAAGGACACCATGTCCGCCTGCCCAGGGCAGTCCATGGCCAGCCAAGCCCCAGACTTGAGGTGAAACCAGGTTCCTAGGCATCTCCTGGGAGGACCTTAGGCTCTGGATATGTGGCAGGCTCACAGGTGGAGAGAGGGCTGGCCTGGCTGGGCGACGAGGGGTCAAAGGCCATTGTGAGGGACCCCTTCCCGGTCTGTTTTCTCAGTTTTCAAATACGGGAAGGCGAAGGCTTGTCTCCCTCAGGGACTGAGCACTCCTGGAAACATCTGTTCTCATAACCCAGCACCTAGTTCAGGCGATTCAGGCCCCAAGTGAGGTTAGAAAATATCTGTGGCTAGATGATGAGTTAGTGGGTGCAGCACACCAGCATGGCACATGTATACGTATGTAACTAACCTGCACAATGTGCACATGTACCCTAAAACTTAAAGTATAATAAAAAATAAAAAAATTTAAAAATTTAAAAAAAAAAAAGAAAATATCTGTGGCTGTCTGTGCCTGGGGACTGGCTCTCAAGAAGGGACCGCTGTTCAGCTCCGTGATTAGGCCACCTGCTTTCACTATGGCTGAAGCGAATGGGTCTCCATTCCCCTACCCTGTCCACGGCCAAATGCCTGAGTAAACGGCAACCCACGCTCAGCTTCCCAGAAATTTTATTTTCTTAAGAGGAGTTGCTTAGTATTAAGAACTCATTGGCTGGGAAGGTTTGTGTCTTTATGAGCAGGGCATTGCAGGGTTTCATTGCCACAGATAATGAGTGAATTGTTTTTCTTCCTTTGAACCCACAGATTTGAATATCCTCATTTTAATGCTCAAGGCACCATATTAAATTACTTGTCAAGGTGAGGAATGTGAGAGTAAGGGAATCTCATCAGCAAAGATTAAAGAACTTTTCTGAAGGAAGGGGAGGAAGCAAAGCATGCATCTGGCACGTCGGAGAGGCCCAGGGACACCTGTCCAGTGGTGAAGGGGCAGGTGCTCAGCCCAGGAGCCTGCACTTCACCCTCCCTACAGTCTTGCTGGGTGAGGGCTGGAGCTAGGATGCAATCCCAGGGCTATGTGGTTCCCACGCCTATGCTTCCTCATGCACGTGCTCATCCACTCAGGCTGGGCCCTGGGCTGGATGCAGGGTCCCGAACCCAGCTCAGCGGCACATGCGGCACCCTCCTGGAGCTCCTGGTCTGGTGGCCACGGGCCAGGTGGGATTGGCTGCACCCTGCTCCCCGCTGGGGCTCCCTGAATCCATGAGTTATCATCAAACTCGGGGCTTGACATCTTTCAAGAGGGCAAGCAAAAAATGCAGAGTCCACCATAACCCCATGGATCTGCACACTTGTGGGGGTGGGCAGACCAACAGCCAAGAGCTCCCATCTCCAGGGTGCGTGCTGCAGGCAGGGCCCGCTCTAAGCAGCTTACACGTGCTCAGCGATTTAACGTTCATCATGGCATTACAAGGTAGGCATTATCTAATTTACAGAGAAGGAAAGAGGCACAAAAAGGTCAAGAAACTGGCCAAGGCCACACACCACATGGCAGCCCACTCTGCCCCCAGAGGCTGCGTTCTCAGCCACTGCCAAAGGCCTCCAAGTTACAGAAACTGGGCAACAATACCAGGCCCCGAATGTCATGTTTCTGCATGAATATGTGCATGCACACCAGTGTGAATGGGCACATACCCATACATGGGCCGCCACAAGCACATGCGCCGCAGCACCCCGAGTCCCGCACAAAGGCAAGGCTGCTAAGAAGCTTCAGGGCCCCGCTCCTTCCTGGCCAGGGAAATCTCCTGCACTGCTGTGCTGCTCTGGCCCCCACCCCGGCATGGAGCCCTCTCTCCCCATGTAGTACCCAAGGGACACCACGATGGCTCATACCAGGCCCCTCCTAGGAGAAGGTCAGGGTAGAGGGAGGGGAGCACCAAGGTGGCCCTGAGACTCCAGCTGCCTCTCTCTGGAGAGGAGGTGAAGGAGAACCTCCTGCAGATGAACTGATGACAGTCTAGCTCTCAGGACTGTCTGCCCTCAAGAATCTCAGAGGCAGAGGTCCTAGGGCCCCACTAGGATAAAGAGACACAGGAGAAAATGTGGAGACAGAGGAAGACAAAGAATAGGCCAGAGGGCTGGCCCTGTGAGCATTACGATGATGACGTCTGCCAGTCACGGGTAACACGCACCACAGGTTTGGGACAGGCACCCACGGTTTATTTTCTTGGAAACTGTACAGTGTATTCCAAAACTGCTCAATTCCAGGGCTCCTAAGGTTGCCCCAGCCTGACCCACACCTGCTCCAAAACCACTCTGGCTTTCCTCCGCTATAGAAGCACACAGCAGCTTGGGTACTCCTCCACTATAGAAGCGCATCGAGGCACAGGCACTCCTCCACTGTGGAAGCTATACCATGGTGTGGGCATCCCTCCACTGTAGAAGCGTGTCAAGCCACAGGCACTCCTCTGCTGTAGAAGCTGCACCATCACTGGCACCCAGTCGTCTATCAGCCAGGGGGAGGGGCCCTGGGTGCAGTGTTCACAGCCTCAGTCCACAACGACACCTACTCTGGACAGAGGGAGTCCCCAGTGCCCGTTCTGCAGGTGGTCAGGAGGATGAAAAGATAGAGGGGAAGGCTTTCAACCTTACTGATGCTACAGGCCCTGTGGGAGTTAAACTCACTCTGCCCTCTAAGGATTTACAAACCAAGACGTGCCGTGTTTCTCGTAGCCCTGGTGAGGGGCTCCTTCCTCTGTGCCCCACAGCCCTGGCGAGATGCCTCTCCTGTGGAGCTTCAGGGGCTCCATGCTAACTGTCCATTTCCATGTCTGTTTTCATAGTGGACTTGGAGATCCACATCCTCACGGCGTGCCGCAGACCTGGACGCACCCTGCTCTCTCCTTTTCAGGCTCTGTGCCCAGCTCTTCCTGGAATGTCCCTCCCCTTCTTCTACCTGGCAGACTCCTCTCTTTCAGACCCAACACAACCATGCCCCTCAGGGGAGCCAACTGAGCACAGCCACATGCCCAACCTGCCCTGGCGGTCTGCACAATGCTCTTTCGAGCGTGATCCAGCAATGCTGCAGTTGGCACTTGCATGTCTCTTTCCCTTGAGGAACCGTGAACACCTTTCTTTGAAGCTCTCATGTCTCATGCAACTCCTCGGACCAAAAGTAGCTCCATAAACATGGATTAAATAATGTAATGAAAACATGCATGGCAAGTCTGCATGAATGTAGGCATAAAGAAAATGACGGTATTCATCAAAAGCTGCCCTTCACCAGCAGTGCACCCACAACTCATCTTCAGCATGAGGAACAGAGTGGCTCCCTGACGATCTACTCTGGCACACCAGGAGGTAACTGATGCTGGCCCTTGGCACAAAGTCGGCACACACAGCCAGTACCGTCTAACATGTGAGGGGACCGAGCCTCGGGAAGGTCAAACAACTTGCTGGCTTTGAGTGACAGGCAGGATGCTAGCCCCAACCTGGGATGTCACGTAGCACCACGTGATGCTCACAGAGCGGAACTCCTCCCTGCCCACAGGGGCACGGGGCAGATGCAAGCCTGCTCCCAGATAACTCCGACCAGTCCTGTGAATTCTTCTGTGGCAACCGCTTGGCACCAGCATCCCTGCCCACAGCCACCCTGCAGCTGCCTCAATTCCTGTTACTCCATCGGCCACACCAGCCCTGCGTGCTGTGACACTGCTGGCAGGAAAACACAGCCAGTGCCCTTTATGAGAATTCTTAGAGGTTTCGGGCAACTAATTTTGATTTAGGGTAAGTTTCTAGAAGGTCTCAGGCTAACTCAGGGCAGCCCCCTGCACTTTCTACCTGTCGAGTCCCGGCACCAACAAGACCCTCACCGAGCAGTGTGCAAAGCTGTTTCCCTCCTTGCGGGGAGGCCCAGGAGAGAGCCAATGCCAACCCCCAACGAGACCACTGGTCACCGCGCACGACTGGGTGATCCTGGGGGGGTGCTGTCCTTTCCAGGAGGGGTCAGCTCTGCTGAGTCAGTTTGCCCCAAGCCCCCACCTCACCAGTGGCCTGGGCTCAGCCCCACTGCTGCGGTGCCCTGAGTGCGCCACTCCTCCTAGGAAACGCCATCCCCTGCGGAGTGTGAGGGGACTGGACCCCGGGAACTGGAGTGCCTGCAGCGGAGGGAGGGGGGGGCTGCTGCTTCTCTTTCCCTTGCAGCCCCCACAGAACAGAGCAACTTCCTCTTCAGTAAAAAAGACATCAGATCTCACTTCCTCCACTCCTGACCAGACCCCTGTGAGCCATGCTGTGACTCACTCTAATCAAAGGCAGAGGAGAGTGGAAACGTGTGTGCCGTGCTGGCAAGATGAGCTCAGTTTCACTGTTTCTGGTTTCGGCGTTCAGCTGTCATCTCACGGCCCTCATGGCTCATGGGCACACGAAGTCACGCTCAGAGCAGTGACCAATCCTCACTGAAGAAAACGCTCCCACTGGCCAATTCTAAATCTCAGAGTCGTCCAACTGGGTCCCAGAGTGGAAGGGGGAAGGGAAGACACGTTGGGACATGCCTGAGCCATGTTGGGCACTACGACAAGGGCTGTGCCTGTTCCCTTCAACTAGGTGGGGCCAGGACAGTTGCCACTCTTACTCAGGGAAAGAACCAGAAACCGGAGGGCTCAACCACACGTCCCGGGCTACTCGGGGACAGAACGGCCACCCCCGGAGCCACTTTAACTCCAGAGGCCAGGCTCTTTCCTGCAAAACGACATCTCCAGAGGAAAAGGACCTGCTCAAGAGCCCGTCTGCCAGACTGGTAACAATATGGAAGTGGAAAAGCATCCCTGTTGACGAGGCGGGGGGCACACAGGCATGCTCCCGCTTTGCGGTAATATTCTGCAGCAGGAAAGAGGAGAGAGAACATTGCCTATGAAATAATATGAGAAGTTTCCCAAGATATGCAGTAAGTGAAAAAAGCAAGATGCAAAATGTATACATACCTTTTGTGTAAAAAAAAATTACGGTAAAAAGGGTGTTTGCATGTACTTATTATTTCAGAAATAAATTTTGTAAGTTTCTATAAGAAACAAATAAAAGTGGGTGCTCTGGGAGGTGGAGAAGGAAAAGGGAAGATGGGAATGTCTATTTTTTAAAACGATTTTGAACCATGTGCACCTACTTAAAGTAATACAAAAATTAGCATAACAAAAGTAAACAATAATGTGCCCTTGGTAACATCATGAACAAAATTAAATGTTGAGAGTTCACTATGGGCCTGGGACGCTGGGACACAGCTGCACTTGAGTGTGGGCCTCACCCCGGTCAGAACTGAGAGGCTCTAGGGAGGCAAGTCACTGATACACTTGGGCTCAAAACACACATTTTTGTTTTTCTTTCTTTCTGCTTTCCCTCCTGATTCTCTTTGGAGTTTATTTTCACTTTCTTGAAATAAAGACCTACATTTTGGCATATTACTTTCATTAAAAAGTCTCACACCAGGCTTTGGAGGCAGGCAGCAGCCCCGTGCCTGCAGAGCAGAGACCATGCCTAACAGGCCCGGCCAGGCTGAGAAGCTCTGCAGTGATTAGTCTGGGGAGCAAGTCCGCCTGTGAGTAATTACCAAGTTGCCAAATGGTGCTGGAGCTTTGGAAGCCATTCCAATAGCATATTTCTGTATTAATTTGCTTTCGGACATGAGCCATAAAATTATACAGCTAAGCTAATAAAGCTAATTACCTGCATGCATATCCGACTTCCTTTCAGCCCTGTAAGCCACCCAAACAGTCTTGCATCTCAGCCTGTGCACAAGAATGGCAAGGCTGGCTGAAGGCAGCGATTACAGCCACAGTTGTAATACTACAACATACAGTGGCAATGGTGGCAGTGATGGGGGTGGCTACTATCTCTTAAATACGTGGACCCTGGCATTTGGAGCAAGAGGTCAATCCATAATGATGATGACAATAGTAGTTCCTATCATTATTGCCACTATAGAGAACATTTCCAAGGTGCTTGCTGTGAAGGATGCCCTGGGTAAGTGCTCAACACGCATCTTCTCACTGCAATACTCACCACTTTCAAGCTAAGACTTCAGAATATGGTGGGTATGAGATAGGTACTGTTATTTTCATTTCAAAGATTTTTCTAGAAAACTGAGGCTCATGGAAAGAAAAAGAAAGCCAGTGCCGCTAGCAAGTGGCAGGGGCCAGGCTTGAACCCAGCCAGGCTGACCCCTGAACCCACACTCTGCTCTCTGGCTTTCAGAGATTATTCGATATGTTGTATTGACTCCTCACCGTAAACCTGGAAACCAGGAGCCATGAGTCCCACTGGACAAAGATCCTGCTGTCCACAGGGCCAGGTTGTGCCAAGGCCCTGCAGTTGGCCAGCAGTTGGGTCAGTGTCCACACCAAGCCTGGCCAGTGTTTTTCCAGCCCAGAGGGAAGCCCAGCACAGAGCTCTCCATGGTGCTGAAGCAGCTGCCTCCCCTCAAGGCTCTTCCTAGGCACTTGGGGATGAAGTTTCCAAATCGTCAACAGGTTTTTACCCCCACCATTCTGCCCCTGCCTCTCAGGAGACAGAGATGAACACACTGGCAACAGAACTGTGAAATCACTGCTGGGGCCAACCCAGGCTTCACAGAAGTCCCCTAACCCATGCCCACTGTTTAATGACTGACATCCCTGCGTGCCTGAGCCCTAAGAAGACCCACGTCCCAGCCCAGCTCATGTTCTCATATCTGGAGCTGCCCACAGGCAGTTTCTAACACCCTTGCAAGGAAACACAAATTCCTCTCACAGCGTCCTCCAAGCTTGCCACTTTCTGCCTCAGAGACACGGCTGAGTTACTTGGAGTCCATTACAGTTTGCTCACATGCCCTGCTGGTCAAACACCTGTGGAGGCAGTGAGCCGTGAGGTCCAGGGGCTGGGGCTAGCCCTGCTCAGTTTAACCTTCCTCTGCCATCCCTGCTCAAACCAGCAAGATGAATGAGGAGGCAGCCCCACCTTCCCAACTGCTTAGCTTCTTGGCCTCCCCGTGGGAAAATATTATTTCAAAGAACAGAAAACATGCAATCCAAGCCACTAAAGAAAGAATTCAGAGGACTGCTTGTGGTTCCAAGCCCTGGGAGAGGAAGGGACAGTACCCCAGTCACCGCCACATGGTAGAGGCTCCATAAATGCCTGCTGCTTTTCCCTGAGCACCTGTGATGTGTCAGTTACCTACAGATCATCCCACATAGTCCTCACAACAACTTCAGGTTTAGGAAGCCTCCTTGGGGATGTTAGGTAACGCTCCCAAAGCCACACAGCCAGAAAGGGGTAGATTCAAACTCACCCCAGTGGGGTTTCAAATTCGGGGTCTGCTGCTCCAAGAGCAGTGCCCCCTTCCCTGTCCAGACTCCTCCCATGAATCCGTGTTTCCAGCATAACCAGCCTGAAGTCCACAGCGTGCCAGAGTGACGGGGTCAGGAGCTCACCTTCAAAGCAGCACTAAAGACACAGAGACTTTTGGGTGCTGTGGAACGTTAGAGGCACTTGTGTTGCCCCTTGAAGAGGGCGAGAGCCCCTTGGACTCAGAAAGCCTTTTTCTCCTGTGAGGTCACACATGAAGTTTTCTGGGGGACGACGTAAGGCAGTGGGAACACAGATGTGCTCTGTGTTATTGGCTTAGGCCAATAACGGTGTCAGCTCGTCCCCTGCCAGTGAGATGGTGAAGCATAACTCCAGGAGTAAGTGGCGTACGCAAGTGGGGCTCCTCCTAGAAGAGGGGCAAGGGGCGGCTACTTGCCCAGGAAGAGCAGCCCCAAATATGGCAGGCAGGGAGCCCCAGCACAGCACTTGGCAGGCTGCCCCTTGGCTCTGGGCCCCGTGCCTCACTTCCACGGTAGCGCCAGCCACCCTGGGCTTCAGATACTTGTGGCCATGACCGATTTCCCAAACTAGACCCCGGTAAGCATCCTGAGGACAAGGGGCAGGTTTACGGTCTCTGAGTCCCTAATTCATTTCCACAGAGTTGGTCACAAGTACAAGTCAACTGAATGAATGATTTTTTCCAGGGATGATGCAGAAGAAACCTGATGGTAGCTTTCAGTGACCACCTATGCAAGGCCACAGTTTATCAGCGAATGTCCACCCACACAAGCTTGTGTCCGGGAAGATTTACTGAGCACCTACTCTCTACCTGGCACTGGAGGAAGCCACGCTTCCTCGGAGCAGCGGTCTTATGTGTGTGTTCAGCCCACAAAGATTACACAGCACACTCAACTCAGAGCCACATTCGAGCTTCATACCCGCCACATGTGAGATGCAGAGGATGTGGCTCTTCTGTGAAGGGGAAACTGAGGTTTACAAAAGTTGCATATGTCATACCCCGCTCTCTCCAACAGTATCAGATCTCAATCCCTTCCGTGAATTTAAAAATCTGGCTTGAAGAGAAAAAAATACACATTGAAAAAACAGAAACAGGCCGGGTGCAGTGGCTCATGCCTGTAATCCCAGCACTTTGGGAGGCTGAGGTGGGCGGATCACCTGAGGTCAGGAGTTCAAGATCAGCCTGGCCAACATGGTGAAACCCCGTCTCCACTAAAAATACAAAAATTAGCCAGGCACGGTGGTGGGTGCCTGTCATCACAGCCACTTGGGAGGCTGAGGCAGAAGAATTGCTTGAACCCAGGAGGCAGAGGCTGCAGTGAGCCGAGATCGCACCATTGCACTCCAGCCTGGGAAACAAGAACAAAACTCCGTCTCAAAAAAAAAAAAAAAAAAAAAAGAATTTAAAAAAACAGAAACAAACAAAAAAGGATATTTAGTTGACCCTTGAACAGCATGGGGTCAGGGGTGTCTACCGCCTACACAGTCGAAAATCCACATGTAATTTTTGACTCCACCAAAACTTAACTACTAATAGCCTACTGTTGAACTGAAGTCTTACAGATAACATAAACAGTAAATTAACACGTATTTTGCATGTTATATGTATTACATACTATATTATTACAATAAAGTAAGCTAGAGAAAAGAAAATATTAAGAAAATCATGAGGAAGAGAGGACACATTTCCTATTCATGAAGTGAAAGTGGACCATCCTTCATCCTTATCTTCACGTTGCGTAGGCAGAAGAGCAGGAAGAGGAGGCACTGGTCTTGCTGTCTCAGGGGTGGCAGAGGTGAAAGAAAATCTGCATGTAAGTGGACCCACGTAGTTCACACCTGTGTTGTTCAAGGGTCAACTGTGCCCTGAGCTATACCGGATACTCCCCATAATTACCCCCAAGAGAGAGGCCCCATCCCATCTTCCTTCTCTGCAAGCTGCATGGTTCAGAGCAGGGTCACTGCTCTGGTTTTCCACTGTAACCCTTTAGAGCAGAAATGAGTTTCACAAGTCAGGTAACCTACACACCAGCAAGAATCCTGTCCCTAGTTGGCCTCCTTCATTCCAACTCGACACCCTTTAAAGGCCTCACCAAGGGCTGAGGGCAGGAGGCTGGGAGAGAAAGCAGAGACAGACCTGTACTGCCCTATATGTACATTTGGAGACTCTTGTGCCTAATTTCCAAAGGCAGGGAGCACAACCCCACAGAACCAAATGTGTTCTAGATGTACAAGGCCAGGCCAGGAGCAGGTGGAAAGGAAGACTTCATTCCACCATTTGACCAGAGCCGTCTGTCCTCCTCACGGTGAAGGTGATCCCGTCACTCGCTGGGTCAAAACCCTTCAGGGCGACCCACTGCTTTTAGGACAAAGTCCCAACACCCCAGCACAATCCATAAGCTCCCTCACAGCTTGCTTTTCCTGTTGCCGCTTCCCCTTTTAGACCCTGAGCCCGTGTGCGTGTGTGCCTGGGTCCTCACTTCCAGAGACGGCGCTGTTTGCTGTCTTTGCTCTGCTTCCCCTGTGCCTGGAGCACCCTTAGCCTTGTCATTCTGGTGAACACCCCCATCTTCTAGAGCTCAAACATTGCCTTATCTGGGATGTCTCTACCCTGGAAACCAACCCTTCTGTCCTCCCTGGCTGCCACCACTGCACCCTGCAGAGCACGCATCCTGTCCTTGCTGTGTTAGGTGCTGGGGATTCAGAGACCAAGTTGGGGGCCTCCCTATGTTAAAGAAGCCCAGCCTCCTGGGCAAGGATTATATCCTACTTATTATCAGTAGTCATTCTTCCTTATTTATCACATTTAATTATTTAATCAATATTTGTACAGAGCCTTTTTGTTTACAAATGTTTTCATGTGTGCCATCTCAGTTAATCTCCATGTCTTGGGAACTATGAGTGTTCACTTCCAAATCTTTGAAAAACACAGCCAGATGCAAAGCAAATGCACAAGGTAATAAAACACCTTCCTTGTCATTTTCTGTAAGGCCATTAGCAGTAAAATATTTGGTAATGTACCGCAGTCAAAGACCATTTGAAACCATGGGGCAGCTTTGAGATCCTGTCTATATTTATGTGACTGAAGTCTACCATGACCCGGTTTGGCATTTTAGGAAAACAATGATTGCTTAGTTCACTCTGCCCCTGGGAAACATGAAGCCAGATGGGAATCTGTGAGGTTCTCTTTGGAACCTGTAGACCTGAGGTGTGTGAGCCTCATCTCTCAAAAATAAATAAATAAATAAATAAATAAATAAAATAAATAAATAAATAAAAATAAAATAAAAGTAAGTGCTATGCTCAGAACATCTGGTTAGTATCCAAAGTCTACAGAGCAAAAGCTTGAACTCCATCATGGAGAATTTGACATGAAGGTTTTCACACTGGATTTGGGTTGAGCATCATGAAGTGGGTGCTCTGGGGTGGCGGTGACTTCAGTTGGGTCATCTCTCCCTGCTGGAAAATAGGCTGTTTGCATCCCACGCGCAAGCTCTGGAGTGAATGACTACAGGTGCAAGGGCTCAGCTTAGCCCCACTTCAGATCAAATAAATTAGCAAATTGTCATAAATAGAAATTACACTAATGGAAAGACTGCTTTAAATGATTAATGAGCCTCTTTGCCATGACTTTGTTTTCTAATTTGCATCATGAACTTTCAGAATGCTGATGCTCTTGCCGCTCTCATTTCAGTAAGTGCCCCAGCGTCTCAGCTGAGCTCCCTGGTGTGAGAGACCCAACTGGACAGAAGATGTCACACAGTGGGACGCGCTGCCAAGGGGAGAGGTCTGCAACTGGCTCACTGCTGCAAATCTTGCCTGGGTGAGAATATTCCAGAGTCCCACAGTGGAGAGCAGGTGAAATGGACAGAGCTCTGCATGGGGCGATGGGTACCAATCAGTGGTGAGACCTAGGAATGCTGCCATCTCCATAGGCTTCCTCTGGTAAGTGGGGATAATGCGAGGCCCTGGCAGAAGCCAGAGGCTCTTGTGCTTCTTCCTAGATGGAGCTGAGCACACAGCACTGAGGGCAGCAGCTGCCCGTGCCCCCGGCTCTGCCACGGACCAGCTGGGTGACCTACAGCAAGCGAGGTGACCTCGCTGGGCCTCCTCGTTTTCTCATCTGTGCAACGTGGATAAAACTACTTCAGAGAGTTGTTGTGAAAGTGAAGGGAATAAATCTGTATAAATTGCCCAGAACGGTGCCTGGCATCTAGTAAGTGCCATATGGGTTTTAGCTGTTACTTAAGCTCTGTAACTTTATGATTCTATTACATAAGCTACGCATGCTCACAATAATCATCACGCTAAAAATACAGTGTGTATATGTCCAACATGTACCTGATCACACAAACACAACACACGTCGATCCGTGTGCACGTTCACACACACATGCATGCACACACATGAAGATGGGAAATGATGCTGTGGATGCCGGGGAAAGGCCCTTCCCCGCTCTCATGTTCCAGATCTGAAGTCTGTGCTGAGTATGTGTCAAACCCCGGCCACTTTCAAAGTCATTTCAAGGTGGGCATGGCCACCAGATTTGGATTTGGGGGAGGCAGCAATCAAATCTGTGCCTCTCCCACCTTACCCTCCAGCCCACCGAAGGCCAAACAGCCAGGGTGATGTGACGGCCTCGCTGGCTGGCAAGGCAGGACGTCTCTCTGTGGCTGACAGGGCTTCCCTGCTACGGGAGATTAAAGGCCTCAGAACCACGTTATTACAAACAGCTATAAAAGCCAAATTCCCTCAAGGCAGATACAAAATGCAACCCTGCATTTTACTTAAGATGATCAAGGAATCAGCTGTACTGATGGCAGGAGCCGTTTATAGTAAAATTCATTTAGAGAAAACTATTTCTCCAAACATAACGATTAGAAAAACACAGTGTGCTATGTTTTAAAAGAATCTTGTTTAAAGATATTTAATTTTTTTCAGGAGATAAGACAGAGCTCCATTAGGAAACATGTCTGAGAATAGGCCAGAAGCCACTTTGAGAGGCCGAAGGGTGGGCCCACACAGCCCACGTCAAGTGCCTGAGTCCCGCCTCTGTCCTGAAAGGGAGGATAGCTCAGCGGAAGGCAACTCCTCCTTACTGGAAAGAAGGCAGTCTTGAAAATGGAGAACAAAGCCCAGTGTGACTGCATTCCAGGTGAGATCACCCAAACAGGGCCACTGTGCCTAAAATCCTTACACTGTCCTGCTGGTGAAGCCCAAATAAAACTGACAAACACCGCCGCCACTGTGGAGCCTCTTCACTTTGCAGAGGGTGACTGTTGTCTGCAAGATCCAACACCCCTCAGCAGTGCACAGCCTGAGACCCAAGCTGTGCCTGGGCTCCCTGTGCCCGGGAAGGCAGCTGTTTGAGGACACAAGGCCCCCTGTACTGAGATCATGGTTACACCGTCCACATCCCTCCACTCTCCAAGTCATGTCTGCTCATTTGTCCTCCGCATTTCACAGATATTCCACTCCAATCCCCTACTCTGGGTATCTAAAGCCATTTGCCTTGGGCTTCTCCAGCCTCTAACTCACTCTCAAAGCAGCCAAATTGGTTAAAAATGCTCCTCCAGACAGAATGGAGGAGGCGGATGCGCCTGGTGGGAAGAGATTGCTCAGACGGCCCAGGTCATTCGCCTTCATGGGGATCAGCCAAACTGCGCACCCAATTCTTCCTACTCCAGCTCACACAGCTGGATTCTGATACCTCAGCAAGCCTTGCACCAATCCCTGAAATGCTCTCCAAAGGGTGATTTGCAACAAAAACAAGGAAAATGAAAGGGTGAGTTGACCCTAGGCTTGCCAGAAGCGTGTCCCTCCCCTGCTTCCACAGCAGACGGTCTGTGCAGGGCTGCTCTGGAAAAGGAGCCAGGCTGCGATGTAGACTCATCCCGTGAGTTGCAGTTCCTTTCACACACTCATCACGGCACTCGGCATCGCGCAGCTGAGCTGGTAGCCATTCTGTTTGCTGTGTCATTGAAATGGAAACTATTCATTCAACAAACCATTTTAGGCTGGGCATGGTGGCTCACACCTATAATCCCAGCACTTTGGGAGGCCGAAGTGGGCAGATTACCCAAGGTCAGGAGTTCGAGACCAGCCTGGCCAAAGTGGTGAAACCCCAACTCTACTAAAAAATACAAAAATTAGCCAGGCGTGGTGGCAGGTGCCTGTAGTCCCAGCTACCCAGGAGGCGGAGGTTGCAGTGAACCTCTCTGCAACCATTGCACTCCAGCCTGGGTGCCAAGAGTGAAACTCTGTCTCAAAAAACAAACAGTTTTCATACCTATGTGCTAGCGATTATACACAGCACTTGGGCAAGCAAAAGAGAACACATACTATCAGAGCAGGGTCCACACCTGATTTTGAGCATCTGGTGTGCCCTGGTGTTCAGTCCAACCTCTGGCACATGGTAGAGCCTCAATAAACGGCTGTTGGATGAACAGGATTCCACCTGACCTCAAGACGGCACAATCTGGCAAGGGAGAAAATCTGCAGAAAAAAACTAATTTTCTGTACTAATTAAAGACTGTAACTAACAAGAATGAAGTACTGGGTGTCACAGGAGCCCAAGGGAAGGGGCTGTTGCAGCCAGGCCGAGACGGGAGGGAGGCTGATGGCAGAGAAGGCTCTGAGGAGCAGACAGTGAGGTCCACTCTGAAGGATGAGTCAGGAGGGCCTCCCCTGAGGTCAGGTAGCAGCGTGGCATGAGGTCTTCCAGCAGGAAACGGGCAAGGGGCATTCACCTTTGCTGACACCTTCCAGGGCCAGAAGCTATGTCTGCACCTTGCAGATGTGATCTCAGTTGAAGCAGTCAACAGGAAAATAACAAGTTTTGGGATCCTGACTATGCCTCTAGTTGCACAATCTCTGGTGAGTTATTGAACTTCCAAAATTTACTTATGTTTTGAAAGGGGTAGGTACTACCTGCTTTGCAGGTCTGAGGTAAGGAAAATGCTTCTGCTCACCCATAGGTGACCAAAAAGGCCGATGATTCTTCGAACTCATCCTGACAGCAATGGTCTGCAGCAGGTTCCGTCACACCAGCTGCACAGATTAGTACATGGCCCTCAGGTCACACAGTCTCCCCTTCTGGATGCTGGGAGTGGCAGGGCCAGCCTCTGACCCCAGGCTCCAGTCCTCAACAATGTGGCGTCATTAGTCCTATCCCAAAGGCAAATATAGAAGATTTCTAGATCACGTGGTAAAGGCTATTATCTGCTATTAACAGAGTTCACAGAGAGTTGGCTATGCTAAGGTTTCCCAAGTTCAGTAAAATTGTCCAGTATTGGTAGCTGGAGGGTAAGAAGAAGCTTAAAAGAAGAAGGTACCAAAGGTAGGTAGGTTTTATCCAGAAAGCATCACTGTATAGCAAATAAGCCCAGCTCTCTGGGCCAGATGCTGCATGTACTAGGAAGAGATGCCCCCGCCCTCCAGGGAAACTGCACAGACATTACAAACAAGCATGCTCTTATCAAGCAGGAGAGGTCTGGGTCGGGGGGCTGGGGGGAAGGATTCTCTTTAAAATCAGCAGGCTGATGTGGGCAAGAAAGCCTAGGAAATGTGGAAGAAAGGGCTTAAGAGACTTGTGAGCATGAGGAGTCCTTTGTGAAAACTTTGATCCTGGGATAGAATAAGGATAAATGCACAAAGACAGCAGAAGCCCTCCAACCTGGCGTGTGCGTGACAGGAAGGGACACAGGGAGAGTGCTTCCCGAGTGTGCCACAGGAGCAGGGACTCGCCCCGTGCAGCTCCGGGGAAGCAGAAGCCCTTGCTGTCCCCACTTCATGATGAGAATAGAGAAGCAGAGAGAGAAGGTGGCCATGACCAAGGTCACCCGGGGCAGGGACTGGTGGGAGAATGGTAGGAAACTGCCTGTGTCTGACCAGGTTTCCCAGCCTCTCGTGGGAAACATGGCCCCAGGCTTGGTGGCAGGTAGTGAGGAAAGCTTGCTGTACAGTAGCTAACACATAGCAGCCACACAAGAAGTGGTTTTCATAGTCATAATAATAAGAATGATAAATAGGGTTTAAGAAAAGATTTCCTAAAGAAAAAAGGGGTACCCAGCTGGGCGCGGTGGCTCATGCCTGTAATACCAACACTTTGGGAGGCCGAGGCGGGCGGATCACGAGGTCAGGAGATTCAGACCATTATGGCCAACATGGTGAAACTCTGTCTCTACTAAAATACAAAAAAATTAGCCGGGCGTGGTGGTGTACATCTGTAGTCCCAGCTACTCGGGGGGCTGAGGCAGGGGAATCTCTGGAACCCGGGAGGCGGAGATTGCAGTGAGCCAAGATTGTGGCCACTGTACTCCAGCCTGGTGACAAAGCAAGACTGCCTCAAAAAACAAAAAACAACAAACAAAAGAAAAGAAAAAGAAAAAAGGGGTACCTAACCCATTAGCTCATCCGGTCAGGCCCAGCACCAGAATGTGACCCCCACTCTGGAAGCAGGATGGCTGACCGCCCTGGGCCACCTCCCCAACAACAGGTCACCCTGTCCACAGCAGGGACAGGCCCTGTGCCCGGCCAGTGCCCTGGGACATGATCCTAGGTGTCTTCATTGTAATTTCTCTGGCCCTGGGCTCCTTGTGATAAACGTGCCCCATCTCAGAATGGGAGAAGGGGCTGGTCAGCAGGGCTGGGCGCTACTCAGAGGCCACCCACAGCCCTCCAGCACTCTAGGAGGAGTGCCCGGGGGTGCCCAATCACACGTGGGGTCTGAGGGAGGGGACAAGAACAAGGAGGCTACTGAGTTTAACCCTCTGTTTCGACAGAAATTAAGTAGGGAAGGGCATAGGGGAGGGGCAGGAGGGAGAGAAGGGGGAAGAGAGGATTGGGAAGGAGAGAGGAAGGGACAGGCACTCAGAGGCCACCCGCAAGTCTGAACCCTGCAGGTTCTTGGTGACGGGTGGCCGCCTCTGCACTTTCTTCCTGTGCCGCTCCCTTTGTTCAGGCCCTTGTGGTCCCTCGGCACTTTTTTCCTGGGTACTCCCTTCGCTCAGGCCCTCACGGTCCCTGACTTAGAGCTGCTCACGCAGTGGCTCCTCAACCCACCAGCATCCCCAGGGGCGCTTGCATCTTTGCAACCCACTTGTCACACTGTGGCCAGGGTGGCTTTCAAAGACATCAATGTGGCCATGCTCATACCCTGCCTTCTGGGTCCCCTGCTGAGGACAGCACAGCACATGCTGAACCCTGGGCCCTCTTCATCTCTCTACGTGAACGGGAATGGGCTGAGATCTCCACCTACTCCTGCCAGGCGTGACCTGAGGGAAGCTCCCATCAGCCCCACAACGCTGCACTGCAAGTGCCCATCTCTGTATCTGTCCCCTCCCCTTTGATGGGGGCATCTCCAGGGCTCACCTCCTAAGAACAAGCAAATCTGTACCATATTTGTCATTAACAGGTGAAGAGTGGGGTGAGAGCTCCCGGCAGCCCTGGGCTGCCCATCGTGTCACCGTAGCTGCTTCATAGACAGGTGTGCATCGACCCAGTGCAAGATCCCCAATTTCCTTTAAAACGCATCTATCCAGACCCATGCGCTACAGGTGGGCAACTGCTACAACTATGGACGGGTATCAAATTAAGCTCAAATGTTTGTAAAAAGTCTAAATGTTTAGAAAATATTATTAAAATGCATAATGAAATTATTAGCCAATTCAATCTTTGGTCTTTCCATCTGCTTGAATTCAGGTTTACAATAGCAAAATTCTGCTATTCCTCTGACACCAGATGTCATCAACAGATGAGAGTGGGGGGAAGGGAGAGGAGAGGGAGAAAGAGAAAGGGGGGGAGGAAGGGATGGAGGCAGAGAGGGAGGGAGGGAGGGAGGGAGGGATGATGTCCTTAATGTTAACTCTCTTTCACTAAATTTGCCTATAGGGACAATCAAGCTCTCATAAACTTCCGATCAGTAAATGTATGGGGCAGATGTGCTTGGCACATGGTAGGCAATCAATAAATATGTGTTGCATGAATTATTAAGCAAATATACAGAAAATAGAGAAGTCAAACGCAAAGACATTTTCTGTACTTTTTTGATACTGGTTTTCAAAGAACGCAAGAGTTCTGTGGGCCACTATCATCCCATTAGAAGGCAGCATGTGCTGGGCGGGGACTGCAGGCTGGCAGACAAGCTACGGGGTGCAGGAACTGGCCACGCCACTTTCTCTTTGTGAAGTGGAGTCACAGTTTTCATCTGCAAGACGGGAAGACAGGATAATGAAACCGCCCCAGGAGTCAGGTTGCCGACAAGGGTGACGTGGCCCAGGGCAGCACCAGCCCAGGGTGGTGTCTGGGAGGCAGCAGCTCTGACACTAGCAGGGTGCCCCTGTGTGCCCAGCACAATGAGGCCCTGGGAGGGGAGGGGAGGGCTCAATCTCTGTGAAGCGTGGGGACACAGAGGTCAAAATCCCAACCATCCTAGGGCTCTGGCTTTTATCTGAGCCCAAAGAGAGATCGTTCAGGAGAATGAATAACCTCCTGCCAGGCCCACCATGCACCTGCCCCTTCCTCCACTGGTGCTGCTGGCGCTGAGCTGGGGCTGCATCAGACCCATCCAGGACCGCCTTGCTCTGCATGGGGCGCCCGGCCAGAGGCTGAATCTCTGAGACCCGAGTAAGAGATGCCTCCTGCCTCACATAGAGCCTCTCCAACCCTCAGCCTATCAGAAAGACCCAACAGAAAGACAGAAAGATTATCAGAAACATGGGCCTATCAGAAAGACCCAAGACCCAGCATAGACGCTGGGAGGTGAGTGCCAGGGGTCCCTCCTTTCCCCAGCCTGGCAGCGTGGGAGTTGCCTGCGGAGCCTTCTCCTTTGAAGCCTGAGACTCGGGGGTGAGCACTTTGCCAGCAAACTTACCTGGGTTGGTCCCTGGCCCTACCCCTCATGGCTGAGACTCAATTTCCTTCATGGGAGCCACAGTGCTGGTCAGGGAGATGTGGAGGAGATAAATGGGGTGATGGGTGCACGCCCGACACAGTAGGAACCAGTCTGACTCGCTCCTTGCTATGGCATTTTGCTCATTAAGAACTGGCTGAACCCTGACTTTGTGCCAAGCTCTGTGGGGAATACAAGGGAAAGACAACTCCCATTATCCCCACCTTTTTACTTCTCTCTGTACCAGAGATAAACACCGGTAACTCCACAACAGACTGTTCCTGTTCACTACGTGAGTCCCCAAGCACTCTATTTTTCATGTCTGGTTCACAAAACCTTCTATCTACATGTAAAGTGCTTATTTTGTCACAAACTCCTTGGAGACAGTGAGTCTGCCAGGCTCAAAGTCCCTTTAGCTTGAACAAAGGAATTGGCCTCAGGTTCTGGAAACTATGCTGTGTAGAGCGAGGACACTTTCGGAATCCAGGAGGCCATCTGGAAGGATCCCAGACCACACAACGGAGCAACGTGTGTATCCCCATATCTGCAGAATGTGTGCATGACTGAGATCATTAACAGACATTCCCATCAGAGCTGCCCCTTCCCCGGAGATGGGCTCTCATGCCTCAGTATTTTGGGGCTGTTTCCTACCTTTGTCCCCTTAATAAACTTCTATCTACTTCTAGCAGCCACTCAAATGTCACCTCCTCTATGAAGCCTTCCTTGAATGCCCCCACCCAGTGGCCTCTGAACCTGCAGCACTCGGCAGGGTGCTCTGCCTTCGCTCCCCAACAGTGCTCAATTCCCAGAGGACACATCCACTTCATACTAGACAAACAACTGCATGGAGACCTTGTCTTTGCATCTCAGCCTCTTAAATGCCTTGCAAAATGCCTGACTCAAAAGTAGGTGCTCTCCAAAGATTGCTGAACAAACAAATGAGGGAACCTGGGCTTCTCCAAAGTGCTCGGTCAGTCAGTGGAGTGTCTGCAAGGAGTCAGCCATTGATCCAAAGTTCAGACCAGGCTCAGTGACTGTGTGAAACACTGTGTTATAGCACAATCCTTCTGAAAACTCTCTCCAACTTTTCAAAATGGCATCTTCATGCCTCGGTAAGCTGTACAATCCGATTTCAGTTTCTCAGACAATTGCACTTGTGTTTTCAGCTGTCAGTCTGTGAACCCCCTGAGCCCGGCACTGATAGGTGGCCATTAGAACCTGTCACTAACATGAATATCAACACTGGCAAGAAGCATGTGATCCAAAGACGAGAGCACCACCGGCTCCGAGAAGACCTTTCCTCGCCCCCAATCAATACTGCTCCGAGTGGGGCCTTTGAAGTGTTAAGAGGTTAAGGAAATGCCAAGCCTTTGGTCCACATCTCCTTGCCACAGCATTTCTGAGCTACCTGTGGTGAAAATTCAATAGCTAAGACCCTCACGGGTCTTTCTTAGAGGTTGGAACCCTGGGCAAAGGTGCCCCCAGGCCCAGGTGGCCCCTGGAAAAGGATATGATTCTCCAGCAGATGCCCAGCTTGCTGTGGATCTCCAGGCCTCGGGCTTCCCGCCGCTCTTCCTCCAGCTGCTTGGGGTTTGCAAATTGCCCCTTCTCCCCAGGGGACTCCGGGAAACTCTCAAAGTTGAACTTGTCCACTTGAATAGCCATTCTACGAGAAAGGGGAAAACACAGCAGAGAATTCATCAGTAGGGCAATTTCTGCCGGCTGTTGGAGAATCAGCACATGCCAGCGTGAGACACTATAATGAATCATTATCGTTAGTAATTCATAACGGATTCATTCCAAGAAAATGAAATAATAGACTCCTAAGGTGGCCCTGACTTCAGAGCTGGTTCAACACACAATTTGGAGCTGAAGACACAGTCATTGCTTCAAACCTCTGGGAAGACCTGTGTTACCCCAGATAAAAATTTCAATTCCATAACACAGCAAGGCAGGAAAGAACCAGTGTGCCATAGATAGTGAGCTGGATGGCGACTTAAACTCCTGTGCAGTCATGGAGAACGCTGACAATTATTTAACCCTGGGGATCCATCAGCCCACTGGGAACTGCCTGTTTATCCTCTGAGTGCTGTCTGCCTCCTCCCCCTACCATTTCCTTCTCAGGCCAGGTGGGCGTGCCCCTCCCACAGCCCCCCCTCAGCTCTCATTTGGAACGGTTGCATTTACCCAATGTCTGTACCCCTATTGTATCTAGGAAATAACTAGCTTGTTTTTGATTTTACAGGTTCATAGGTGGAAGGGACTTGCCTTCTCTCAGATGAGACTTTGGACTGTGGACTTTTGAGTTAATGTTGAAATCAGTTAAGACTTTGGGAGACCGTTGGGAAGGCATGATTGGTTTTGAAATGTGAAGATATGAGACTTGGGAGGGGCCAGGGGCAGAATGATAGAGTTTGGCTCTATCCCCACCCAAATCTCATCTTGAGTTGTACTCCCGCAATTCCCGTGTGTTGTGGGAGGGACGCGGTGGGAGATAATTGAATCATGGGGGTGGCTTCCCCCATACTGTTCTCAGGGTAGTGAATAAGTCACACAAGATCTGATGGTTTCATAAGGGGGAGTTTCCTGCTGTCATCCATGTAAGACGTGACTTGCTCCTCCTTGCCTTCATCATGATTGTGAGGCTTCTCCAGCAACGTGGAACTGTAAGTCCAATTAAACCTCTTTCTTTTGTAAATTGCCCAGTCTCGGGTATGTCTTCATCAGCAGCATAAAAACAAACTAATACAACAACAGAGGGTTTATCAGTCAATGGATAAGAGTAGGCGTTTTGGGCCGGGTGCGACACCTGTAATCCCAGCACTTTGGGAGGCCGAGGCCGGCAGAATCACTAGAGGTCAGGAGTTTGAGACCAGCCTGGCCAACATGGTGAAACCCTATCTCTACCAAAAATACAAAAATAAGCCAGGTATGGTGATACACACCTGTAGTCCCAGCTACTCAGGAGGCTGAGTCAGGAGAATTGCCTGAACCAAGGAGGCGGAAGTTGCAGTGAGCCGAGATTGTGCCACTGCACTCCAGCCTAAATGGCAGAGTGAGACTCTGTCTTAAAAGAAAAAAAAAAAGTAGGCCTTTTTTTTTTATTATTGCATAGATTGTGCTGTGGCCAAAACATTCA
Source organism: Homo sapiens (assembly GCF_000001405.40). Lineage (NCBI taxonomy): Eukaryota > Metazoa > Chordata > Mammalia > Primates > Hominidae > Homo > Homo sapiens. The sequence goes on from NC_000008.11 coordinate 139,911,774, forward strand.
GCAAAACCATGCTCTAATTGGCCTCTGTGGCTATTCCCTTGAACGAGCAAGAAATAAGGGGACCTGCTGTTAAGGGGATATAAAGACAAGATAAGACCCAAAGAAGTCTCAGTCTCCACGACAGCTTGGGAAAGAACTACTGCAGTGCCAATAAATCTCTAGTATTCAGCCTGAGGCATGACATGCGGGGCTGAGCCACACAAGAGCTAGAGACGCTCCCCGCAAGCAGAGGACAGTGCTTTTGTGGCAAAACATGGTTTTTAAAAAAATCACTTTTACTATTATTTTCTGGTTCTCTAAGTAGATAGCTTATTGTTAAACAGTTGGAAGATAGAAAAAAGCATAAAAAAGAAAATAAAAGCATTCAAATATTATACTCTAATGTTAACATCTTTACAGTCTTTTCCCTAAGTATTTGTATTTAACATAGTTTAAAATCACTACATATATATGTATAAATCATGATGTATCATATACACAAAGAAATACACCCACATACATAGTTTGAAGTCTTGTTTTATTCTCTTAATATGCTATGAATATTTTCCCATCGCTAAAAATTAGTCTGCGAAATATTCTATCTTAGGGTTGTATCATAGCCTACAGAATGGTTCTCCTATTTTTTGGACTCTCAGCTCTTTTCCAAGTTTAAAAAAAATGACTATTGTAGAAAAAGACCTGACAAACATCTTTGTGCTGAGTGTTTCTGCCTGCACTTACGACTGACTCTCAGGAACTGTTCCCAGACATGGAGCCACTCATTGGAGGGTGTGAGGTGTTTCAGGCTCAGAGGCCGAGTCTTCCAGAAGCCCATCTCCGAGCAGCATGGACAGGCCTGTCTCCCTCTCTACACCACTGCCAATACTGGCGATGATCAGTTTTGAATCTTTGCTAGTAATAGGCAAAATGCCACTTCACTGATGTTTTAATGTGCAGGTCTGAATTACCCCTGAGGTCTGAATTACCCCTGAGGTTGAACATTTTTTCAGAAGCTTACTAACCATGTCTCTTTCTTCTCTTGTGAGTAACCTACCCGTGCAGCAAGAGCTTCTAATTTTCCACCCAGCAAAAAGCTCCTCTTACTTCCCCGCCTCAAAGGCAGACTGAAGCAAACTAGTGCTCTCTTCAAACAAAAGGTCAGAATATTTCCTAAGTTTCATGAAAAAGGCCAGCTTAAGTTCACTGCTTGATAATCCAAAAGGAACTAATAACTTTCACCTCTCAGTTGAGTTTGACAACAGTACCAGGTTCTCTTCCTGTTGAACACAGAAAAGAGAAACAGCCAGCAGGCAGCTCCCTGGGTCAGAGCACACGCTGGATGCTGCGGCCACTGGAACTACAACGGTGTGATATCTAATCTGGGGGTATCTTTCAAACAATTTCTGGTTGAGTAATCATCACACTCTATTATCCTCCTCCAACCTTAACAAAACTGTAGCTAACTCTGCCCATAAAACAGAAAAGGGAAGAAAACAAAATGTAAGGAGCACTTGCTGTGTGCCAAGCCCGGCGCTGGGTGTTCTGTGTGTACGCTCATCTTTGTTAACTTACAGCCAGCCCAGGGAAGGCCAAGCTCTGCTTCATGTTACAGATGACAGGCTGCACCTCTGGGTGCCCAAGCCATCTGGCCCAACATCATGGAGCTAGCAAGCCTCGCTCAGAGCCTGTGTCACAGACTCCATCCTCTGTGTTTTGTCTTGAGCTTTACTTGGCTCTGCTTTGCTTAGGCAGGACACCTAAAGAGAGACCATTTCTTGCTCATGCTGTTTGCAGAGCAGCATGGGACAGAGACCCTGAAACTGCAGACCCTGCCTCCAACAGGCCTGCTGCTTGTGTTAACGGCCAACTGCTTCCCACATTTACAATTGCCTTCTCCTCTGCAGCCCTGGGATGGCCGACGCTGGCAAAAATCCCAAAGGCCGCGTTCCTTTTCCTGCAGTGACAAAACTGGGGTACCAAGAAATCGAGTGACTCACCTAAGGTCACCCAGCTTCAAGTCCTATTGCCAGAATTCCAAGAGCCAAGGATGAATTCCCCAAACCACAGAGGGGCTCTACCTAATACCTCTATCCACCTCTAATACTTCTATCCACCTGGTCCCAGGCACAGCCCCTAAACCTGAGCCCCCTCCTCCTGGCTCCTCCCCACCAGGAAGTGACGGCAGCCCTGTGACTGTTAACCCGGAAAACTGCGAGAGGCTTTCCCATGGAGGGGTCCTCACACCTGGGTTCACCCCTGCCGGAAGACACTGCTGCATTGTGTGCAGCAGCTGCAAGGCCTGCGTGATGGAAGGCGAGAGCCCCTGGCCGGCTGCCCTGGTAGGTGACCTTGCTCTAAATTCAATGGCAGCACTGCCAGAACTTTGAATGAGGGCCGAGGCCATCAGGTTTGAGGCTTGTCACTCCTGTGGAGAGCAGAGCTCCCGATGACGGTGGGTGGCTGGAGAGATGTGGACGGGGTGTCTGCCCCACAGGGAGTGCCAGAGGGCATGCGGGGTGGTGGCGCTTGGCTGAGAGGCTCACAGGGAGACGACCCGCAGGCAGGGACACCCAGGTGCTGGAAGGTAAGGAAGAAACCCAGGGCCACCGAGGGGCACGAAGCTGAGATCACCTATTGCAGTCATCTTCCAGAGAGGAAGGGCGGAAGGCGCTGAGGTGTAGCTGGCAGTGGCCTGTCCATCGTGGTAGGCACCGGGGCAGCAGCGCAGCGGGAGATGGCGGCAGGCTTCAGAGCCCACCACCTGGGCTGGATGCCCAGCTCGGCTTGGAGGTGACTTTGGGGCGAGGCCTGACACTTCCCTGAGCATCTCTGTGGAATGCAGTCAGTGCCACCCGCACCTAACAGCTGGGAGGGTTTGCATGTTCTTAGCACCCACACAGGGTCTATTGTCACCAGGCCACAGGCCACGATCAGCTGAGTGCCTTGATGGCTCCATAACGGCTTTCTCAATGAGCAAGCTACTTTTCATAACAACAACAAAGCAACGACGCCTTGATGCCACATTCATGCCACCGCCCTCACCACTTGGCCCCCGCAGCCTCGGAAGCCTGCCCACCTGCAGGTGTGGTTTGCACAGGACGGCACATCCCTCCTCGTCCTGGGTTTAAGCTTAAACACACAGGTGAGGTCTTATGTTGGGGTCAGTGACACATATCAGAGAATATTCATGCAATTCCCCATCAGAAGGTTTCCAAAAAGTGACTCGGAACCGTGGCTGATGCTCTGGCAAGTCACTGCAAAGGGGTGGGAAATCATTATCTTTGGAAACTGCGTGGAAAAGGCCAGTGAGGAAACCCGCGCAGAACTGACGGCGAAGGCACCTGCCTCGTCTGCAGCGGGTGTTGGCGGGAATGGCCTTTTGGGCGGGCTCCTGGAGGGTGGCGGTGGCGGTGCCGGGCCCTGCCCAGGGGTCTGCCCAGCAAGGTAACAGCTCTTTGAGTGATGCCTTTTTGCTAGAGTGGGTTCTAATGTTATTATTTTGATTTTTTTTTGAGACACAGTCTTGCTCTGTTGGCCAGGCTGGAGTACAGTGGTGCAATCTCTGCTCACTGCAACCTCCGCTTCCTGGGTTCAAGCGATTCTCGTGCCTCAGCCTCCCGAGTAGCTGGGATTACAGGTGCATACTACCACATCTGGCTAATTTTTGTATTTTTAGTAGAGATGGGGTTTCACCATGTTGCCCAGGCTGGTCTCGAACTCCTGACTTCAAGTGATCTTCCCACCTCGGCCTCCCAAAATACTGGGGTTACAGGCATGAGCCACCACGCCAGCCTTGTTTCAATTTTTAATAAAGTAAGGACTTCATGCTGAGGACAAGGCGTATTACCCGCTGTTCGTGTCTGACCAAGACAAGAATCTGGGTCTGGGCCCACAGTCCAGGATTCTCTGCAGAACAGGAGGGCTTCTGCGGGGAACATCAGGGCAGAGACATCTTCCCTGAATGGGCAGAGGGGACAAGAGGCCAGTCCTTGCCACAGCTGTCTGCTAACCCAGAGAGCAATCTTTGGTCCTGGGCTGGGAGCTCTGTGAGGGAAGGGCTGTCTGAGTCACCTGCGTCTCTTCCACACAAGCCTTAGCTTCTCTACACCCAAACTTCCTTTTGGAAAATAAGAAGCATACTTGTTGGGTCACTGGTCACCCTGTGAGGAAGGGGCTTGTGCGTGTGAATGCACTTGGCACTTTGAAATGCTCTCTAGAGATTCGCTAAAGGGAATAGACTTAAATCCTAGATGGAGGAAAGGACCAGGCCCACACAAATCTTCCAAGGCAGGACTTCAGGGGAGCTTATATTTAGGTCAGTGCAATTACTTTTGTACAGGCCTATAAAACACACAATCAAACTATGGCTCTTCTGGGAGGCTTGTCCCACTACATAAACCCCTCAAGACACTGTCCTCCTGGAATAGTCACCTTCGCTCACAATTTTAAAGTTCCTCACAATGTGCAAAACACACTGGGGTTTAGTTTTTTAAATCTGATTGAGGCTGATACACCCCACTTTGTAAGATTTTGTGTAGATTAGATAAGATAGATGGTGGATACAAACGGTCAGCGAAGCATCCGGTACATAAATAGCGCTCTATAAATAGTGGCTGCTGTCATGATTCTGAAACCCGCATTACAGATGGAGAGACCAAGGAGCTGAGGCGCTAAGGAGATGACCTAAGGTTGCAAAGTGAAAAGCAAGGCCAAGGAGGGGCTTCATTTCAAATACCAGATGCGGGGCCGGCCCTCCATCCACTCCTCGGAACGCGGCACTCCGCGGCCTCCCGGGTAGACGGTCTCCACCACTACTTGCTTCTGTTCATCTCTGACGGCAGAGTTAAATAAAATTAATACTATTATTGAATGCCAATTTTCATGTTTAATTTTATGGCCAAATGTGACAATAATAGTCAAGAGTTGGCACTAAAAAAAGGTGCTGTGATTTTTGAAGAGTCTATAAAAAAATGGTGGTTTTTAAAATACCAGATCATATGATTCAGTCTTTGAACAGCGGATAGCCTCACCAGGGAAGTCACAATGACATTTAAATACAAATCAAGGAGTCGGATCTCAGGAGGCTAGCCACATATAATTCAACTGAACTTTCATTGAGAGATAGTTGTTAGTTATAAGACTAGCTTTCCAAATGTATGTGGTACATCATATGTGAATCGATTGCCTGTGCAGAACACCAGCCTATGCTGTTTTGCAAAGAAGTACGATGCCAAGTGAGAGGGAAGCAGTCATCTTCCTGACTCGTCCATCCTGAATGAGAAGGGACTTTGAGCAGACAAGGAAACGGCGTGAACACGGACGTATGGATCACGCCCTGAGAGAGGATCATTTTATCCTTCAGCCTCCTAGATCAATTATGGTAAAAAAGAGAAATCCTTCTTCATTATTATTTTCTTTTTTTTTTTTTTTTTTTTTGTTGAGACGGAGTCTCGCTCTGTTGCCCAGGACGGAGTGCAGTGGCGCGATCTCGGCTTACTGCAAGCTCCGCCTCCCAGGTTCATGCCATTCTCCATTCTCCTGCCTCAGCCTCCCAAGTAGCTGGGACTACACGCGCCTGCCACCATGCCAGGCTAATTTTTTCTATTTTTAGTAGAGACGGGGTTTCACTGTGTTAGCCCGGATGGTCTCGATCTCCTGACCTTGTGATCTGCCTGCCTCGGCCTCCCAAAGTGCTGGGATTACAGGCTTGAGCCACCGCACCCGGCCATTATTATTTTCAATTAAAGGGGAAAGATAAGCTGTATTTTGAAAGTCAAAGCTCTAGGTGATCCAATCAAAGCACCATCGGAGAATGCACCAACACCAAAGCAATGGCGCCCCCGTCCCCCGGGCCTGCTGTGGGCCCACCCCGCTGCCAAGCAACAGGCTCGGTCGCCACCGCCTCCATCTTCGCAGCAGCCCTGGGAGGGAGCAGATTCTCCTGTTGCAGAAAATAAGGTCGCTTGCCCAAGGCCACAGAGATGGCAAATGGGAGACGGAGAAGTCAAAGCCAGGCTGGCAGGAGCCAGGAACCTGTGGTAAGCGTTGACTGAAAGGGTCCACAGAGTCGTCCCCATCGCCTGAACTCGGGCACACATGCTGACAGGTGCTTGGAGATAATACTGCTCGTTGTTAACAAGCAGCCCAGCACTCCCACAGCCAGCTGTGGCCCATGCAGTTAGGGGACTGAGAGCTCTGCCAGAGGTCCGTTCTGCAAATAAACAAGCTGTGGCCTGGGGCCAGGCAGTCTGTGGTCCTGTTCTTTGCTCCATGTAGGGCTAGAGAAAACACTCAATGGGAGAAACTTGGGGAGGTGCAAGCATGAGACAGAGCCTCGCACTCCTTCAATCATGGAAGTCTGTGATTCGCAGGCATCTTGTTTTCTGAATCTTGAGCTCCTCACTGTAAATTGGAGGTTGCGTGAGGCCCATTATTTCTTCAGTTTGGATTCTGTGAGTTCAGAGAAGGCCAAGGGTTGGAAGTAGAGTGAGCATCAGGAAACGGTGGCCTCTTGCTGCAGAGGTGGCTTCTCCGAAGAGGGATGGTGTGCTCTGAGCACTCTGCTTCCTCGATCTGTCAGCCTGGCTGGTCTCCCAGGGAGGGAACCTGCGAAGAGCCCCCGACCCTGCACTGGGAAAGCCCCAAATACACAGCTTCTCATTTTATGCTTACGGAGATCCTATATCACTACCCTCAGGTCACAGAGAGGTGCACTGAGTTCATATGAGTGGAAATTACCCGCCAGTCACCAGAGCGTGAGCAAACCGGCCAGAGCGAGGGGCCCTCCCCGGCCCTCCCACCACGGAGCCGGCTCCCCTTGCCCTTTAGGACTCAGCCAGACACCGCCTTCCCCGAGCAGTGCTGTTCTCAGCGTGGAAGTGCCCGACATCGGGAGCTTCTCCCTCCATCCCAGCCAGCACTGCTGTGGGAAGCACAGCCCCTTCGCTTGCACTTCTCCGGATCAATGTTTATTTTAGGACCTTTAAGTATTGTTTTCTTCAGCGCAGAAAATAGTGCTTAATAAAATGGAATTCACCTAATGCCACTGGCTGCCAGCTGCCCTCCCTCTCCAAACGGCAGAAGGCAGTGCAAGACCTGGGCTCCTCCTGCACCACGGGTCATTTTAAATTGATTTCTTTCTGCAGAGGCCTCCTGAGGAAGCAGTTTTTCCATCTTAACGGGACTGCTTGGCCCGCTGGGTCCAAACAGCCACAGGTCCAGCAAAAGCAGGGAGGAGCCGGTGCCCGGAGCTTCATTCCCCACGGCCTCTGACACACAGCATGCAGGGCCAGGTCTTGGAGTCAGTAGGCAGAGCTCAGGCGCCCACCACTGCTCTCGACTCCCCGAGGCTTTGGCGCCCGGGCTAGTGTCCCGGCTGCAGGGCTGCATTCGGGAAGGGGTGCTGTGCCGAGGAAGGGCATGGGCTTGCAGCAACACGGACTGGAGCGCAACCCTCTTCTCACCTGTTTGCTTTGTGACCGGAGGCAAGTCACTTGAGTGTCCCCAGGCCTTGGTTTTTGATCCACAACGTGGATCTCCTATATTGCAGGGCTAGTCGGGATTTGGGAGAATTGATTTGAACCACTTGGCACATAATTGGTGCTCAAAACAATTATAGCTATTATAATGCTTTTGGGAGCAATTCAAAAGTTTTAAAGTGGACGACGGTGATGGTTGCACAACTCTGTGAATAAACAAAAATCACTGAGCCGTACACTTCAAATGGGTAAATTGCATTGTGTGCAAATCAAATCTCAATAAAGCTGTTATTAAAAAATATGGCTATTAAAGGAAGTTATCATGATAAAGATCAAACGAGGTAGCTTTTAGGAAGACATTTTGTGAAGGTATAAAATGCAAGATAAATATGAGATGTTCTGGGCATTATTTTCACCCATTGACCTGTGTTCATAGGTAACACTTCACTCAAGCTAATATCAGGGTGTCTGCGTCTCCACTCCATCCTTACCTTGGTTGTGTCAGAGCTGTTTTCTTCAACTTGGTGCCCCCCATGCTACCAGTGTGTGGCCCAGAGCAGGTGCGGAGGACCCCATGCACAGGAAGGCAGTGGCTTGAGGGCCCAAGGCAGCACGGTCTCCATGCTCCCTGGTTTTACCCTTCATGACCCGCTCAGACTCCAGGCGCGGCATGGCACTGCCCGGACCCTTCCGCCTAGTGCTGGAACCATTTCAACACTCTTCCAGATTTGTTCTGTCTGTAACGGTGGGTTTTTGGGTTTTCTCCAATGTTCCTCACTGAAAATTCTGAAGATGTTTGTATTAAGATTAAAATATCTATCAGATTCTTTACCACTGGGGCGCGGTGGCTCACGCCTGTAATCCCAGCACTTTGGGAGGCTAAGCCGGGCGGATCACTTGAGGTCAGGAGTTCGAGACCAGCCTGGCCAACACGGTAAAACCCCATCTCTATTAAAAATACAAAAATTAGCCAGGCGTGGTGGCGCGCACCTGTAATCCCAGCTACTCTGGAGGCTGAGGCAGGAGAATAACCTGGACTCAGGAGGTGGAGGTTGCAGTGAGCCGAGATCGTGCCACTGCACTCCAGCCTGAGTGATAGAGTGAAAGTCTGTCTCAAGCAAAACAAAACAAACAAACAAAGATTCTTTACCACTTTTCTGCTATTCATTTAAAGTCTGAAAGACCTGGTTTCTGCCTGGGTCTACTTCTAATCTGCCGTGCCCTTGGGCAAGTCACCCTGTCCCTGAGCCTCCCTCCTGGTCTGTAAAGAAAGGAGCCGCTGCCTACACAGTGGCAGCCAGGAGCCAGTGAGTGACCTACGTGGGCCCAGGGCAGGGCACACAGCTGGGGCTCCAACAGGGCTCACTCCCTCCTGCTTTCTGAATTGTAATGGAAAATCAACTGTTTTGAAGTTTCTCTGCCTTAGATGACAGAGAACCAGAGTGTTTCCTTGCTTTTCCAAAGCGTCATGTTCAGCTCACAGTAAGCTGGAAAAAATCTGCTACCACAGCAACTGCCTAGGTGAAGGAACTAGGTTCAGGACCAGCAGCACCTGCAGAGGCAGCTAAGTTACAGTTCCACACTTCCTTAAATGAAAAGCTGGTGCATTGACAAAATCTCAGCTCCTCTCAGTTCCTCTTAGGTTCTTCTGGAATGCCTGGCTGAACTCGAGGAGAGAGGTCAAGGAATGGCAGTGTGGTGGTCACAGAGTCTGCTTCTGCTTCCATCACCTCTGCCACAGATGTGGCTGCATCCCACACCTGCCGTAACAGGTCTCTGAAGGTGTGGGTGCCACAACTGGGAGGCCACCCTGCCAAGCAAGCGGGACCTTGGCAGCCCCCATCACACTCATGTAATTTGGATCTTGCAGCACAGCTAGAGGACACTGGCCACTCCTGTGAAACACAGGCTGATGGAACCACTCGGCTGTAGTCTCCTGAGGCCCTGCAGTCTCACCATACCACGCGACTCCTCCCGCTAATGTGTGAGGGCAGGCAGTCATCACATCACGGCAGAAACAGGGATGCCGCCCAGGGCCAGATCTGAGGGCAGAAGCTTGGGACAAATCACACTGGGTTTGGTTCAGCAGTGTTCAGAGAACAGCTGTCATCTTGCAGGCCCTAAACTCAGTGCATGGGGACATAAAATGAATCAGAAACAAGCCCTTATCTTTCCAGGAGCTTCAGAAGCCCATGAGAGAGATGGACAACAGAGAGCCGGGCTTCATTTGTGTAAGCTGTGGTAAGTGCTACGATACAGAACTTTTAGCATGTTAGAGGAGTATGCAGTATCAGGCACTGATCCTGCCTGAGAAGCTTCAGGAAGAGCTGGAGAGAAGTGTTGACCAAGTTAAGACACACAGTAAGGGGAGCTGGCAGGTAGAGGGCTGTGGGTAGAGAAGGACCATCCCAGATAGAGGGAGCATTACTTGCAAAGAGCCAGGTGGACTAGTGCATGCAGGCCAGCCAGGGACCCTGGATGATCATCTGAGTGGACAGAGGGGCCGGGGGAGGGACACAGCTGAGAGGTAAGCAGGGGCCAGATAAGAAAGGGCTATGGGCTGCATTCAGGTGCACACCTGCCCCCCTGCTGCCGCATCCGAGAGCGCACACATCTGCCCCCTCCTCCCCGCCGCGTCTGGGAGTGCACACCTGCCCCCCACTGCCACATCTGGGAGCGTACACAGCTCAACCCCCGCCCCCAACACCAGCCTCATCCAGGGGTGTGCACACCTGCCCCTCCCTGCTGTCAGAGAAGCCCACATGGAAATAAATGTCAAAGGCTAGTGTTCAGAACATAGGAAATCAAGCAAGGTAGCACAGAGAAGAAACAACAGAAGAAAGTAAAGAACGTTAACTATAGAGAGTGAGAATATTTACTGTTCGCAACAATCACATATGTTAACTCATTTATTTTCATTTCCTTCCAAGGTTGATCTTTGAAATGGTTTGGTGTTTTTTTTTTTTTGGATGGAGTCTTGCTCTGTTGACTAGGCTAGTACAGTGGCACACTCTCGGCTCACTGAAACCCCTGCCCCCTGCCTCGCAGGTTCAAGCGGTTCTCCTGTTTCAGCCTCCTGAGTAGCTGGGACTACAGGCACGTGCCACCACACCCGGCTACTTTTTGTATTTTTAGTAGAGATGCGGTTTCACCATATTGGCCAGGCTGGTCTCAAACTCCTGACCTCATGATCCGCCTGCCTTGGCCTCCCAATGTGCTGGGATTACAGGCGTGAGCCACCGCTCCTGGCCTGAAATGGGTTTTGTCTTCACAAAGCAGATGAGGAAACTGAAGCTCAGGCAATGAAGTGACTGCCAGGAGTCAAGTCTACGTGGACACACAGGACATGTCATTCCCTGGGCCTCCAGACAGGCATGGCTGGCAGTGAGAGCTGGGGCAGCCTCCATAGGAGGGCAGGTGAGGCAGGGCTTCCTCCCCCAGTTCCAGGTGAGACGCGGCCCAGAGGCCAAAGCCCAGGACCCAGATCTGAGGTTCCCAAGGAAAAGTGCATCTTCCTGCCTTCCTCACACAGAGGCAGGCGAGAGGTAAAGGACGGGTCCAAATCCATCCCGTGGACACTAGACAGAGCTGGGACACGAAGCTCAGGCCCAGAGAGCTGAAGGTAGAGAGGGAAAGAATGAGGAACCTCTCTGGCCACTTTTGCTCCTGGTATGTCATTAAAGCAAGCAAGCAAGAGAAATTGGCAGGAGTGTTTTTGGCACCTGGATTTCAGAAACACTGTGGCAGCCTCCCTCATCAGGCTCATCAGAAACCACAGAACCAGCAGAGTCAAGCCCTACAACAGCTTTTGTAGAAGAGCTGCAGATGGGCCGGACTGGTAAGCCAGCTAAAACACAGTATTAGGGTCCTGGGATGCCATCCGTTCCGGAGGTGAATGAAAATCTACTGAGGGACACCGTGCCTAGGTCATCAGCCTCCATGGAAATAAACATCCCTGTATAATCATCTCCCCGCTAAGTGGAGCTGAACCTATACAAGAAGACTACGTTGCAGCAATCTTTTTCGACAGAAATCTTTCCATGTTAAGATGCAAATTTCCCTTCTTTCTACAGGATGCCTGCCTCAGTGTGACCCTGTGACAACATGCCATGGGGGCTCAGGTGACATGTAAAATGCCATGCCGTGGGTTTCTTCCGGCGCCCCATCTGAACACATGGGAGCTGCACGGGCCTCTGCGGCCGGCATTGCTCGCATTGGTGTCCCCACCCCGAACTCACGTTTCACTCAACACTCTGCTCCTGTCATTCCCAAGTTTCAGCCCCACCTCCACCTGGCTAACCTCATCTCAGCCCCACCTCCACCTGGAAAAATTCTCCATCTGCTGGCCTCCTTCTCTCCCTGTGCTTCTAGTGGCTTCCCTGACGAAGCACGTCTGAGGAGGCCAGCACTGCACATGTGCAGAGTCCTCAGAAGAGCGGAGACAGAAGGTCTGTGTGTTCACCTTTCTAGCACCTGACTCAATGCCTCAGACATAGCAGGTATTGAAGAACAGGCTGGTGGAACTAAGAGGCACCCAAAAGCCTCCTGGAGAGAACGACTCAGTAGAGAGCTGACTGGTTTTAAGGCAGTGAAATGCCCCCATTTTGTTAACAAAATGCCTCAATCATATTGAATCAGTAGCTATTAGTTTAAAAATGCTATTATATCTAATTACATATTTCATCAATTCTAAGTGAAATCTCATTTTCCCTAGATTAAAGGGGGGAAAACAAACAGGAAAAGGACATACTCAAATGTGCCTTGCAAACAATCAACAAGGTCCATGCCGAGCACGGGGAGGGGGCATGGCCAGGACCCCACAGGCCTTCTTGTCCCAGGCCCCAGAGCTCAGTGCAGGGTGACAGAGAAGAACTCCAGGGTGTGGAGTCACAGAAACCCAGACTTTCATCCAAGCTCTGCCTCAGTATCAGTGTCATCCTGGATAAATCAGTCAAGCCTCTTGAAGTGTTTTCTTGCTGTGAAGGTGAAGGACAATAATGCCAACCTGAGAGTGTAACGGTGAGGTTTGAAAAGCCGCAGGCCAAGCGCTGGGCACAGAGCATGCACCTGATGGCCAGCAGTGGTACCTGGCAACACTGCTTCCCATGGACGACAGGAGCCCTGCACCTGACCCGGCCACATGGAGCTGAAGGGACAGCAGAGGTCACAGAAAATGCCAGAACCTCCTTAGGAAAGGCATTCAAAGCCCCCCAACTCCCTGGGCCCATGGACCTCTGGTTCTTGCCTGCATACGTGTACCACGGGACTGCATCCTGCCTGGGAACCGTCAACGCACCATCATGCTGCCGGGCCCTGGCACAATCCTATTCCAGCCACCAGGAAGCCCTGCCTTCAACTCTTAGCCTAGGAATCGACTGGTTCTTCAGGGATAAGCTCCAATACAGTCTGCTTTGTAAGCCACCTGGACTTCTCCCCATCCCACCCCCAGGAACCAAGCCCTCGCTATACCCATCAGTCTGTGCTCACACTTTAACCCATCATCAGCCACGCTTGATGGCACTGGTTTCTTTGGATACCTATTTCGTCCACCTCCTTCGCTCCTGGACCGTGAATTCTACAGAGTGAGGGAATTACATCTTACTCATCTTTTACAGGCCTAGAACTCAAGGGCTCATTACATGTTTGCTGAATGAGTTACTGGAAACGGCCTTAGATCACCTGAATGACTTTCATGAGCAGGGGGGTCAGCGGTGTTCAGTGTGGCCCCAGAGGGTAGAGCCAGAGCAGACGGCCTGCAGCGGCCACCAGCTTCGTGTTCTCCAGCACGAGGGGCCACCCCACTACAACTCACGCCTCCCACTGCCTACAGGGGAAAGCTCCCGAAAAGCACACAAAAACAGCTCCCTGAGGAATCCGGGAGTAAAACAAAAGCAGCAGAATGTGGAGGAGTCGACACATGGAATGAGCTCGCCCACGGGGTGGCGGCGCCTCCCACTTTTCCCTCGACCTTTCCTCCACAGTGTGGAAAAAAATGCCCTGTTACAGAGCATCAGGCAACAGCACTGGAGGCCGAAACTCTAACAGAAATATCGCCTTTCTGCCCAGGAAAAGGGGTGGAGTCTTTGTAGGCTGCAGAGTTGCATATGGAGGTGGGGGAATCTTAGAGGCGAGAGAGCTAGAGAAGTGGACCCTTTCATTCTGCATAGAAACCTGCAGAAATCTCGGATTGATCCCTGAGCAAAACAGACCCAACCGAACAGTACAAAGCTGTAAAGGCCGGGCACGGTGGCTCACGCCTGTAATCCCAGCACTTTGGGAGGCCGAGGCGGGCAGATTGCTTGAGGCCAGGAGTTCGAGACCAGCCTGGGTAACATAGTGAAACCCCATCTCTACTAACAATACAAAAACTAGCTGGGTGTGGTAGTGCACGCCTGTAATCCCAGCTACTCAGGAGGCTGAGGCAGGAGGATTGCTTGAACCTGGGAGGCAGAGGTTGCAGTGAGCTGAGATCACGTCACTGCACTTGAGCCTGGGCAACAGAATGAGACTCCATCTTAAAAAAAAAAAAAAAAAGAAAGCCTCAGAAAACAGAACTGGGGTTTGACTACCCAGCACACGCACACGCACACGCACACGCACACACACACACACACACGTTTCAGATTTACCTCTGAGTTATGTACAGGATAGACCTCAGCAGCATGGGAAAGCCGTGAAATGAGATTTGAGCCACACACGTGTCTCAGCCTGACTCCCCAAGAGGCACACGGGTGGGACAGACCCAATGGTGTGCTGCAGCTAGCTGGTTCCCGCTCCCAGGAGCCAACTGTTAGCATCTCTTCTCCACTCTTCATCCAGTGACGTCACGTGGATAGCCTGAAATTGCCCAGAAGGCAAGTATTTGCACTACAAAAATCAGCAAATGCTATGATCCAAGGCTGGTTGTTAAAAATTAACCAAGTCACACTGGAGAGACCCAGAACAATGCAGCAGAGGCCTGGGGAGGTGAGCTTGAGGAGCTGAGATGTGACCTCCCATCCCAATAGGGCCAGGCAGAACTTAAGGTCTGAACCTAACTGGACTGAGGACCTGACAAGACAAATCATCACTATTCTCCAGAGGCTCCCAAGAGAACCCACAGTCTGCAAAAAATAACACCCACAATGCCCAAGACACAATGGGAAACTGACAACAGGAACGAGATCGATTCAGAAGAACGAATGGGTACCCCAAGATCACCCAAATGCTGGAGCCACAAGACAGTCTTTAAAGCAGCCGCTATAACCAGACTCCCGTGACAAAAGAAAACACATTCAAAATGAAGTTTTAAAAATAGGAATTTACAACAAAGAAATAGAAAATATAAAAGAGAGGCAAGTGGACATTTTACAACTTAAAAATACAATGAATTAAAATAAAAAAAAAAAAAAAACTCCTGAATAGCTTGAACCTGGGAGGCGGAGGTTGCAGTGAGCTGAGATTGCGCCACTGCACTCCAGCCTGGGTGACAGGGTGAGACTCTGCCTCAGAAAAAAACAAACAAACAAAAACACCTCCTGAATGGAGAACAGTAGAATGGAGGTAACTGGGGAGAGGGTAAGTTAACTTGAAGATAGACAAGTCACAAAAGAAAATATTGAGAAACTAAACTGCATCAAATGTAAAACTTTTGATATTCAAAAGCAAATCAAGACTGGGAAAAAAAAATCACAACACATTGATTAGACAAAAGATTTGTATCCAAGACTATATAAAGAAATCTCAAAACCCAATAATATGAACTCAAACAACCTAATGAAAAATAGGCAAAATATTTAAATAGACATTTCATCAAAGAAAGTTTCAAATAATCCATAAATACTTGGGAAGATGCTCAGCATCCACAGTCATGGGGGAAATGTAAATGTCAAACTATCACAATGGGAAACACCCATACTTGAACAGCTACAATGAAACAGACTGACCACATCAAGCATTGGCAGTGACTGGGGTGGAAGAACGAGAACTCTCACACACTGCTGATGGGAGCATGCAAGGGAATCTGCTATTTTTTCTTTTCTTTCTTTTTTTTTTTAGACAGTCTCACTCTGTTACTCAAGCTGGAATGTGGTGGCACAGCCATAGCTCACTGCAGCCTAGACCTCCCAGGCTCAAGCAATCCTTCCACTTTAACCTCCTGAGTAGCTGGGACTACAAGTGTGCACCACCACACCCAGCTAATGTTTTTTATTTTTAGTAGAGATGAGTTCTCATTATGTTGTCCAGGTTGGTCTCAAACTCCTGGGCTCAAGTGACCTGCCTGCCTCAGCCTTCCAAAGTACTGGCATTACAGGTGTGAGCCACTGCACCTGACCTGGTCTGGTAGTTTCTTAGTTATCCACAGACCTATCATATGGGCCAAAATCCTACTCCCAGATATTCACCAAGAGCAATGAAAATACGTCTATGCAGAGGTCTGTTGAGGAATGGTTATGGCAGCTTTAATAGCAATAGCCAAAAAAGTAGAAACAACCCAAATGCCCATCAACAGGCGAATGCATACATAAATAATGGAATACTTTAAGAATGAAATACTCAACTACAAAAAGGAACAAACTATTGTTGCAGGCCAACCACGTGGATGAATCTCCAAACCATTGTGCTGAGTGAGTGATGTCAGACAAATGCAAGTCCTCACTATGTGATCCCATTTATATAAAATCCTGGAACACAAGAGCTAATCCACGGCAGAAGCACGCCAGGGGTTGCTGTGGGACAGACTGCAAAAGGGCACAAAGAACTTTTGGGGGTGATAGCAACATTTGTTATACTGAATGTGCTGAAAATTCCTTGCGTATAGACACATATCAAAGCTGATCAAATTATACACTTTAAATATGTAGGGTTTACTCTTCCACAATAATCCTTCTATAAAGTTGTACCAAAAGACAAGCCCTGTGAAATATCTCCCCACCAAAACTGTCTGGCTCTAAACCACTGGAGAAGTGTGTCTTCTAAAGTCAGAAACACCTCGGTTTGGGTTGGGTACAGTGGCTCATGCCTATAATCCCAGCACTTTGGGAAGCTGAGGCAGGTGAATCACCTGAGGTCAGGAGTTCGAGACTAGCCTGGCCAACATGGCAAAATGCCGTCTCTACTAAAAAGACAAAAATTAGCTGGGTGTGGTGGTGGGTGCCTGTAATCCCAGCTACTCAGGAGGCTGAGGCAGGAGAATCGCTTGAACCCAGGAGGCAGAGGTTGCAGTGAGCCAAGATGGCGCCACTGCACTCCAGCCTGGGTGACAAAGTGAGACTCCATCTCAAAAAAAAAAAGAAAATAACAAAAGAAACACCTGGGTTCAAATCTTAGGCCTGGCAAGAGACTGAAGTTCCTTGACCTCAAGGCCTTTGTGTGTACAATGGAAAAGCCCACAGCATCGACCGACCTCAGAGCTGCTGTCGGTACTGGGTGAGTGCGTGGCTGGGAGGTCTGTCCCAGCCCTGGAGGTGACGCATTCTCCACGCCATCTCCATGCTTGTGTGCTGGCCACAGTGTCTTGCCCTCTCTCCACTCCTGAGAGTTCCTTCCTGGGAATCCCAAGGCACCGTACAGTCTGTGTATGGCGCTCACAGGGTCTTGTCTCACCCTTTTGTGGGTGCATTTTTATCTCTAGGAAACCACAGGTGTTTGGAGAGGAAGAATGCATCACAGCCCGTTGATTCTCCACAGTCCCTTGCATCACAGTCTGTTGATTCTCCTCGGTCCCTAAGACAACGCCTTGCAAGCATCACGCCCCTCGATGTTGCTTACGGGAGACGTGTGCGTGGGCGCGGGAGGGTGCCCAAGCTGGTGCTGTGCACGCCAATGGCAATCCCATCTTGTGGAAAATCTATGACTAGCAAATACTTCACGAAATCGGGAATTATTTTTAGTTCTATTTGTTTAAAATAAAGAAGCCACTCTCTTAAAAATGTATTAATTAATTAATTAACAAGCTTCTACATTTTAGGTTTTATATACTTTTCTGTCACTTTCCCTGACAAAGTCACACAGGTAGGAACCATGACTGTCACATTTTAAACAACGATGTCTCTAAAGTCTTACAAAGCACAGCACAGAGTGGATGATCAATACATGAATCTACTGAAAGCTTGGGGTCACCAGGATAACAGATAACGTCTGATACATTTGAGTTAAGACAAGGTGCCTTGAAATAACTTTAGTGCAATGCCGTTCTCAAACACAGCAGTGGTCCCAGGCTTACAATAAAAAAAAAGGGAGGGGGCCGAGCGTGGTGGCTCACGCCTGTAATCCCAGCACTTTGGAAGGCCGAGGTGGGCGGATCATGAGAAAAAAAAAAAAGCTGAGCTGTCCTGTGCTTCGGGCAGCCTCAGTTCTTGGCTTTGGTTTTCTCTCCACACAGAGTTACCGTGCTGCCTGCTGCTTCTTCCTGAGCTACAGGCTTCCATGGTCTTCCAGAAGAATACTGTCCTCTTCTGAAACCATGTTTCTGCATATGCCCTGCTG
Organism: Homo sapiens; assembly: GCF_000001405.40. Taxonomy (NCBI): domain Eukaryota; kingdom Metazoa; phylum Chordata; class Mammalia; order Primates; family Hominidae; genus Homo; species Homo sapiens. The sequence continues at coordinate 139,929,698 of NC_000008.11, forward strand.
CTTCAGGAACCATGGTGCCATGCACCCGACACATAGGTGTGTGGGGAGTGGACTCAGGTCCCTTGGCTGGTCACCCAGCAAGCCTGGGCAGCGCTGGCCAGGTGTTCAAGGAAGGCCCAGCAGAGCAGGCTAAGCTGGGATGGGCCTCTGGGGTCTGCCCTCCCCACCTTTCCATCCTCATCTCCAGCCCAGCCCCTCTCTGCCTCAGACCCTTCCATGTCCTGTAAAATGGAGCAAGCACCACCTTGTAGGTGCAGTCCTCAGGAGCAGCACCTGACACACAGAAGGCCATCAATATACGTGTTTGGCACTGTGCGTGGATTCTGCCGATTCTCTACACTTCTCTGTTATGAACAGGTAATTTAAAGAAAACATTGAGCATCGTGAATGGCATATGCTAGGGGCTGAACAAGCATAACTTCACTTCTCTTATTTCTGGGACCTCCCAGATGCCTAAGAGGTGACAGCCAAGGGGGTGACACTCAGGAAGAGCTGAGACCCTTAAGCCTTCTACGCACTATCTTAATGCATGTTTACCCCTCCATCCCAACTCCTGAGATGGGAAGGCTTATAGTGTGGGGCAGTGGGGCTGCGCCAGCCGGGAGTTGATGTGTAACGTGAACAAGATACAGCCAAGGTGAGCAGTGGCAAGGCCAGCGCGCTCACACAACACGGTTCTCGCCAGTCAACTTCTCCCGTGGTGTCGGTAGGGCAGGTGGGTGGCTCAGGATCACAGGGAAAACAAGGGGGTCGATGACTAGAGCCAAGCCTTGGAAAGGGACTTCTGTTCTGCTTTCCAAGCAGCAATGCTCGCATCAGACAGGAGATAGTCACACCCCTCTTTTTTCCATCCTAGACATCAAACAGACAAAATGGTACCAGTGACAGATTAATATTCAAAGGCCATCTTGATCCTTCTAGACCCGTCAAATACAATAAGGAGCATCCCCCGTGTTTAGCCCCATGGAGGAGGGAACTTATTTTGCAATGAGATTTCGTTTTCAACCAATCCTAGTAACCGGCCTTCCAGAGCTGGAGCTCCCTTAGAAACCCAGCCTCATTCCACCGCTGTCTCATAGATGAGACCCTCTGAGGAGACGCTCAAAACAGGGAAGGAGGCGAAAACGGGGCCACCCAAGGGTTATGAGGATGAAATCACGACGACAGCAACACTGTTGAGTGCTCAGTGTACGCTGGACACCTGCATTAGCTCATTGACTCTGCACTCGGTGGTGCCCCCTTTCATAGGTATGGAAAAAGGCACATGCAGGGTGCCCACCCTGCTGGAATCAGCCCTCAGGTCATGGAGCCTGTTCCCTGTCTGTCCAGGAAGCAACCCCGAGGCCCTGGCTCTTGTCCTCCCACCTCCCAAACTGCCCCAAAGGGGTGAGGAAAAGAGCTTCTAGATGATTCTAACCCCACCTCTATAACCGCAAGCTGTGAGATCCTCGGGAAACACTTCGACCTCATGAGGCTCAGTTTTCTAATCTGAAAAATGAGAATATTAACCATAGACAACTGCCACTCACTGAACACCAGCTGCAGTAGAGCCGAGCATACACGTAATCCTCACCGCAACCATAGGAGCTGGATCCTGACATCCCCATCTCACAGAGGAGGAGACTGAGGTTAATGACGTGGCAAATATCCACAATGACAGTTTCTGCAAGTCTTTCCTAGTGCAATCACCCACAACCACAGCCCTAGAAAGAAGGATGAACACTCTTCCACAGAGGCTGGCACGCACCTTAAGGCAGGTGCCCACTGGAACCCTGTCTGTGGTGTCAAGGATTTTACAGTTGACCTTGAAGACCACCTAGTCCAAAGCTCTCATTGTACAAAAAGCCAAGCCCAGAGGTCACACAAAGCTTTGGACCTGAGCCTCTGGGCCCCGCGGTCTGGAAAGTGCTCCTTTCTCTGCATGCTACGGGGCTATCAACTTGAGCTGGTCCAGTCTGCAGATCTACATCCTGCCCGCCTGAGCAGAGGCGGGTGTGGGACCAGTGCGGATCTCCACGATTTGTCAGCCCATCCTGATAAGTCTGAGGCTCTGACCATCATATCTCATCACAGCATCATTAGGATTACAAGTGCCATGCGGTAGAAGAGGAAGGGAAACACGAACAAAAGGATGAGAAATTAAGCCCATTTCACCCGGAAAAGATGACTCTGATTTATTGCTCTATAGCAGCTGACGATGGCCTGTCAGAGAAATTCTGTGTTGAAAATAAAGAATAAAAATCACCCAGAGTTGTTTTGCCACACATCCAAATTAGAAAATGCTACTCTCCGGATGATTTATGCTTCAATTTTTTCCCTTATTCACAGAGAATTTGTCCAGCATTACAAGAGCACCTAAGAGCAATAATACAATTCAAAAGGAGATAGAAGAGGCCGCAGAGGTGTTGATGTGCGGCTGAGGGCGGGGTGCTGGCCCAAAGGCAGGGCTTTGGTGCTCAGAAGCATTGACCTTACAGGGAGGAACAAGGAGAAACCAGCCAGGCAGGCCCCGCAGGCAGCCCACAGAGCCACTTCGCCGTGCAGCCGAGGGAGTCCCGCACCACGGGGCCTCGCTCAGGGTAGCCACCATGGGAGAATGTCCCCACCTCGTGGATGTCAGGCTTGGCCACAGGTCCTTGGCCACGGGACCTGAGCAGAGTGACATATGCCACACTGGATCAGAAGCACGCTGGACCACCACGTGGTATGGCTCCCTTTCTTTCTCCCGTCATAAGTACAAGATGTTGGCTGACCTGACTCCTGGGGTAGAAATGTCATGTAGACACTGGGCGCGGTGGCTCACGCCTGTAATCCCAGCACTTTGGAAGGCCGAGGCAGGTGGATTGCCTGAGCTCAGGAGTTCGAGACCAGCCTGGACAACATGGTGAAACCCGTCTCTACTAATTTACAAAAAAAATTAGCCAGGTGTGTTGGCACATGCCTGTAGTCCCAGCTACGTGGGAGGCTGAGGCACGAGAATTGCCTGAACCCCAGAGGTGGAGGTTGCAGTGAGCCGAGATGGTACCTCTGCACTGCAGCCTGGGCAACAGAATGAGACTGTGTCTTCAAAAAAAAAAAGCACTGTCATGCAGGGCAGGGTCCCAAGGCCCCAGCCAACCTCTCGTTGACATGTAATGTAAGAAGATGTCAACTCATGCTTATAGTCACTGACATTTAGGAATAGTCTGTTACCACAGCATAAGCTGGTAAAAAAAAAAAAAAAAATCATACAGCTCTTCTTCCCGGAACGCCCCTGCACCTCTGCTCCGGTGCACAAATGCTTTCTCTTCAAGGCATGGCGCAAAAAAGCCACTACTTCCAGAAGCATCTCCTCATTCCCCGCCGGGAGCAACATCTCTCTTCTCGAGACCCCAGCCCCTCCGCTGTCTACCCATGGACTTCCTCAGTGTTTGTTTTTTGCATGATTCTTTGTGACCAAGCTGTTTCTCCAGCTGCCTTGAGGACATGCCCTAGGGAACAGTGCTCTGAATCGTACCTGGATTCTGTGCCTACCTGCTCCATCTAAAGCAGAAAACTCCACAACTAAGATCTCTTCTAACATTTAAGGAATAGAGCCTAATTAGCGCATGAATACGTGTTGAACTGTGAATGAATCAATGAGTATGGAAACTACATTATACGCAGTGCTGATAGAACCAAGTTGCCAAGGGAGATATCATCTCTCCTGCAGGAAGGAAGTCCTGCCTCCCACTGATCCACTCAGCGCACAGCCTTGAACAAAACAGAGCAAGAGTTATAACCTTCAGATGTGGGGGCAGAATAGGACCCATTTGGGCAGACACAGGCCACGGAAACCACAGGGCCAGCGTCTTGAGCCCTCGATCAGACGCCTCCCGCCCACCGCGGCCGCTTCTCCACGCTTTTGCCCAGATCTCTGCACCGCGTGGCCCGGTCTTGCCTCCCTGAGGACCACACTGGCTGCAACCCAAACTCGACTCTTCTACTTACACTTGCTCAGCATTTTTGTCATCCCTGCCCTTGGCCAATCCCTGTCTTGGTTTCTGCTCTTCCCACACAAAGTTTTGGGAATCAATTCATACATATTTGAGATTAACCAAAGTCCATGATCAGTTCTGGACCGCTATGGATTCCAGATCCACCTTACGTAGCCGTGTGAGCTCCGGTAAATTACATAACCCATCAAATTTCTTTATCTATAAAGCAGCAACAATAATGTCACGAAGGATTAAGGTAAAGATGAGAAATAGTATAGCAAAAGCATCTACTATGCTATGTGGTTGCTAGTAGGTGTCATCTATTATTTATAAACCTACATGATCGTAATACCATCCTGTCCATATTTCTCCATCCTTAGCTGCTACTACGTTATAGAAACCTCTGTGAGAAGTTATACTCAGCAGAATTCATTTTTGAAAACAAATTTTTTGTAAAACAGGTTAAGCTATGTGATTGCCTTCATTCATTCAACAAAATGCTTTGTGTGCCGACACTAACAGCCACTGTTTTAGGCAAATGTGGTTGAATCCCTGACTTCAAGTCCAATCAGAGAGAGACAGAGAGATTAGGCAAATGTGGCTGAATCCCTGACTTCAAGTCCAGTCAGAGAGAGAGAGAGAGAGAGAGAGAAGATGAGAGTAGCTGTACGCACAGCAGGAGCGTGCACAGGCTACCTGGCAGGGGTGTCTCCTGTCATTACAGTTAGCAGTGACAATAATGACAAATATTCTACCACCATCAATGACAATTTGCACAGACAATGGAAAACCTGGGCTCTTGAAACTTCATTCTTCCAATCTCTTGTAGGCCATGCACTGCTGACTGGCTTTCCTGGTGCTATTTCAGTGGTACTCATAGTGTAGAGAGAGTTTTTTACTTAATGATCAGCCCCTGTCTGAGTCATCACTTCTAAACCGCTCAGCAATTCTCTTTCAATCCTCTTCCACCTTCAGGAAACTGCCTTCCATCCGCCGAGGAATCTCCAGGCTGCACATGTGGCCACAGGAGGCCCCATCCCTGCAGACTGGGGAAGGCGCGCCCTTCTGATCTTGCAAGTAGACACATGGGGCCCAATCGCAAGGGTTCCTCGGTCAGTGTTCGCTCAGATAGGGGACATGGCTCTGGGCAGGACAGCGCTGGCCAAAGGACGAAGTGACTGACCTGCAGCCACTCAGACTCTCAGACTTGAGATAGGAGCCCCAGCACTGCCAAGTCCTACTTGTGGGCTGGGTCAAACCAGGTTAGCTTTCCGAGGTCTTGCCAGGACACCTGCTTCCCAGGCTTGTTGTGAGAATTAGGCAAGACAATGTTCACAGAGTCTCTGGTACATCACACGGAGAAGACAGAGGACCACAGGTATTCCCTAGGAGACCTGTCACTTCACTGCTCAGGATTTCAGCCCCTCCCGGTACGTGATCTCATGGGAGCCCCGAAAGACCAGACAAGACATCACCGTGCGAGAGAAGGTGCATGGTGAATGAAAGCCTACTGATGTCTGCGTGCAGGACCTTCTGTCCTAGAACCCCAAAATGGTAGACTCGGGGGTTCTTCAATGTAGTGGCTGCCAGGGAAGGAGAGGGGAAAGATTTCTAAAAAATTACACGTGCTTTTGTGTTTGGGAGCTCTCGCGTATCCTGTCTGCTTCTCAGGGTTACAGGGTGACCTGCCAGCTCTGAGACCTTTGACTATTTCCTCACCTCTCTGGGTCTCAATTTCCTCATCTATAAAATAAGAAAAAACGTCTATCCCATGACGTTCTTACAGGAATTCAATGAGAGAGAATGGACTGCGTGTGCAGACAGTCCCAGGCAAGTCCATGACCAGTGTGTTTGAGTCCTCCCCTCCCTTTCTAGCTCCTTGCCTATAAAAAAGAGAGAAGAGGATGGTATCTAGCTTCCTTCCCAGAGCTCCAAGCTGGGAAACAGGGATATGATATGATATGGCATTTTTGTGAAAAGCATCTCTTAGTTAAAATATGCTTCTTCAGTCTTTGCTTTTTTTTTTTTTTTTTTTTTACATTTGTTCTAAGCTCAACTTATTTGCCGTATGAACTCGGGCAAGTCACTTGATGACAGTAACAAAAGAATTATTTTGCTATTATAGCCTACCATTATTTAGTGTTTTACAATTTAACACAACTTCAGAACAATCACCTCATTTCATCCATACAAGAACCCTTCCTCATTCACCGATGGGGAAACTGAGGCACACAGATGCCACACTAGTCACCCAAAGGGATGGAGCTGGAAATGCAGTGTCAGGATGGCATGTGACCTTTCCTGCTCCAGTCCCACAATGGGGAAGCCTGCACCATGTGGGGAGGGCCACTCCTGCCCAGGGCTTGGGGAACCTGGTGCGAGCACAGGCCTGGAGTGGCGTCACATGCTCACGCTGACCTCCACCTCACCTGCTCCACGCCTGTTGGCCTCTGAAGACTCTAAAACTCCTCACCTGGATTCCCGGCATCCCTAACTCCGGCCCTTTTGAGATAGCGCCTACCAGAGCCCAGGAGCGCCACAGGCCAACAAACCGTCTAGCACGCACCATCACAGCTCTTAGTCCTGCTGAAGGAGGATTTAGAGATGGAAAATCCCAAACACCTCCTAAAGTGATTTCCGAGGCAGGCAGTGCGCTTCTTCATTCATAACATGCATGCTGAGTGCCAGCTCTGCCAGGAGCACAAGGCCACATGCTATGAACACAAGGACAAAGGAAGCGCAGCCCCTGCAATCAGGCACAAATGGTGAGTGGGGAGGTCGACACCTATATGCGGAGCTGTGGCAGACGCTGTACCAGAGCTGGGAGCCCATCCAGTGGGAGCATGGGGAAGTCACTCGGCTTAGAGCCTTCTAAAGGTAGAGCAGAGCCACTAGGCCCCTGAGCAAGGGCAGGGCACCCCAGGACGAGGACTGAGAGCCGAAAGGTAAGTGTGTGGCACACACAGGACGAGTGGGCACTGAGTGTGGTGATAAAGCAGGGAGAGAATGGGGGAGCGGGCACCACAGTGTGGTATAAAGCATGGGGAGAGTGGGGAGTGGGGACTGCAGTGTGGTATAAAGCAGGGAGAGAATAGGGGAGTGGGCACTGCAGTGTGGTATAAAGCATGGAGAGAGTGGGGAGTGGGCACTGCAGTGTGGTATAAAGCATGGAGAGAGTGGGCGAGTGGGCACTGCAGTGTGGTATAAAGCACGGAGAGAGTGGGGAGTGGGCACTGCAGTGTGGTATAAAGCATGGAGAGAGTGGGCGAGTGGGCACTGCAGTGTGGTATAAAGCATGGAGAGAGTGGGCGAGTGGGCACTGCAGTGTGGTATAAAGCATGGAGAGAGTGGGGAGTGGGCACTGCAGTGTGGTATAAAGCATGGAGAGAGTGGGGAGTGGGCACTGCAGTGTGGTATAAAGCATGGAGAGAGTGGGGCTGGACTTCAGGCTGGAGGGGAGCAAAGTCAGACCATACCTTGCTGCATCCCAGGAGGGGGCTGCTTTAGCCCCCTGTGTCTACAGGACATTGCACTGTGTTCTTGAAGAGTAACAGTAAAAGCTCTTTTTATATTATGGGAAGAGGCACAGAAGAGTGAACACAAAACGATCCCAATTTGGTGTGAATGAAGTAAAGTAGACACAGATAGCAATATGGGTGCGGGCCCAGAGAGGGAGGTATTCTCTCTGGATGCTGGGATTCCGTGTCATCCAAACATTATTTTCTCCATACTTTTCCTTCTTTTCTAAAATGAACACATGTTATTTTTGTGGGTTGGGCTGACATCTCAAAGAAGAAAAGAAATCCCCTTCCTAGGAGCCCAAGGCGCTGCGGGGACAGCGCTGGGGGCAGCGGCTTCAGGAGCAGGCGGAGGCTGGAGGGCCGAGGTGGCAGGGCCGGTGCTGGGGCCAGTGGGGCCAGGAGAGAGGGAGGATCAATGTAAGCCAACAGAGAGACCAGCGTCGTCCACACTGGAGGCAGCAAGGAGAGGAAGGGAAGAGAATTAGAATGAGGCGGTTCTGGAAGTGCTCCTGGCAGACGGCAGGGCAGTGAATGAAAACACTTGGAAGGCGCAGTGTGAAGCGGAAATGCGGACGCAAATGTCACGTATTATTACCGCTGCCGCCACGGTTTCTAATCGCGTTAAACATGGGTAATGAAGCCTTCTCTGGCCAGCGCTTGACAAAGCCATCGCTGAGCAGCTGCCACCAGGGCTCCACACACGCTCTGGTGCCCGCTGTGGCTCAGGACGCCGACAGGTGAAATGCATTACCAGATGCACAGAGACACCTCCTCAGTGGCCCTGAGTCTTCGGGGATTTGAAAACAGAGTTCTCCTTGTGGGAGATCAACTCAGCCAGAAAAATCTTTTGGGTGTCTGGCTTAATACTGAAAATGCCACAACCATTGAAATATGAATAGGAGAATGTCTGTAATGATATGCAATTGACAATTAGGGATAAGAAATACATTCCTGCATTGAAACAATAAAGCAGCAGCCTCTCTCCACCCATGGCTTCCTGGCAGGTCTTTGGGAACCTGACAAAGCTGCCCCACCTGTGTGTCAACTCAGCCGTCCCTATGCCGAAATCAGATAGAAAACCACACAGTCAGTGGGTCCTTTGAAACAGTCTATCTTTATTTTTTTTTTGAGACGGAGTCTCACTCTGTCACCAGGGCTGGAGTGCAGTGGCGCGATCTCAGCTCACTGCAAGCTCCGCCTCCCGGGTTCACGCCATTCTCCTGCCTCAGCCTCCCGAGTAGCTGGGACTACAGGCGCCCACCACCATGCCCAGCTAATATTTTGTATTTTTTAGTAGAGATGAGTTTTCACCGTGTTAGCCAGGATGGTCTCGATCTCCTGACCTCGTGATCCTCCCGCCTCGGCCTCCCAAAGTGCTGGGATTACAGGCATGAGCCACTGTGCCCAGCTAGAAACAGTCTATGTTAAATGTGCAATTCCTTGAGACACACAGAGCTATACCCGATTAATTTTTTTTTTTTTGAGACGGAGTCTCGCTCTGTCGCCCAGGCCGGACTGTGGACTGCAGTGGCGCAATCTCGGCTCACTGCAAGCTCCGCTTCCCGGGTTCACGCCATTCTCCTGCCTCAGCCTCCCGAGTAGCTGGGACTACAGGCGCCCGCCACCACGCCCGGCTAATTTTTTGTATTTTTAGTAGAGACGGGGTTTCACCTTGCTAGCCAGGATGGTCTCGATCTCCTGACCTCATGATCCACCCGCCTCGGCCTCCCAAAGTGCTGGGATTACAGGCGTGAGCCACCGCGCCCGGCCCCGATTAATTTTTTAAGGCCAAAGGAGAGAAATAAGACAAATGAATAAAGTGCCATGTCCTCAGATTCAGCTCCTCCATTCCTCCCTGCCACTTGACAGACAGGAGGGAATGCCCACTGTTCTCCAGGCGACAGGCACCAGGACACAAGGGCCATTCAAACATGACTTGTACTCAAAGAACTGGCCAGACAAGTGAGCAGGCAACTCCACCATACTTCGCTAAGGGCTATATTTGGGGGACATTTGCCATGGGAGCCAGAGAATGGGTGAAAGCCCAGAGTCCAAGGAAGGTCCTGGAAGAGATAACACCTCTGCTGGACACCGGGGTCTGGAGAGGTCAAGGAGCATAGGAGCCAGGGCCCTGAGGTGAGTGGACAACACACAGCAAGAGGCGTGGCGGGCAGGTGCCAGCACCTGAGAGGGGGCCGGGAAGCGGGGCGAGCCAGAGAGGGCAGCCCCTGGCGAGTGAGGAAACTCCAGAAGGAGGTGGTCCAGCACGCCGCATGGGGCTAAAAGGACAGAGCCTCCCCAACCGAGACCCTCAGCCCACCCTCCCAGTCCCCATTCCCAGGGCAGGATCTGCTCCCAACCCGTCCAGGTCCACAAAGGCTCCTGTTTGAAGCTGCAGGCCTGCAGGTGTGGGAAGCACCCCTGTCGTGGGGCTGATGTGCATCCTGGCAGCCCCGTGTCCCAGGCCACCCCGTCGCTGGGGGCTCTGTGCCTCCCTCTGGTCCTTTTCAGCAAGTGCTCCCACCTTCTGTGGCTCCACAACAGCCTGGTCACATCTGATCATGGCTTATTCAGTATTGCCCAAAACAGTTTCAGTTCCTAAGTCCTAGAATTGGAAAGAAATCTCTAAGTTCAGAATGGCAACAAAAATGCCTCCAGGGCCCAGGAAGAGAGGGAGGCTGGTGCAGAGGCAGGTGCAGGTCTCATCTGCGGGAAAGGCCTGCCCCTCTGGCAGCCAGGCCACAGCATGCGGCTCTGCACAGCTCCAGCTCCTGATCTCTCGAGAGAACCAGAAACGAGATTGAATCTGAAATTCCTATATTTTTACAATGACAGCTCAATTTGTTGTTTCTTTTTTCACCCTAGGCAGCCCAAATATACCTGCGAGCTGGACTGGGCCTGCTGGCCACACGTCTGGGATTCCCGTCGTTTGGTTGGAACACATCATCATCAGTTCCCCTCACCCCTGTCTTACAGGATCCGCCACGGCCTCCACCCTCAGACACAAGGAGCGCAGGTGGGTTACTGCCCCCAAGTCTCTCTTACTTCTGAACAGTTCTGGCAGTCAAGTTTTTCTTAATACATCTTCTCCACCATCTCTCTAGACACTGACACAAATTACTAGACAGAGAAACAGGGAAGACATCAGATACTGAAGTTTGTGTTAATTGGGGAGTTTTTGCTATGCTCTATTCCAACAAATATTATCATCGTCATCATCTTCATTTTCAATTTCATACTGTGAAAAACCTCATAGTGCCAGAAGGAATGAAATGAAACATAATGAAATGGGGGGGATTTTAAAAATTGAAAAGCAAATGAATCAGACACATAGCTAGAGTATATCTGCTCCCTCCTTGCAGAGGCAGGACGTGGAGAGCGGCAGCCCCAGACTCAGCAGAGTCACAGGCCTGGGCTCAAAGGTGCAGAGGGGCCGGCAGGGACACAGGGCAGGGGCCACGCTCCAGCTAGGCCAATGGCAGCTCCACTGTCACCCACAGAACTTCCTCCAAGAAGCTATGACCAAATCAGCCAGAGAGGAGCCACAGGCACCTTGGCCAACGTCCCTCTTCCTCCTTCCCCACCTCATGGCCGTACAGAGCTTTGGAAATTAGGAGCCAACCACAGCAGAGGTGGCTGGAACCCTAGGGAGGGATGAATTCACTCTTCCACACAGAGGGAGGCTGAGTTCCGGCAGGGCGCTGGGCCAGGGTGAAGGGGAGCTGGGGAAGGGGACAAGGCTGTGGGTGTCCCCAGGCATCTGCGATAGTAAAGTGCATAAGCCGGGCACCCACAGCAGCCTATGAAGGGGGGTTGGGGTAGCATCTCCCATCACTGTCCTCACTGGGACATACCTGGGGTGGACCCACATGATTGGTTCTGTGGCAGGCCCAGAACCCCTTGGCATGGGCAAATGGAAATGCCTGTCTGGGCCTCAGCTGCAGACACTGAAGAACAGGGCAGCAGAGCCTTGGGCAGGCACGATTGGCTAGTCTTCAGAGCGGGTGGGCATCCTCCCCGGCCCTCAGCCTTCACAGGAGGCTGCCAGGTGAGAAGGGTGCAGTCCACACGCACCATGACCAGGACCCTGGGGCTGCAGAAGCCTCACAGGGAAACAACAGAGGCCGTCAGAGCAGAAGTAGTTTGTCCACTTCCCTGGAGGGCCGGCAGCCCCTAGCCAGGAAGTGGGGCTGAGATGCTGCCCCAATGCCCAGAAGTGAGGATTCAGGGTGGGGCCCTCTTACTGTAGGAAGAGGCTGTGCTCTCAGTTGCAAGACTAGAAGAGTAGGAGTGAAAATGGGACACAGAGGGCCCAGTATGGCAGGAGGGCAGGCCAGGGGCTGGCAGGAGGGCAGTCAGTGCCCTCATCCTGTTTAGCCTTAACAAAGGCAGAGAGAGACTGTGCCAAGTGGTAACATCACCATCCAATTCAACAGCACAAGGAAAGGAATTTTCCAAGGCTAGTCACAGGTATCTACAACAGACTGGTTTGCCCAGACAGCGTGACTGTAACTGTGGCAAGCCAGTGCTCCCAAACACGACAAATGCAAGCATTTCAGTGAAGGTCTCAGGGCAGGCTGGCCGAGCAGGAGGCAGGCTGGGCAGAGGGCATATTCCACTCTGCACCCCTGGGCTCAGTCTCTGGCCCACATGGGCTCCGGGCATGGGTTTGCCACACTGTTCTGCAAACTTCTTCCTAAGGCAAATGGGAGACAGTGCCAGAGCATATCTGAAGGAGCCCCATGGGGAGGGTCCTGCAGATCGGTGTGCAGGAAGGACAGAGACACATGAGGGTGTATGAAGAACACAGGCTCCAGAAGCAAACCCATCTGGGATGGAACCCAGCTCCCTCCACTAAGTCACCTACCTTCTCAAGCCTTAGTGTCCTTTTCTGTGTTTTACAAATTAAAAGACTCGCCTTACTGATTTGTGAACACTGAACTGGGCTGACGGATATGAGAACACTTTGTGGACGGTGACTCGGGATGGTAATAACAGGGGGCGGCCACGTAGCAACCCTTCTCTAGTTCTCAGCAAGGGTGATGACATCTCCGCCTGCTGAGCACGAGGGTTCTCCCTCATTTTGGCATTTTACCTTCCTAGGGTCGGTTAAGGAATAGACACCCAATAGTTATTTATTGAATCCCTGGGCATTGACCCAACAAGTGTTCTTATTTGGATCAGAAATTTGGTCATTGGTCATTTTATTTTTAAAAAAAATCATGAGAATCTTAAGAGCTTCTAATGGAGGCAAGATGCTAGAGACAGAATTTGAGAAAAACCATTCTCAAGACACCTGAGAAAAACCGTCATCCCCAGAACTTCTTATTGGTGCTTAATAGGTGTAACAAGAGTTCCACAGTCAGATAAACTGGGGAAGCGTGAAAGTTGGAAAAGTAGAAAAGTTCCAGTACATCTGAGCAAGCTCCAAAGCCTCCTGCAAATAATTACTATAAATTCTGGACACATTTTTTTTTAATAAGCAACCTGAAGGCACTGGCAGGAAAAGAAAAACAGACATAGTCGAGAGAACAGAGAACAGACACCCGGAAGAAGGAAAACCACGGTGCCAGGTACCCTTCCTTTATGACTTCTTGTCTGAGGACAGGCCGAGTCAGCACCACGTGGAAACGAAAGCTCGGGGAGAGACTCTGCCATCTTCCTTGGCCAAAAAGTCTGAAGACAGAGTTTGGGGCAACCACAGCAAGGGAAAGGGAGGGAGAGTTCAGGAAAGGAGAGGGCCGAGAGCAGGAGTCCAGAATGTTGTACATAGAATCTGCCCAGAGCTTTGGCTTACTCCTGAACCTGGTGTGCATGGAGCAGAGTCAGTGAAGTCCAGCTAAGGAGAAAAGAACAAAACTGAGATTCGAGATGTCCAAGAGGTAGAATTTTGTTTTTCTTTTTTAAATTGAGACAGAGTCTCATTCTGCCATCCAGACTGGAGTGCAGTGGTACGATGTCAGCTCACTGTAACTTCCGCCACCTGGGTTCAAGCGATTCTCCTGTCTCAGCCTCCCAAGTAGTTGGGACTACAGGTGCATACCACCACGCCCAGCTAATTTTTGTGTTTTTAGTAGAGCTGGGTCTTTGCCATGTTGGCCAGGCTGGTCTCGAACTCCTGACCTCAGGTGATTCACC